>NC_000017.11:53185980-53810980 GCF_000001405.40 Homo sapiens
CTGTGAAGTGCACTGTGTGCTGCTTGTTGCTGAGTGCAGTCCTGAACGTTCTATATCATAATTTCTTAATTTGTGAGTAGCAGAGCTCTGTGTTATTGGGAGTCAGCTGTGCTTCAGAAATGAATCTAATATGATCTCTCCAGAATGCATACACTCATCTGTGAAACACTATGCACGAAAGTTTGCTGTAACTGTAAAACTGCTCCCAATGCTCCCCCAGGCTGGGTCTTTGTGTATTACACAAAGAGAAATGACTGACTTGGGTGAACAAGAGCTTTTAAAGGCAAAGCATTGTTTTAAAATCCTCAACTTGAGAAATCTATTTTTCCCTACCTGATATTTAAACATTAAATATTACAAAAGTATGTACCCTCTAAAGAATTCTCCCTTTAATAATTCATTTATAATACTCCCATTTATTAAACATTATACACGGGGATCATAATACCTTGAGCTATGCATGTGGGGACTCATATTAGTAACTGCCTCATTCTCAAAGTCAAATACAAGATATCAAATACACAGTCTTGTGTTTCCAAAGTGGCCACACATTATACTTGCTTACAATTGGATATTTTTAAAATACTTTTCCCCCCTCCAAATATAATGCTTTGTTAGCCCCACATCTTTGTTATTTTGTCGCACTTGGAGTAGCTTAGTCTTCCTCTTTGTTATCAGTTTTTATGTATTCTTTTACAGTGAACCTCTAAACTAATCATCTATTTTTGGGTGCTTGTCTGGTTAGACTCCAGTGGATCAGTTCAGAATACTCACCACTCATTGTTCACCCTATGGCTGAAGAGCTGATTGAGTTAGAAGCAACACTGCTGTGGTAGTAAATAACCTCATTAGCTTTTCTGAAATGTACGGTAAGAAAAACTTCAGTAGCAATTTGTCTTAAAACTCTATACCCTCTGCAAAAATTTCAAGAAAGATGTGGACAGCCAGTATGTATATAGCTGATGAACAGTCAGAATCAGGATTCCAACTAAGCTTCTTTGGTTTGTGAGCATTGACTGGAAAACAGGTAAAGGAAGAGGCTTTTGAGATCAAGAAGATATGAGCCCAGTTTTAAATAGTGAAAAAGAGAAGACAGGCTGAGTGCTCTCTACTGCTCTCAAACAAAGCCTATTGTCTCTCATAAAGTTTACTACAATAGTCCCTAGTACTACTTTCTCAAAGAGAAAACTTAGTAGAAAATGCATTTGGGGTCAAATAATTGATAATCGGAGGTTGTTATCGGATGTCAAGTCTTAACTGAGATCTGGGAAGCCAGTCTTTAAATTTATGTTTACAAAGGCCGATCACTTAGCAATTCAATAAATATTCGATTTATAAATTAACTCTTAATGTGTTCCACAACCAGAGTCCATTCTTTATTCAAATAAGGGGGACCTACACTATAAGTGAACAGACATTACTAAGCGGAGATAAACAACAACATGTCAAACTACAATTTTTCTAGGACATATGAGCTTAAGTAAAAAGCTTTCTCACTTAAAAAGAGACTAACTCATAATTTGTAGGACGTTTGTGAGAATCAAATGATTGAAGAAGTGAAAGTGCTTCATGATCAGAAGATGTGTCATAAATACATGTTACCAAAGCACACTGGTTTAAATTAAAAATGGGTCTTCTCATTCCCATTGCCCTATAATCACGCATTCTATCTCTTTTACTTAGAATGCCACCTTATATTCCATGGCATAATCTAAACAGCCAGTTAGTACCTATGATATGCAGTTAAGTAAGAAAGACAAGATTCCAGGTCTCATGGGCTGATACTCTAAATAGCTTATCAACTTTGTCCCATAAAGAACTATTTTCGAATGTGCAATGAAATACCAGGCAACTATTTTAGTTTCCCACTGAAAAAATATTGATATCTGGGCGATTAGTATGAAGGAGAATTTAGGATGAGTCAGATCATATTTATTTATCAATTTATCTGTGCATACATTCACCCCATCAAACACTCCCTTTGCTGTTGACTTGCTTTATCATTTAACACCTATCTGAAATGCCTACACAATGTGAAGGTCTAGTTCGTGTCTCATCTCTCCAGGCCTCACAGATCTTTGCTTCTTTTGAATTCCTATGAACTATGCAGCCTGTATTGAGTGGTCAGAATGCAATTAGCCAAATATAATAGAATTTGTTGTTGTTTGTTCTGAATACATAATTGGTAAAATGCAGACTCCTGGTGCAGGTGGGGTGCTTGCGAGTGGAGCTCAGTATTACGAATTTTTAACAGGTACCTCCATGTAATTTTGTTGTAGATAATCTGCATATAATATTTGAGAAATATTGTTAAAGAGAACTTTCCAAATTAGTGTCACTATGTTACTGTCAGAAGTATAAAATAATAGCTGTCTGCAAGTATCAGATGACAACATTTTATAAACTTGCCCTGTAGAGAAACATGGATAAAGACAAGTCATAATAGATTTCTCACACACACAGAAATCGTTCCTCATATACTAATGATAAATTGCATAATGTTTTCATTTCATAGTTGTATTCTCCATTGAGTAGCATAGTTATCAAAGAATAATTGATTTGATAGTGGGTGATTCTGTTGAATCCTCCAGGAATATGACACATTTTGGAATGAATCAACTTCAAACAATAATCATTTTATTTGTATTTAGTGTTCCTGATTATATATTTTAATTATGAAAATAAATGAATAGTCTTTCTTTAGAAATGAAATAAGGGAGGAACTGAAGGAGCATTTGTAACTCTATAATCCATTGTATTTTTCACATAGAACACATGACATTTTTGTATGATTTTCCTTACTTTTGGGAAACAATGAAGGAGTTGTAGTTTTCGATTGTGAATACTTTCTAATAAAATTATATTGACGATCCAGTGTTCTAGTCATTGACACTGTAGCAGTGAACAAAACATCCTGATGTAACCTGGATAGAGGTACAAGCCTGAAACCAGTTTCACAATTTCTGTAGTAAAGTAATAAGGGAGAATAATCAGTCTGAGATATTACAGAATGCAGAGTTATAAATCAACATTTAATTTCTTCCCATTAATGCAAATATATATTTCAGCACTGCCTCTCTGTCAGGTATTCAGAGATAAAGATACGATATGCAGGCCGAGTGCAGTGGCTCACACCTGTAATCCCAGCACTGGGAGGCCGAGGTGGATCACTTGAAGTCAGGAGTTCGAGACCCCATCTCTACTAAAAATACAAAAATTAGCCAGGTGTGGTGGCACATGTCTGTAATCCCAGCTACGCGGGAGGCTGAGGCAGGATAATTGCTTGAACCCAGGAGGTGGAGGTTGCAGTGAGTTGAGCTTGCGCTCCACTGTACTCCAGCCTGGGTGACAGGGCAAGACCCTGTCTCAAAAAAAAAAAAAAAAATGCATAATCCAGTCCTTCTCCTTAAGGAGTTCACTGTCTAGTGGTAAAAATCAACAATTAGAGCATGGTGTTACCAGTGTTATAATACAGCCCATACATATAACAAATGTATGTCTTGTTTTTAAAACCATAAGTATTCTACTGTGCTTGAATCAAAAACATGACACAGACTATTCTTTTGTGAATAGTACACAAACAAAGACATTTGACCTCCTGTCTGTGACAGGAATATCAATAGCAGAATCTTTTTCTTAGTTGCTGTCAATACTCTTCCCTGTGCTAAGATGCAGGCCATGCTGCTGCTGTCCCAGCAGTCTTTTGGCACTCTCCTCGTGGCCTTATCATGCAGTGTTCCCTACTGGTGTGGGAAGGAAGCCCTTTTTCCACCTTAGAGTCACCATCCATTGCATGGTTTTTTAGTAAAAGAAGCGCTCTCAGGAACTTTTATGTGAATTTGAATTCTATTTATTTATTTATTCATTTTTTCAAGACAGGGTCTTGATCTGTCTCCCAGGCTAGAGTGCAGTGGAGCAATCTCGGCTCACTGCAACCTCCACCTCATGGGTTTAAGCGATTTTGCTGCCTCAACCTCCAAAGTAGCTGAGACTTACAGGCATGCCCACCACGTCTAGCTAATTTTTGTATTTTCAGTAGAGACAAGTTTTTGCCGTGTTGGCAAGGCTGGTCTTGAATTCCTGACCGCAAGTGATCCACCCACCTCGGCCTCCCAAAGTGCTGGGATTACAGGCGTGAGCCACTATGCCCAGCCTGATTCGAGTTCTTAAGGTTTCAGAGAGCATACAGTCATAAAACAGTCTCAGGAAGGACTCCAAAAGTACTCTGTATCTCCACTAAATGGAGCAGTCCTGTAAGTCTGAGTCCAAGTAGCTACTTTTCTTAGATTTACTTTCCTTACAGAGGATAACCTGGTCTGTCTCTCAAATTGACTATTTTCAGAACTGCTACACCAGACCTCTCGACATGCACAGATACACCTGAATCTGCAAGTGAAAATTGGAGGCTCCGGGTAGGTTTCCTTCTCAGTGCCCATCAACACATTTGCTCATCTTCCACAAACTGGTCAAAGTCTCTGGTCCAAATCTTCGTGATATAGGTTTTAAATCCCCACTATTGATATAGGTATTAAATCCCCACTACTCACTTCCTTCCCTCCAAAGAAAAAGTGAGATTATCAAATGCAACCCACTCCCTTTTATGATGTTTTCAACCAAATAATCTTTGTGCTTTGAGAAATAAGCAAATAAAAGCATACAGAAATATACAGACATTCACAGGACCTGCAGGAAACTTAACAAGCAGTATTAATCTGTTCCCATGCTGTTATGAAGAAATACCTGAGACTGGGTATTCATAAAGAAAAGAAGTTTAATTGACTCACAGTTCAGCATGACTGGGGATGCCTCAGGAAACTTACAATCATAGTGGCACAAGGCACCTTTTCACAGGGCGGGAGGAGAGAGAATCAGTGCCGACTGAAGGAAGAAGCCCCTTATAAAACCATCTGATCACCAGGTATGGTGGCTCACACCTGTAATCCCAGCATTTTGGGAGGCCGAGGCGGGCAGATCTCTAGAGGTCAGGAGTTTGAGACAAGACTGGCCAACATGGTGAAACCTTGTCTCTACTAAAAATACAAAAATTAGCTGTGCGCAGTGGTGGGCACCTATAATCCCAGCTACTTGGGAGACCGAGGCAGGAGAATCCCTGGAACCCAGGAGGCAGAGGTTGCAGTGAGCCGAGATCATGCCACTGCACTCCAGCCCGGGTGACACAGTGAGGCTCTGTCTCAAAAAAAATAATAAAATAAAAAATAAAACCCCACCAGATCTCATGAGAACTCACTCGCTATCACAAAAACAGGATGGGGAAACTTTCCCCATGATTTAGTTATCCCCACCTGGTCCTGGCCTTGACACATGGGTATTATTACAATTCAAGGTGAGATTTGGGTGGGGACACACAGCCAAACGATACCACAGTGCATCTCCAAAGCACACTAGACATGGAGCAATTAGGCATCACTTACAAATACAGTGATAGAGGAGGAACTTCTTTGTATCTTCTCCCTAAAATATTACTTTCATCTTTTCTTGACTCAAATTTCTTTACTTGCCTTGTTAGTGTATAGAGGATGGGATTTGAGGAATCTGTATGTGCTTGTTTCATTCCTGTTTTAAGAGCACACTTTGTTGACCTGGCTCTCCCCATGGTGGTGCCTGGAGTGACACTGACAAAAAAAATAGAACTTAGGGATGTTCATTCAAGAATATATCAGCTGCACCCTAGGGAAGCTGAATGAGACAGTACGGTTGCTAGTTTGCATAGAAAAGTGGCTCTCAAAATGTGATCTCTGGATCAGCAGCAGCAGCATTGCCTCGTTATTTGTAATAAATGCAAATTATCTACCTTTGAACTCAGATATACTGAATCAGAGGTTCTTGGGGTGGGACCTAGAAATCTGTGCTTTAATAAACCTCCCAGTGATTCTAATGCACACTAAAGTTTGAGAACAACTATAAATATATATGTGTAAAGAAAGTCTCCTGTCAGATACTTGCCTGCTGTTTACATCATCCTCAGTGCCTCCCTTTTTACTTAGTAAAGATTGTTCATTAGACTTCCATCTTAGTTCACTATCTTCACTATTATGCCTCATTAACATTGTGTTATAATTAGTTATATCACTAGGGGGCTTTATCTTTCCAGAGACAGAGGTTTAAACTATGCAGTCAGCTCTCTTCATCAGACCTTTTAGTCAACCATCTCATAGACTATACTGGGCCCTGTTTCTGTCTGCTTATTGTGTGTTACTACTTTTCACTGCTGATCATTCCTCACTGTGCTTCAGATGTTTCTTTTGTAAAAATAATAATGACTTGGCTTTTTCTTCATTTCCTGTTTTGACTTTTTCTTACTTATATATTAATAACATGACTGACATATATACCCTTTACAGGGAGATATATAACTAGCAGAAAAAACACAACACCACATTTCCCTAAATTAAAAAAAAAATCAAACAAATTTATTATAATAAGGGTTTTTTAATAAGATTGTTTATTACTATTTATTGTATTGATTTATGCTTTTCATTCATGTTATTTCTACTACAACTACCTCTACCTTCAATACCTACTTTAACTCATACTAACATTTCCCCTCAATATTGATGATCCTTACTTCTCTAAGAGACTTTAAACAGAACTCTCCATTCAACTACTGCAAATGAAGCAATAATTTTTGACCCCTTTAATATCTTTTTCAAGCCATTATTATATTTGTAATTTAAAGGGCATAATTTAACATTGTATCATTATTCATAGTTTTAATATAAAGTCTATGCACTAGTACACTCTCTTAATTTTATGCCATTTTTCTTTGATTTATCATAATATCACCAAAGACCACAGGATTATAAAATAATACATTGTCAAATTACCTATGTTACTGCAATTCTGGTTTTCTTTTTGGCTGTATCCATTCTAAAAGCTCTTCTCTTTGTAAATAATTTCCGATACCTTAGCTATCAGTAGAATAATCTTAGAGAACAGCCCTCTGGTACACTATTATATCACCACTTCTACCTCCCTAAATGGTTTGTCCATGCTGTCTTATTTTCCGCCACAAATGGAAAGCCGCTATAGTGTAAGTAGGTGGTTAATTAGTTAAGAAGGTGGGTTCTAGAGTAGTACAACATGAATGAAAATTGCAATGCCTGAAATCTAGCATTTGTGTGGCCTTAGGCAAGTTACTCAACCTCATAATACCTTAGTCTCTTTGTCTGAAGAATGAAGACAGTCATTGCAATCACTGTACAGAACTGTTGTAAGCATGAAATGTGTTAATGTGTGTGACACATCTGGCACGTTTTAAGCATTCCAATCTCTAGCTATGATTACATTTCACCTGCTAAATTAGCACATCATTACACTGGAATCATTCTTGTTTATTTTGGTGACTTAGATTAAACAGAGAAGCTGTGAGGATCATATTTCAATACTTAATTTTATATGGTTAGTAATGGTAACCATAATGATTGACACCACATGACTCATTTACCATTCCAGAAATGGCTCATCTGAACCATTTATCTTCTGCTCTGGGGAGGCATTTTATCCTGTAGTGTTGTACTTCAAGTAAGCCTAGATTCCTAGATCCCATTTGAGAATCATTATATTGGGCACATTTGACTAGGGTCAAGGCTTATCGTGGTACTATTAGACGTCTCCAAATATCTGTCTTTTTTCTAGCGTAGGGCACAGTTAACGAACAAGATATAAGCAAGTGCCATCTTGGGGAAGCAAAATTGTGGAAAAGGCAACTGACCATAAACCATGTCAAATCAGATTTATTAGCAAGTAGTCCACCCCTACTAAACAATATCAAATAACTGGTTTGCATGATTTACCAGAAACTGCTTAATTTGAATAATTATTTAGAGAATGTTACCATGTTAGAACTGTATTATTATATTTTTTCAAGTGATATATAACAATATAACACAGACCATATTTTCTGGATCTGAACACTAAGATTTCAAGTATCACAATAGCCCATATTGAATTACCTTAAGTTGAAATGTAATACCCATATCAAAAAATATGCCAGCATAAACTTCAGGTTTCTCATTGGCTAAGTCAACTTTATTCCAGTCTGTCAAATCACATTTATTATTTTTCCTGGAATCACAATTAATTAAGGTAACATTTACTAAGACATGTTAAATAAATGAATCTTTTTTCCAAAGCAATCTCCTTCACTATAGATGTTTTACCATGTAATGATAAATGAAGGCAGTAGAACAGATGCCCAGGAAAAAGACTAAGTTTGTCCTTACTCTAGAAACCATTTAAAGCATCTATCTATGGCTTTTTGAAATTAAACTATAATGAAATAAAGATAAGAACTTTGAGCAGTTGTATATAAAATTAATTTTTAATATGGAATGGTTAATTTGAGTAATTCATACATGCAAATAACAGCCAACCAGAAAGCTCTGGAGTTGGCTTTCATTAATTAACCTAGATAGAAATCAACCAGTTAGTCATATCCTCAAATTCTGATTGATGCTTCATTACCTACAAAGACAAAATTAATTTTATACTTATGCCAGGACAAATGATAACAGAGAAAAATAACTAGTTTCATATGTATTATTAACTTTTATGAATTAATCCATTCCACAAGTATACAAGAAGGGCTAGAAGATACCAGTTTACAGGGTGGTAATTAACAACTTTTAGACCTGTGTGCTTTACAGAGAGTTCTAAGCCACATGATTTTATTTAATTCCCACAAAAACACTGGGAAGTAAGGGTTATTTTAAAATACTACTTTATTGATACATAATTTTGCCCCCATCTTAAGTATATAGTTTAGAGAATTGTGACAAATTTATACAACTATGAAACCTCCAAACAGCAAATCTAAGAATAAATACTTAATTCTGTGTTATGACTCCACATTCATTGACATTTCCATTATCTCATGCTGCTTCTCATTTTATTCCATTTCGCCTTGACTATTGGGTGAGAAAGTACATATCAAAATGTATACTTTGATAGATTTTTCTCTTTCAAAGTAAAATTTAATAGCTTTTAGCATTATTTCAGCTGAGCTGTTTGTAGAAATGAGGTTTATAATATTAAGCCTGAAAAAACACTACAATTTTCTGTTTGCATAATTGTGATCTGATGTATTTCCAAAAGTCTGTTTGTTGCTGTCATTGGTACTGGTGGTGAGTGCTGTAAGATCCCAGTAATAAACAGTACTGGATATATCATCTAGAAATTAATTATGTGTGTTGCATTTGAAAGATAAACTTTAAAATTCTTCTTGTACACATTTTGCAGACATTTTTAAGTGCAAAGAGAAGAATCTGCTACTCTGTCCCAGCCCCTTATCTTCAGAAGCAGGTTTTTATTCAAGAGCTCTGTGATGTCTACTGTAAGTGAAAAGGGATGAAATCAGCAAACAAAAGACTTGCCTTCCTGGCTCAGTTCTGCTTGGGGCTCTGTTATTTAGCTTTCTTTTTTCTTTCCTGGCAGATGCTATGCCAAACACGATACATGTTGTCCTAGATTGGGTTCCCTAGAAGCAAAATCTCCAGAATTCCTTTGTATGTTTTAGTTGTGTGCTCTCAGGATAAACAGATAAACAAGTAAAGGAATTGGGGTAGGGGAAGTGGAAGGAATCATGCACGTATCTAGACATAAATTGAACCTGAGTCTGTCCCTCCTTGAGGCAAGAGAGCAAGGCCTTTATAGTTTACTCACTGCCCAAGACGTTTTTGACCACAGACACCTTGGAGTAAGATAGGTGGCCAACCTCCCAGGTAACTTTCAGAGAGGTGACTTCAACTACCCAAGAGCAATTCCTGCAGATAAAGACATTTTCCAAAGCATCAGCAGTGGCTGGGTGATGAGCATAAGAAAATAACTAGAAAAGGGGAATTATAGAGGAGTGGTTGGGTGGGGTAGAGCGGGTGGGGTCAGGCATTCAACACTGCTATCACACCTGTACTACCTTTTTCTGTTGTCAACATATTTTTAATACCTCATCCACTTTACAGGAAACAAAGTAAGGCCTTAAGAGGCTCAACAAGTTGCCTGGTGGTCACATGGTCAGCCATAGTAGTGCTAGAGTTTGTATCTTCTATTTATGTAGCTCCAAATGATCAACAGAAAAGAAAAATAATCTTCTAAAAATCTAAAACAGGCAATAGATTATACAGATGATAGATGTGCCCACCATTCATATTGCTGCTATTACTTGAAAAATCTATTATTCTGACTGTACTTAACTTGCTATTGCAGGGACCCTGTTTCCATCCACTGAAGCCTCCCGAATACTTTCTTTAAGCCTCACTTTGATATATCAAGAGAGCTCTGGGAAGAGAGGCAGGATGGTGGACTAGACCCAGTCCAGAGGAATATCTGACACCAAGTGACTGAGGGACAGGGACATTGGGAAGACTAGTACACTCCAAATAAATCTTTGTAGGGAAGGTATTGAGTGGACAGAGGGAGGAAACAGACACTAGGCTGAAGGGAGAGGAAGCTGGGAACTCTGCATGGGGCTACTGTGCAGCAGGATTCCTTCCTGTCCCCCAGCGATTCCTGGGGAAGGAGTAAGTTGAACAAGCGAGGAATGATCTGCTCTTGCAGGGACTTCTGGAATCCTGGCAGCAGGAGATCCCATGGCCCCTGTGAACACTTAAGCTGGCAGAGAGAACTGCTTAGAAGTGTTAGGGGTGGGAACTGCAGTGGAGCATGGCCAGCTATGCCCATCCTGTAAGGCCCACTTTGCTTCCCTAGAAGACTTGAGCGTTAGGGCTAGCATATAGGAATGCAATTGAGTTACATAAACGTTGCATTCTTATTCTCTTCTATACTCACTTATTAGTTCCAGGATTTTTCTTGGTCATTTATTTGAATTTTATGCATAGAAAATAAAATCATCTGCAAATTTTTTCTTCCCGTCTTGGCTTGCCTTCTCATGCTCCTGACAGTAACTTTCACAGAGTAGTTTTTAATTTTAATGAAGTTCAGTTGATCAATTATTTGTTTCGTGGATTGTATCTTTGTGTTGAGTCTAAAAGTCATTGCCAGACCCAGGGTCACTGAAATTTTTATGTTATCTTCTAGGAGGTTTTCACTTTATATTTAGAATATATAACATGTACATTCCGTTTTGAGTGAATCAGATTTTACTATTTATTTTATTCTGTTTTTCATTAGACTTAAATTTCTCTTCATTTGCTTTTTTCCTGAGGTAGAAGCGTAAGCTTTTTATTTTAGTTATATATTTTCTAATATGTAAATTTAATGCTATGAATTTATCTCTGAGCACTTTTGCTGTATCCCATGCTATTTTTAAGTTGTCTTTCTGTTTTCACTCAGCTCAAAATTAGTTTTTAAAATTAACTTGAAAATTCTTTGACTTATGTGCTATTTAGCAGTATGTTGTTTAATTTCCATGGACTTGGATTTTTTTTTCAACTGTTTTTATGGATTAAAGATACACATGCAGGTTTGTTAGATGGCTAACAGGATTAAAGATACACATGCAGGTTTGTTAGATGCTTAGGGTCCCAAAGACCCCATCACCCAGGCTGTAAGCATAGTACTCAACAGGTGGTTTTTTAGGCAATGTCCCCCTGCCCCCACATTTGGTGGTCCCCACTGTCTGTTGTTCCCGTCTTTATGTTCATGTGTATTCAGTGTTTAGCTGCTACTCATAAGTGAGAACATGCAGTATTTTGTTTTTTGTTCTGTGTTAGGTTGCTTAGGATAATGGCCTCCAGCTCCATCCATGTTGCTGCAGAGGACATGATTACATTCTTTTTTATGGCTGCGTAGTATTAAATGGTGTATATGTAACACATTTTCTTTATCTAATCCACTGTTCATGGGCACCTAGGTTGAATCCAAGTATATGCTATTGTGAAGAGTATTGCAATGAACGTATGGGTGCATGTGTCTTTTTGATAGAATGAATTATTTTCCTTCGGGTATATAACCAGTCAGTGGCATTGCTGAGTCGAATAATAGTTCAATTTAAGTATTTGAGAAATCTCCAAACTGCTGAAACAAACCAACAAGAATAAAACAAAATAATCTCATTTAAAAATGGACAAAGGACATGAACAGACACTCTCCAAATAAGACATACAACGGCCAAAAACATAAAAAAATGCTCAACATCACCAATCATCAGAGATGAGAAACTAACTCCCATCAATGAGATACTATCTCACACCAATCAGAATAACAATTAGAAAAGGTCAAAAAACAACAAATGTTGGCGAGGCTGTGGAGCAAAGGCAATGCTTATACACTATTGGTGGGATACATTTCTTCTCTATTTCTTTTATTGATTTCTAGTTTAATTGCAATGTGATCTGAGAACATATGTGCGTAGCTTTCTTTTTTAAAACATTTGTTAAGTTGCATTTTATTGCTCATTTAATCCATGTTGGTGAATGTTTCATGTGAGTTTTGGAAGCACGTGCATTCTGTTGTTGGATGCAGGTATCAATGTCTATTAGATGAAGCCAGTTAGTAGTGCTTTTGAAGTCCACTCTATCCTTACTGATTTTCTGCCTGCTTGATGTATCAATAACTAAAAAGAAGGTGTTGAAGTCATGGACTATGGTAGCAGATTTGTCAATTTGTCTTTGCAATTCTATCAGTTTTTTCTCACGTACTTTGAAACTCTCCAGTTTGGCATATTCATGTTTAAGGTTGCATGTCTTCACAGAAAATGACTGAGAGATCATTATATAATGCCCCTCTTTTCTTTGTTCTTAGGTATGCTTTATCTGAAATTAGTGACTCCAGCACTGCTCATATTAATATGAGCATGGTATTTCTTTCCTCACTCCTTTACTTTTAAACTTTTTAAGCTTTATATTCAAAAGAGTTTAAATATTCACTCTAAATATCTTTTTATTTTAACTGGTTTATTTCGACTATTTAAAGTGAGTATTGATATAGTTGGTTAATACATTCGATTTTTGTAACTCCTCTTTATTCATTGCATTTGTTCTTTGGTTCATTTTTCTCCTTCCTTTGTATGCTTTCTTGATTTAAATTTAGCACTTTCTATTATTATATTTTATCTGTTCTCTTAACATATCACTTACACTTCTTTTTAATTTTTAAGTTTTTGTTTTTAGATAGCATCTCTCTCTGTTGCCCCAGGCTGGAGTGCAGTGGCATGATCATGGCTCACTGCAGCCTCAACTCGCTTCTCTGCCCTGAGATCAATGGATCCTCCCACCTCAGCCTCCTGAGTAGCTGGGAGTACAGGCACATGCCACCAGGCCCAGCTAATTTTTGTATTTTTTCTGTAGAGATGGGAGTGGTGTTTTGCCATGTTCCCCAGGCTGGTCTTAAACTCCTGAGCTCAAGTGATCTGGCACCTCTGCCTCCCAAGGTACTGGGATTACAGGCGTGAGTCACTGTGCCTGTCCTCTTTTTAGTTTTTTTATTGTTTGCCTTAAAGTTTCCAATAGGAATTTTTAGGTAGCTTAAGTCCACCTACATATAACGTTATGCCACTTCACATATAAGGCAGGTACATGATAAAAGAGTATTCCTAATTCTTCTTACCTGTCCCTGAGACTTTGATCCCTATGGCATTGCTTACAATTCATTCCACTTATCCATATTTTGTAATCACCCAGTACATTGTTACCAATATTACTTCATACAAATAATTAACTTATAAATAAAGAATAGGAAAAAAAAACCTTAATCTATCATCATTTATTCTTTCCCCCGAATCCTTCCTTTCTTCATGTATAACAGGTCCAAGTTTCTGATGGATAGCATTTTCCTTTTTCTAGTGAAATTCTTTTAATGTTTATTGAAAGGAAGATCTCGTAACCATAAAGTCCCTGTTTTGTTTGTCAGATAAAGTTATGATATCTCCTTTACTTTTAAAGTATAATTTTGTAGGACATAGATTTCTAAATTGCTGGGGATTCTTTCTTTCAATACTTTATTTCAACTCCATTTCTTTCTTGCTTGCATATTTCCTGATGATAAGTCTGCTGTAATTTTTATCCTTGTTCCTTTATAGGCAAGATGTTCCCCTCCTCACCAGCTGCTTTCAATATTTTCTCTGGCTTCAATTTTTTGCTATCTAAGTATGATATGTGTAAGAGTAATTCTGCAGGATTTATACTATTTGCTTTTCTCAGAGCTTCCTAGATCTATGGTTTGATATCTGTCATTATTTTTGGAAAGGTTTTGTCTATTATTATATCAAATATTTCTCCTGCTCCATTCTAAGTTTTTCTTTTTCTGCTATTCCAGTTTTATTTATATTAGGTTAGTGTAAAAGCAATAGTGTTTTTTGCCAAGACTTTAAAAAAATGGCAAAACAGCATTTACTTTTGTACCAACCTAATATATTAGTTACATATTTGGAAATTATGCTGTAGATCTTGGATCTGTTTTTAACTTTTTAATTTTTATTTTTGACTTTGAAATTCAGTTTAGAAACTTTATTTTTCATTTTTACTTTTTCTCCCTTTATTTTTAACTGATATATGATAATTGTATATATTTATGAAGTACATAGCGATGCTTTGGTACATATAATGTATGGATGTCAGATCAGGTAATTAGCATATCCATCAATTCAAACAGTTATAATTTTTTGTGTTGGCGACATTAATATCCCCCTTCTAGCTATTTAAAACTCTATAATAATTATCCTATTGTCATCCTACAATGCTATAGAACGCTAGAATTCCTCCTATTGAGCTGTAACTTTATATCCTTTAGGAAATCTTTCCCTATGCTTTTTTCCCCTCACCCTCCACAGTCTCTGGTGTCCTGTGTTCCACTTTTTACTTCTATGAGATCAACTGTCTTTAGCTTCCACACATGAGTGAGTACATGCAGTGTTTAACTTTCTGTTCCTGGCTTGTTTCATTTAATATGTTGTCCTTCAGTTTCATCCATGTTGCCACAAATGACAGGATTTTATTCTTCTGTATGGTAGAATAGTATTCCATTGTGTGTGTGTGTGTGTGTGTGTGTGTATGTGTGTGTGTGTGTGTATACATATATATATATATCACATTTTCTTTATCCATTTATCTGTTGTTGGACACTTAGGTTGATTCCATATCTTGGCTATTGTGAATAGTGCTACAATAAACATGGGCATGCAGATGTCTCTTTGATATACCGATTTCCTTTCTTTGGATTAAATACCCAATAGTGGGTTTGCTGGATCCTATGGTAGTTATATTTGTGGTTTTTTGAGAAACCTTCACACTGTTATTCATTGTGTCTATGCTAGTTTACATTCCCACCAACAGTGCATAAACATTTCCTTTTCTCTGCGTCCTTGCCAGTAGTTGTTACTTTTTGTCTTTTTAATAACAGCCATGCTAAATAGAGTGAGGTGATAACTCATTGTAGTTGCCTCCAGAAATCCATCAAATCTACCACTTAAGTGTTCTCCTCATTTAATATTCTAGTGGCATCTGCTCCAGGTAAGTAGTTTTTAGCTATGACTCTCTGGATTTGCCTGTCTTTCCAGATTTCAGGGTAGCAGATTTCCCTGAAACCTCAGTTCTCTGAAGGCTCCAAGAAAAGTTGTTGATTTTCAGTTGATTTAGTCTTTTTTTCTTATTGTGAGGATAGCAATCTTCTAAGCTCTTTACATATTGGAGCTGACACTAAAAGTCCTATTATATTATATCATAAATCAGTCCATGAATTTATATTATTTGCAACTGAAAAATTCTAGGTGATATTGAGTATAGATTTGTAAAGATATATTGAGGGAAATATGAGATATTTGCAATTGACTGGCTGGAATGCACAGTAAGTGATTTATCTGCCAACATTGGAGATGGAATCTGTAAACCCATAATATGTAGAGGGAAAATGGTGAATTCTTATCAGCTATGTCTGCCTGGACCCTTTTGACCATTTACATCAACACTCTGGAAATCTGCGTACTGGCTACCGCTAAACCATATAAAATAGATAAAAATTCCGAGGGGAATTTTTATGTTTATACCTGGAGTTTTTATGCTTATACCTGGAGGCATGAAAGAACAGGTTCAAATGTCTAAGGTTTTACTTCAAGGAACTAATGGGAACTCAGGAATATTATATGATTTTTGTTAAAAATACTTTCTTTTACTTAGGATTCCTGTACTGACATCAGTAAAAAATAAACTAAATGGGTCAGTTCTCCTTTTTTTAATTACAGAAATTTTCTAGTATTACATACTGATACAATTTCCAGAATTTCATCTCTACTTAAGCATCTCTCTCTCTCTTTCTCTCTCTCTCTCAATAATTAATGGAAAATGCAGATAAGGAGTGCTATTGTACTCACAGGGAAAGTTTTCTTGCATAAAACATAGCAAGCTCTAGTCAAAAATTAAAAGATTGAGAAATACGACTAAGTTAAATCCAACAACAAGAAGAATGAATCTCCAGTTTTTTTTATGTGAAACCTTACAGCTAATGAAGGAGTAACTACTGTAAATACTCCAGATAATAGAGAAGTAATGAAAAATGATATTCTTATATTCCAACTAGATGTGGAGTTAGAAGGCATATGTAAAAGAAAGGCTGCAGAAATTTTGAATTAAAAGAAAGCTAGAAAAAAGAAAATGAAGCAAACATTGCCCAAAAGAAATATGTGTAACTATATTAAGTTGCAAAGAACAATACTAATTTTTGGAGACAGAAATAGATCAGTAATTGCCCAAAGTGATGAAGGTGGGATGGTGGTAGGGAAGAGTTTGACCGCAAAGGGAAATGGATGAACATTCTGGGATGAAGGAAGTGATTAATGTCTTGATTTTGGTGGTATTGCACAGGTGCATAATATCTTAAAACTTCTTTGAGAGTTACACACTAGATGTGTTCATATCATTGGGTTTAAATTGTATCTTAATAAAGTTGATTTAAAGAGAGGAGAGAGAGATGACTTCTATTGTTTTAAGTAATTAAGAAAGAAAAGGCAAGTCAATGAGTGGGTGAAAAATGTTACATTACATATAATCAACAAGGAACTCATGTACAGGGTATATAAAGAAATTATATCATCATTAAGAAAGGAACAACAAGCCCAAAAAAATAAGCAAGAGATTTCAAAATGTGCCTCACAAAAGGAGTGACCCAAATTGCAAGTAAGCTATAAAAAGTTGTTTAACCTCTGAGAATATTGCCATTTCAAACCACAGTGAGAAGCCATTACTCAGTCTTCAGAATTGCTAAAATTAAAACCAGACTGTAAAGTGATAAAAATTTTATATGCTGCTGGTGGGAATGTAAATTTGTTTAAATACGTAAATTGATAATTTGGAAAACTGGCATTATCTAATGAAGTTGAGGAACTGCATACCTTGTTACTAAGTAATTTCATAACAACAGAGATGCATGCATGTATAGAACATTGAATATAAATAGGAATGTTTACCAGCAATATTTTTAAAACTAGAATAGAAAAAGTGGCTAACAAAGTATGGCATTGTTATGGCCTCAATATCTGTGTTTCTCTAAAATTCATACATTGAAATCTTAACTCCCCGTGGGTTGGTATTTGGAGTTGGAGTCTTTGTGATGTAATTAGGGTTAGATGAGGCAGTGAGAATGGAGCCCTTAAGATGAGATCTATGGCCATGTAAGAAGAGGCAAAAAGAGCATTGAGGAAAGGTCACCTGAGAACATAAGGAGGAGGCCACTCTGTGAAACAAAAGAAGAGAGCCCTCATTAGGAACCACATCAGCCAGCACCTTGATCTTGGACTTCCCAACCTTCAAAACTGTGAGAAACAAATTTCTGTTGTTTAAACAGCCTGGACTATGATATTTTATTATAGCCCCTATATCAGTCCATTCTTGTGTTGCTATTACAAAAATACATGAGACTGAGTCATTTAACAGTTCTGCAGGCTGTACAAATGTGGGACCAGCATCTGCTTGGCTTCTGGTGAGGTCTCAAGAAGCTTTTACTCATTATGGAAGGTGAAGTGAGAGAAGGCACATCACATGGTGAAAAGCAGGAGCAAGACAGAGGAAGGTGAGGAGGGACTATACCTTTTTAAATAGCCAGATCTCAGGAGATCTCATTCACAAAAATTGCGAGGACAGCACCAAGGGAATAGTACTAACACACTTATGAGAAATTCTCCCCCATGATCCAATCACCTCTTACCAGGCCCCACTTCCACTACTGGGGATTACAATTCAGTATGACATTTTGGTGGGGACAAATATACAAACTAGATCAGTCCCTCAAGCTGACAAAGATGGGCATATTGCTACAAGTGTACTATACAACTCTGAAAATAAAGAACAACATGGCTACATCTCACAAACATAATGTTGCATATACAAGAAGCTAAACAAAGAAGAATATATATTATTTCATTTTAATTTATAGCAAAAGAGTAGTAAAAGTAAGTTATAATATTTAGGGAAGAAAATCCAGATATTAAAATAATGAAAAAGTGAAGAATGGTTTCATATAAAAGTTAGATAAAGATTATTTTTGTGTGGGAAGGAGGAGATAATGATTGGAAAAGAGCATCAAAAGGTTTCCAGGGTATTGTCAATATTCTTTTGCTTGAGTAGGGTTGTGGTTGCATGGTCTCAACTTTGTGATGAATCCCCAAGTTTTATATGTCAGGCATATTTTCTGTGTATGTCATAAGAAAAAGGTGAAAAGAATAAAACAAAGTGTGATGGTTAATATTGAGTGTCAACTTGATTGGCTTGAAGGATGCAAAGTGACGTTTCTGGGTGTGCCTGCGAGGATGTTGCCAAAGGAGATTAACATTTGAGTCAGTGGACTGGGAAAGGCAGACCCACCCTCAATCTGGGTGGCCACAGTCTAGTCATCTGCCAGCCCACCCAGAATAAAAGCAGGCAGAGACTGGGTGCGGTGGCTCACACCTGTAATCCCAGCACTTTGGGAGGCCAGGGTGGGCAGATCACGAGGTAAAGAGATCCAGACCATCCTGGCCAACATGGTGGAACCCTGTCTCTGCTAAAAACACAAAAATTAGCTGTGTGTGGTGGTGCACGCCTGTAGTCCCAGTTACTCAGGAGGCTGATGCAGGAGAATTGCTTGAACCCGGGAGGCAGAGCTTGCAGTGAGCCGAGATCGCGCCACTGCACTCCAGCCTGGGCGACAGAGCGAGACTCCGTCTCAAAAAAAAAAAAAAAAAAAAAAAAAAAGGCAAAGTAGATTATGTATGTTTCAGCATTTATAAACTGTAAAAGTGTAAAAATATAAACTAACACCATAATAATAATCCTCTGATACAAAAGTATATATGATGTGTGCACATACAGTACACATATGCATCTGAAAGAAACATACTCATGAACTTTATCAACTGTACTGGACAGTCCTCTGATGGCTTCAGAGATGATAATTATACAAATGTGGTATATAAGCAACATAGTTATTGAGAAAGAAAAATATGAATAATTATACCTCTTGATTTTCTTCACTATGTATTTCACTTTCAAGACAGTTTATCACTTTATAAATTCCACTGCAATGATTTTCAGTCCAGTAGCTTGTGCCTTCTAAATTAATGTCAGAATTAGATTTTTCTTTCTGATAATATTCAGGTTGAATTGCGATGAATTCTAAGAGAAACTACATTAGTCTATGGCAAATTATTCTCAGGCTATATGAAGTGTGTCATTCTTTTTCCCAAGCAGAGTTGATTTTATTCAATATGGCATATCTCAATGCTTTTAAAATCCAAGGGGAAATTATATTTTAAATTACTTAAGGGAAAAAAGCAGCATTGATTGACATCAAGGATTAACTGTTCCTACATAAGTTAATTTATTTTAAAAATGTGAAATATCTCTGTGCTGATGTTGGTGTTTGACTTACAACTCAAATGTTACAGGTATATTTTGTGAACATTATGCAAATGATGACCCAGAATTAATCAGCTAATAACATTTATGAACCATTGTAAAAACATTAATTGACTAATTAATTCGACAATATAGAAAGTTTTACATGGCAAATACGACATTCTTGCACTGTCAAGCTGTTTCCTGGAGTAGTGCTAAAAAATAAAAGGCATTAATTTAAACAGCAATTGAAAAAGTGTATATTAATCTCTTTCTCTGTGTAAGAATCTGCAGTGAACTCAGTAAGCAAAAAAAGATACACAAAACAGACTTCTCCCCAGTGGTTCACAATGCAGTCTTGAGAATAAACACAATTGATAATGTCCAGAATTGCACCACTATATACTTATGTAGTACTTTAAGTGTTTTACAATTTCTGATGTTATATAAAATAACCCCACAGAGCCCAGGGATTAGGGAAGTTACATCTTTGGGAGAATCATTTTTCTGCCAACCAAAGAGGGGTAGCAAGTAGATGACATAACTTTCTTAAATTATCCCTCTCCCTTGTTAAGGAGAGATACGTTGCCTAAGAGCCTCAGGCAGTCTTTCTATTGTAAGCCATTTACCAGATCTCTAGATCTGGCATCCCCAAAATGCAAGGGAGATGGAGAAAGCCATTTTCTAGCTTTTTCATCTTCTATAGCAGGAGGCATACAACACAGGTGTAAATCTACCCCCAGGATCTATTATACAGTGGTTTTTCATGGTTTGTTTTCCCAGAAGAAAATAACAGAAACATGTTGTAAATATTTAAGTAGCCAAACTCTTTTTTATGTCTGGCCTTTCAACAGATTCAGTCACATATGTAATGTCTCAGGAAATAAAATATTTACAAATTTTCCCTGAAACAGCATCCTGAAGGTGCACTCCAGCCTACTGAAAAATAAAGAGGGATGGCTAACAGTAAATTAGGTTGAGAATTTACTATGTGTGGAAACTGTTCCAAGTGATTAATCTGTTTAATTATCACCATACTTTTATAAGGTAGATATTATACTTACTTTCATTTGCAGGTAAAAAAAAAAGGACAGAAAGATTAAATCATTTATTAGCTCCTATTTAGAACTGATATAAGAATTCACCAAAGATTCCGTATACAAAATAAATGTATACAAAGCAGTAGTTCTTCTATACACCAACATAGACCAAGCTGAGAATCAAATCAAGAACTCGACCCCTTTTACAATAGCTGCAAAAAAACAAAAGCAAACAAACAAAAAATAACTTCGGAATACACCTAACCAAGGAGGTGAAAGACTTCTACAAGGAAAACTACAAAACACTACTGAAAGAAATAGATGACACAAACAAATGGAAACACATCCCATGCTCATGGATAGATAGAATCAATATTATGAAAACGACCATACTGCCGAAAGCAATCTACAAATGCAATGCAATTCCCATCAAAATACCACCATCATTCTTCTTAGAATTAGAAAAAGCAATTCTAAAATTCATATGGAACCAAAAAAGAGCCCTCATAGCCAAAGCTAGACTAAGCAAAAAGAACAAATCTGGAGAAATCACATTACCTGATTTCAGACTATACTATGAGGCCATAGTCACCAAAGCACTGGGACTTAATTACACTAAAGAGCTTTTACACGGCAAAAGGAACAGTCAGCAGAGTAAACAGACAACCCACAGAGTGGGAGAAAATCTTCACAATCTATACATCTGGCAAAGAACTTATATCCAGAATCTACAACAAACTCAAACAAACCAGCAAGAAAAAAACAATCCCGTCAAAAGTGGCTAAATACATGAATAGACAATACTGAAAAGAAGATATACAAATGGCCAACAAACATATAAAACATGCCCAACTTCTCTAATAATCAGGGACATGGAAATCATAACCACAATGCAATACTGCCTTACTCCTGGAAAAATGGCTATAATCAAAAAATCAAAAAATTGCAGATGTTGGCATGGATGCAGTGAACAGGGAACACTTCCACACTGCTGGTGGGAATATAAACTAGTACAACCACTATGGAAAATAGTGTGGAGATTCCTTAAAAAACTAAAAGTAGAACTACCACTTGACCCAGCAGTTGCACTACTGGATATCCACCCAGAGGAAAAGAAGTCATTATATGAAAAAAAATACTTGCACACACGTGTATAGCAGCACAATTTGCAATTGCAAAAACATGGAACTAACCCAAATGCCCATCAACCAATGAGAGGATAAAGAAACTGTGGTATAGGCCAGGTACAGGTGCAGTGTCTCACACCTGTAATCCCAGCACTTTGGGAGGCTGAGGCCAGCGGATCACCTGAGGAGCTCAAGACCAGCCTGACCAACGTGGAGAAACCCTGTCTGTACTAAAAATACAAAAAAATTAGCCAGGCATGGCAGCACATGCCTGTAATCCCAGCTAATTGGGGCGCTGAGGCAGGAGAATCACTTGAACCCAGGAGGCGGAGGATGGGATGAGCCGAGATTGCGCCATTGCACTCCAACCTGGTCAACATCAGCAAAGCTCCATCTCAAAAAAGCAAAAGCAACAACAAAAAACTGTGGTGTATATATATATAATCGTACATATATATATATAATTATATATATAATCATATATATATATTCCATCATATATATATGATGGAATACTACTTGGCCATAAAAAGGAATGAATTAATGGCATTCACAATGACCTGGATGAGATGAAGACAATTATTCTAAGTGAAGTAACTCAGGAATGGAAAACCAAACATTGTATGTTCTCACTCAGAAGTGGGAGCTAAGCTATAAGAATGCAAAGGTGTAAGAAAGACACAGTGGACTTTGGGGACTCAGGGGGAAAGGGCGGGAAGAGGGTGAGGCATGAAATACTGCAAATAGGATTCCGTGTATATCACTCAGGTGATGTGTGCATGAAAATCTCACAAATCACCACTAAAGAACTTTCTCATGCAACCAAACACCTCTGGTTCCTCAATAACCTATGGAAATTTAAAAAAAAATTAAAAAAGGAAAGGTTAAATCATTTCTTTTTCTTTTATACTTTAAGTTCTGGGGTACATGTGGAGAATGTGCAGGTTTGTTACATAGGTATACATGTGCCATGGTGGTTTGCTGCACCCATCAACCCATCATCTACATTAGGTACTTCTCCTAATGTTATCCCTCCCCTAAGTCCCCACCCTCTGATGTGTGATGTTCCCTGCCCTGTGTCCGTGTGTTCTCATTGTTCAACTCCCACTTATGAGTGAGAACATGTGGTGTTTGGTTTTCTGTTCTTGTGTTAGTTTGCTGAGAATGATGGTTTCCAGCTTCATCCATATCCCTGCAAAGGACATGAACTCATCCTTTTTTATGGCTGCATAGTATTCCATGGTGTATATGTGCCACATTTTCTTTATCCATTCTATCATTGATGGGCATTTGGGTTAGTCCCATGTCTTTGCTATTGTGAATAGTGCTACAGTAAACATTCATGTGCATTTGTCTTTATAGCAGAGTAGCAGAGTGATTTATGATCCTTTGGGTATATACCCAGTAATGGAATTGCTGGGTCAAATAGTATTTCTGGTTCTAGATCCTTGAGGAATTGCCACACTGTCTTCCACAATGGTTGAACTAATTTACACTCCCACAAACAGTGTAAACGTGTTCCTATTTCTCCACATCCTCTCCAGCGTCTGTTGTTTCCTGACTTTTTAATGATCGTCCATTCTAACTGGGGTGATATGGTATCTCATTGTGGTTTTGATTTGCATTTCTCTAATAACCAGTGATGATGAGCTTTTATTTGTATGTTTGTTGGCCGCATAAATGTCTTCTTTTGAGAAGTGTCTGTTCCTATCCTTCGCCCCGTTTTTGATGGGGTTGTTAGTTTTTTTTCTTGTAAATTTGTTTAAGTTTCTTATAGATTCTGGATATTAGCCTGTTGTCAGATGGATAGATTGCAAAAATTTTCTCCCATTCTCTAGGTTGCCTCTTCACTCTGATGATAGTTTCTTTTGCTGTGCAAAAACTCTTTAGTTTAATTAGATCCCATTTGTCAATTTTGGCTTTTGTTGCCATTGTTTTTGGTGTTTTAATCATGAAGTCTTTGCCGATGCCTATGTCCTGAATGGTATTGCCTAAGGTTTCTTCTAGGGTTTTTATGGTTTTAGGTCTTATGTTTAAGTCTTTAATCCATCTTGGGTTAATTTTTGTATAAGGTGTAAGGAAGGGGTCCAGTTTCAGTTTTCTGCATATGGCTATCCAGTTTTCCCAACAACATTTATTAAATGAGGAATCCTTTCCCCATTGCTTGTTTTTGTCAGGTGCTGATACCAAAGCAGATATATAGAACAATGGAACAGAACAGAGGCCTCAGAAGTAACACCACACATCTACAATCATTTGATCTTAGAGGTTAAATCATTTCTTTAAGGTCACACAGTTATAAGTAATAAAGATTCAAATCTAGCAATTCTAGGTTCAAAACTCATAGTCTTAATCATAAAAGTATAATGCTTGGTAAAATTTTTTGGTGCCTGTAAAATTACCAAATAAAAACTAGAAGATATTTGGTGCTATGGTCTGAATGCTTTTGTTCCTCCAAAATTAATGTTGAAATCTAATCCTCATTGTGGCAGTATTAAGAGGTGGGCCTTCAGCAGGTGATTAGGTCACATGGGGACCACCCCCATAAATGGGATTAGTGTCCATACATAAGAGGCTTGAGAAAGCTTACTGTTCCTTCCATCATGTGAGGACATAGCCTTTTGCCCTCTTGTCATGTGAGGACACCGTGAGAAGGCACCATCTTTGAAGGATAGAGTGAGGCCTCACCAGGCACTGAATCTGCTGCCACCTTGAACAGTAAATTGAAGTTACTGCTGTAAATTTATAAATTACCTCGACTAAGATATTTTGTTATAACAGCCTGAGAGGACTGGCAATTGGATATATTCAGTGTGTATTTAAGAGGTGAGGTCTGGGCTGGAGATAGAGAGTTTAAAATATGGAACCCTTTGCAGATAAGCATCTAAGGGAAGCTGATGGCAAGAGTATGGAAGGAACATAACAAGCTAGAAATTGGGAAGCAGAGTGCAGTACTGGAGATCATTTAAAAAAAATGAGAAAATGGCATAGCAAGTATCAACTCAGAAGTTGGGTAGGCTCAGAAGTAACAAGAGTACAAAGAATTATATCCAATGGCTTTGGGAGGCCAGAGGCCAAAAATAAACCTTTGGTAACCCCCAAAATACATCAGAAAAATGATAAAAGGAGACATAGGAACAAGAATTAATGCCAGCAATCAGCAATTGCACCACCTACACTCACGTAGTACTTTAAGTATTTTACGATTTCTAATTCTCTTCCATTTTTTTCCTCAACTAAATGAGTATAAAATGTGAAAGGAAAACAAGTATCTCCTTGTTCATTCTAGGAGCTTGTGTCTGCTTCTTATTAAGGTAGTAGCCTGATGTTCACAGGGGGAGAGAATTGAAAACACCTATCTCTACAGCCAAAATAGTCACTAAACATGAACAGTTTTGGAAATACGCCTTTCACCATAGGAGAAATACAACATTTGAAAGCATACTGATCTATATAACTTGCCATTGAGGAAAACCCTGGAGATTCTTCAAGTTGTTATTGCTGCTTCTGTTTTAACTGAAATCTTGCTTTGTATTAATACAACGGTCAGAAATGGCCTTCTAGTTCACTTAACACTGTAACATGGTCATCTTTCCATGTCCATCCATATAATTCAGTATCTTCTTAATAAAATCAGCACTTTTAATTCCTCCTAAAAGTCCTGTAGGAAAGCCTGCTTCATATTCTGGTTCATGCATTAAGAACAGTTAGAAGCATTCAGTTATCAATGGACTTGCATATGGAACATTTCAGACACTCTTTGGACTTTTCTGCCATGTTTTATTAACGTTAACTCCCAGTATTATGTTAGAATAGATTTCATTTTCTCTTTATGTCAATTACATTGACTGACAGCTGCAATGAGTTTCTTAGTAACACCTAGGGGATGCTTAGGTTTCCTGCTTTACTATTCTTCCAAATATTGAGAACCTGTCATTAAAAAGTCATTTATCTTTCTTTTCTGCTGATGAAGACCATTTTACTGTTTACCTCACATTTAATTTGCCAAATACAATAAGACTTCAGATTTTGCAACCACTGATACCATGGATTTTTAAAGTTTTTTTTTTAGTTATAATCTTGAGTTCGCAATGAGAGATAGTTAAGATAGTTAAGATTTTTTCATAAGTTCTATGATGGCTATTTTCTCTGTCTATATGAAATCAAACAACTTTTGTAAGTATTGTTAATAAATGACTAATTATGGAAATGTACCAAAATTGCAGGCTATAGGCTCAGATTTGGGATTTCTGGAAACAGAATTAATCATAAATAACTGACCTATACACATCTATAAAGATTTACCTTTATACTTGGATTGTATGCCAAGTATTTACTTTGAAAATAATTTGAGAAGTTAAACTACAAATTTGTTTCCTTGAGGCCTAAGTGTTCCAAGAAGGTATTATTCAACCTTATTCTCAAGCTCTCAGAATCTACTTATCCACCCCGATATCCCTTTGCAGAGCTTATTTTTATTTTTCTTTGCTGCTGAATGAGAATATCTCTAATGTTACATTCTTCTGTCCCACATGCTGGACCTCGTTGTTTAACTAATACGTCTATCATTGTGGATGAAAAACCTAATGGCTGAGCATCAAAGGAGGAAGGCATTTTCAGGAAAGGAAAAAAAGGTTATGGAAAGAAAAAATGCAGCAGGAAGTATTATAAAAGTAATGTTCTAACAGACATGTATAGTGTTCCAGATATTCCTAAGACAAGTTATTGTTCAATTAATGTTATATTTCTTTCCTCTTTTTTGTTTTTCTAGTTGTACACAGCACAACTCTGAGGAGTTTAAACTAACCAGTTACGTGAACTTTGGCAATTTACTGTAACTGATCTGCGACTCACTTCCTTTATCTGAAAGAAAGAATGGGAAAATAAGTGTAACTACCCTGTTCTTTTATGAGGAATAATATATAACTAGATTATTATATGTAAAGTACTTAGGACAGTGCTTACATATAGCAAGCACATAATCCTCATTGCATGCAATTGACATAAAAAAATCAATCAACACAGGCTATTCCAGGATAGTTTTCTTTTTTAAAAAATAAATTTTAAGTTCAGGGATACATGGCGTGGGTTTGTTACATAGGTAAACTTGTGTCATGAATGTTTGTTGTACAGATTATTTCATAACCCAGGTATTAAGCTTAGTACCCATTAGTTATTTTTCCTGATCCTCTCCCTCCTCCGCTCTCCTGTGTGTGTTGTTCCGTTTATGTGTCCATGTGTTATCATTTAGTTCTCACTTATAAGTGAAAACATGCAGTACTTGGTTTTCTCTTCTTTCATTAGTTTGCTAAGGATAATGGCCTCCAACTCCAACTACATTCTTGCAAAGGACATGATCTCGTTAATTTTTATGGCTGCATATTTTTCTATTATAAAGACACATGCACACGTATGTTCATTGCAGCACTATTCACAGTAGCAAAGGCACGGGATCAACCTAAATCCTCACCAATGATAGACTGGAAAATGAAAATGTAGTGCTTATACACCAGAATAATTTTCATTTTTCAATTCAAATTATTTTAAACTCAATTTGGCATTTTTTGACATAGGATATATAGTCCTCTAATTATAATCTGATAAGTATAAAATACAGGAGCAAACATAGTAATTATGCTAGTTCTTCATTTCTCATCTCTGCTCCTCAGATTCATTCCCCACCCTTGCAGGCTCTATTTTATGCAAAAAGATATAGAACACTGTCGCATACATCACCTGAATTCCCTGGAAACCTGGCTCCCATTGTGCCTGGAAAATGAAAGTCACCAGCAGCAGATCACAAAAGGGAGGAGAGAGAGGTTGGGACAATCCCCTCCCCTACCCCACCGCTTCTTCTCTTCCTTAGCATTGTCTCTGGCAAGCAGAGGCAATCAAGACTACAGTCTAGCTGAGAGTCACCTCTTCCATAATTCCAGTTTGGCTCCTCTGACACTATTTTCTTTCTGGTATCTTCTGCTGTTTAGGTGAAACCAGCTTCATAGAGCTTCCATACTTACCCGTATGAAGTACTCAGTTTAAATTATCTTCCTTTAAGTCACCTGGAACACATTACATCTTTACTCTTCTATTTTAATATGGTATGACTATGTAATTGCTTTCATATTGTAGTGCCAAGACTTATAGACAAGTGATTTTTAAATCTATGATCAAACATGTTTTCCAGTTGCCAATTACTGTTTGAAAACACACACTTGGCCTTCTTCTATTCCAATCACTGTAAATGAATAAAATGTGTTTGCAAACAAACATCCTTCAAGTAAAAGTGCTGAATTAATTATACTTATGATTTATAATTATGCATACAGGTCAGCCTGGCAAGGGTATAAGCCCAAGAGTGACAACTAGTCAATGTAGAGAGGGGTGTCATAAGAACAAAAATCCAGTTATAGAAATAGAAAAAAAGGATAGTCAGTAGATAGTATCTAGCAGGCATGGTATACCACGGGTATAAATCCTGAGAGAAAGGGGTATTGAGGAAACTATACATAATAATAGATGACAGGTGGGCAGAGCCTTAAAAAGGTAACAATACTGAAGATGAACAGTATTTTGCTATGAAAGGTGGTAGAAAATGGCCGAAGAGAAATTTGTCAGTAGGTCTTCAAGTTCACCCATTAGGAAGTCAAGAACTGAGATCTGGCCTCTGGACCTTGGAAGGAGGTTGTCAAATGGAAGGCAAACACCTTGGCATTTATGAAGTGTCCATATTCCAAAGAATGGGAGAAAGAGAGTGTGAGAACAATCCAGGGGCCCACTTTCCAGAACAGGAATTCAAGATTACAGAAAACAGAGACATACATCATAATTATGCAGTGAAACAAATTATCATAAAGTGAATGTTTCCAATTAACCTCCACCAAAGTAAAAACTCAGAGCATTTCCAGCACCATAAAAAACTCCAGCTCCTCCCTAATCACTATGCTCCCTTCCAATATTCCCACATCTAACAATATAAATTAAGATGGCCTGTTTTGAATTTTATACAAATGCATTCCTGAAATATATATTATTTTGCATGTAGCTTATTTTATCAAATATTACATTGTGATAAGAATCCATGGCATAGCATGCAGGTGCAATCAACTCCTATACAGTGCTACATAATATTCCATTATATGACTATATAATATTCCATTATATTCCATTATATCCCATTATATCATTATATGATACAATTTGTTTATGCATTTTTAACTGTTCCACTACTGATGAACAGTTTCTACACTTTGGAGCTATTAAGAATATAATGTTTTTATAAAATCATTTTATATAAATTTTTATTTAGTTATATCTATTGTGCACACATGAATAGAATGATTGGGTCATAACATATGCACATGTTGAACCACAATAGATAAACAGTTCTCTCAATGGATGTACTAATATCTCCTCCCACTAACAGTACATGAATGCTGTCAGTTTGCTTCCTTGCTGGGATTTTTGTTGCTCTTTTTTTTTTTTTTTGATGAAATATTCCGATAAGTTTGTAGTGGTATCTCATAATTTGTCACTATAATTTGTAATTTTAACTAGTGTGTGTCAAATAATAAACGAAAATGAACAACTTTCACAGTGTGATTGGACACTTGAGCCTCCTGTTTTGTTTTTGAAGTGCCTGCTCAAGTCACTTACCCATTTTTCTATTGCCTTTCTTTTCTTTACTAATTAGTGTAAGTCCTATATATGTGTTGCATATGTAAGCCTTGTCATTTATTTGTGTTAAAATATACATTTTACCATTCTGTAGCTTGCCTTTGAGCCCTCTTAATAGTGTAGTCTAATAAACATGTATTTTTAATTTAAATTTAATTCAGTATTTCAACTGTTTTATTTTGTGATGAGAATATGAAATTCTCTTAAGTTCAAGAAAGAAGGCAGAAAATAGACTGCTGTTTGACCCTAGATTCAAGCACTAAACAATCCAACGCAGAGCTTGTTTAGCCCCGGTCAGTCACTAAAAACTTCAAAGTGACTTCTCAGTCATTTAACCCTCTAAGTATGTATCTAGGTATAGTAACAGTTCCTTCAAAGAAGAAAAAGAATCTGACCACTTTGACCGAACCAGGCTTGTGAAGTAATATAAATCTCTTACAGGCCAGTAAGAGAAATACTGATCATATTAAGAGACACAAAGAGCTTTTTGCCTGAATGAAAAAAGAGTGTTTTAACTTCTTTAAATGATTCAATTCAAAGTACTATGTTTACTCCATGTTTACTCTTAGGCCTTGACTCATCTGAGCACACTTTCGTATCCTTTTCTCAGGATTTGTGGGGTTTACTTGAGTTTTCATAGAGGAGTTTGATACTAGCTTTTATTATACTTATTTTTGTATATTGTACAATTTCCATGTTTAATGTCTTCATTGGCCCAAAGTGATGTAACAGACATTGAATTTTAATCAAGTTCCAGGGCTTATTTGTAGTGGAGCTCAGATCCATAAATGGGAATAAATCATACCCTTTAATTTATGGAACTCTGCAATCATTGGTTCTTGTACAAACTAAATTGCTTTTTAGATTTTTTTACTTTATTATTATTTCTCTTTGCTCCCACAAGCACAGGTATCTATCTATGGAAGGTCTCTGATTTAGGATGGTTTGACCTAAAGATTTTTTTCTTAATGTTATTTTTTGATTTGCTGATAGGTTTATCAGGATGTGACCCCATGGTAAGTCCAGCAGCACCTGTGTTTAAATAATGTTCTTCATAATATGAGTATTTTGTTTTCACATTATTGAGTTTTGAGAATGCTTTATGTATTCTGAATATGAGTTCTTTATCAGATTTGCAATTATTTTCATTTTTTTCTTTATCACTATCAGCTTATTTAAAAGTTTATCTTCTCCCTCTTTTCATCTCTTTGAATCATTTTTATAATTTCTTCCTAAAATATTTACTTTAATGTTGTTATTTTGTTAGAAATATAGAGTGTGCTTATTCCATTTTCTTTATTTTTATTTTTAAATTTATTATTAATTAATTTATTTATTTTACTTTAAGTTCTGGGATACAAGTGCAGAACGTGCAGGTTTGTTACATAGGTATACATGTACCATGGTGGTTTGCTGCACCTATCAACCTGTCATCTAGGTTTTAAGCCCTGCGTGCATTAGGTATTCGTCCTAATGCTTTCCCTCCCCTTGCCCCCCCGGCCCCCGACAAGCCCCAGTGTGTGATGTTCCCCCCCCATGTCCATGTCTTCTCATTTTCAACTCCCACGTATGAGGGAGAACACGCAGAGTTTGGTTTTCATAAAACTACATCTAGAGTATATCCTCTAGGTCGATTTTTACTATTTGTTTTGTTTTTCAGATTTTTAATGGTATCTGTACATAAATTCAATTTATCTTATTCAGTTTATATGGATTTTTTTTTTATTGGAGCTTACCTGTCTAGTTCTGCCATTTGCTTAAAAATAAAGTGGGGATGGACATCTGTGAGAGTTGAGTTAGCTAAGGGATTCATTTTTGTATACAATCTCAGGGAATGTGAAAATTATGCTGTGACATGTGGTGTAGATATACACATCAATGGAACCGGATGGAGAGGTCATAAAGAGACCCACAGTTACATGACTAATCAATTCAAAGATGCCAAGGTGATTCATTGGAAAATTTTTTTTTCATCATGAATTGCTGGAAAAATGTTGAGCGAACACTTCACCAAGGAGAGATAGATTCAGGAAGAGATGGTGGAAAAAATGTTCAGCACGGTAGTTCTTTGAAAATTGCAAATTAAAATACCAAAATAATATTTCACTACACATTTACTAAAGAAGCTGATTTTTTTTAAAGAAAGAAACAGGCAATACAAAGTGTATGCAAGGCTGTGACACCATTGGCACTCTAATGTTCTGTTGGAAGAATGCAAAATGTATTCAGCAACAACAAGGAACCAACTACTGATATATGCCACAACAGGAATGAAGTTTAAAAACATTATGCTAAGGAATGAAGCCGGACTAAAAATGTACATGCTAAATGTTTTCATTTATATAATATTCTAGAATATGCAAAGTATAGGGACAAAGATCAGATCATCACTTGCCAAGGACTGAGAGTAGAATTTGAGAGACTGACTACAAAAAGGAATAAGGTAATTTTGCAAAGTGCTTGAAATATTTCATATCATGATTATGTTGTTTGTTATACATCCTGTATTACATTTCTGAAGCCTAATGGAAGTGTACATCTGTGTTATTGCTATAAAGAACTACCTGAGACTGGGTAATTTATAAAGAAAATAAGTTTAATTGGCTCCATAGTTCTGCAGGCTGTACTGAAGGTACAGTACAGCCCTTATAATGGCCTCAGCTTTTGTAGTGTCATCAGGAAGCTTCCAATAATGGCAGAAGGCAAAGGAAGAGCAAGCATCTTACATGATGGCAGCAGGAACAATAGAGAGAGCAACCAGATCTTGTGATAGCTCACTCACTATCATAAGAACAGCACCAAGAGGATGTTGTCAAACCATTCATGAGAAATTCACCCCCATGATCCAATCACCTCCCATAAGGCTCCAACTCCAACATTGAGGATTACAATTCCACATGATATTTTGGTGAGGGTCACAGGTCTAAACCATATGAAAATCTAAAAACAGATGAGTATTCATTCTTCTGCAAGTGGGTATTCAGTTTTCCCAAAAACTATTTTGTGAAGAGGCTTTCCTTTTAAAATTATTTCTTGTACCTTGGAAGAAAATCAATAGACCATTAATGCATGGGTTTATTTCTTGGGTTTCTATTTTGTTCCAGTGGTTGGTTTGCCTGTTTTAATGCCAATACTGTGCTGTTTTGATTATTATAGCTTTCTGATATATTTTATTTACCTATTGATAGGTAAATTTATAAATATTTACCATGTACAACGTAATGATTTGAAGTACCTATACATTGTGGAATGACTAAATCTAGCTATATTAGCATATATATTACTTCACATAGTTATCTTTTTATGCTAAGAACACTTAATATGCACTCTCAGCACTTTTCAAGAATACAACATATTTTTAATGATAGTAACCATGTTGTACAGTAGCCCTCTTGCACTTGTTCTTCCTATCTAATTGAAATCTTATACCCTTTGAAAATTCTCCAGTGCTCCTCCCAAATACCCCAGCCCTGGTAGCCGCCATTCTATTCCCTACTTCTATGAGATTATATTTTTTAGATTCCACATGTTAAGTGAGATAAGTGAGTGATATGTGTATTTGGCACTTTGTTTATTTCACTGAACATAACGTTCTCCATTATGTTCTATCCCTGTTGTCATAAATGACAGAATTTTCTTTTTTAAAAAGGGCTTAATAGAATTTAATTGTTTATGTATTTCACATTTTCTTTATCCATTCATCCATTGATGAACATTTAGTTTGATTCATATATTGGTCATTGCCAACAATACTGCAATAAACATGAAAGTACAGGCATTTCTTTGACATACTACTTTTATTTCCTTTGGATTTTCACCCATTAGAAGGATTGCTAGATAATGTTATAGTTCTATTTTAATTTTTTTGAGGGAACTTTATACTGTTTTTCGTAATTGTAATATATTTTAAAATTAGGCAGTGTGATGCTTCCAGCTTTGTCTCTGTTTGAATTTTCTTTTTGTTTGGCTCAAAAGTGCTTTTATTAGTCAAGGTCTTTTGTGTTCCCATAAAAATTTTAGAATTTTTTTAATTCTTTGAAAATTTACATTGGAATTTTGATATAGATTGCTTTGAATCTGTAGATCAGTTTGGTAAGTATGAACATTGAACAATATTAATTCTTCTAATTTATGAACATGACATATCTTTCCACTTATTTGCATCTTCTTCAGTTTCTTTTACCAGTGTACAGATCTTTCAACTCCTCAGTTAAATTTATTCTAAATATTTTAATTTTTGTAGCTATTGAGAATGGGATTTTAAAACTTTTTTTTCAGAGAGTTCACTGCTAGTGTATACAAATGCCATTAATTTTTGTAGGTTGATTTTCTACCTTGCAACTATACTAAATTTGTTTACTAGTTCTAACAGTTTTTTGGTAGAGGATTTGGGATTTCAATGTATAAAATCATGTAATCAGCAAAAAAAGACATTTTTACTTTTTTCTTATTTGGAGGCCTTTTATTTCTTTTTCTTGCCTAGTTTCTCTGGCTAGGATGTTGTGCATCATGTTAAATAGAAGTTGTGAGAGTAGGCATCCTTGTTTTATCCATGATCTTACAGGAAAAGTTTTTGATTTTTCACTATTGAATATGAAAAATGAAACTGGACCATTATCTCCCACCATATACATAAAAGAACTAAAATAAATTTAAAAACTTAAACATAAGGTCTGAAACTGTTAAACTGCTAGAAGTAAACATAGCAAGAAAGCTTCACAATATTTGTCTAGACAATAATTTTTTTTGCATTTGACCCTAAAAGCACCGTAAGCAAAAGACACACACACACACACACACACACACACACACACACACACACACACAAAGTAAAGTAGAATTTCATCCAACTAAAAAGTTTCTACAGAGCAGAAACAGTTAACAGCCAGGTGTGGTGGTCTGAAACTGTGGTCCCAGCTACCCAGGAGGCTGAGGTGGGAGGGTGGTGTGTTAGTATGTTTTTATACTGATTTAAAGAACTGACCGAGCCTGGGTAATTTATAGAAGAAAGAGTTTTAATTGACTCACAGTTCAGCATGGCTAGGGAGGCCTCAGGAGACTTACAATCATGGTGGAAGGTGAAAGGGCAGCAAAGCACTATCCTGGCAAGGTGGCAGGAAGGAGAAGTGCCCAGTGAAGGGGGAACAGCCCCTGATAAAACCATCAGATCTTGTGAGAACTCACTCACTATCACAAGAACAGCATGGAGGAAATCACTCCAAAGATTCAGTTACCTCCACTGGGTCTTTCCATTGACATATGGGGATTATGGTGATTATGGAGATTATGAAGATTACAATTCAAGATGAGATTTGGGTGGGGACACAAAGCCTAACCGTATCAGAAGGCTTGAGCCTAGGAGGCAGAGGTGGCAGTGAGCTGAGATCTTGCCACTGCACTCCAACCTGGGTGTCAGCATGAGAGGCTGTCTCACAAAAAAAAAAGAAAGAAAAGGAAAAAAAAAGGAAACAATTACAGAGTGAAGAGAACCTAGGGATGTGGGAAAAAAGTATTTGTAATGTATACATCTGAAAAAGATTAATCTTCACTATATATATATATATATATATGTATATATATATATATATATGTATATATGTATATGTATATAAACACAAAAAATAGCCAAAAAGAAACAACCCAGTTTACCTGTTACAAAAACCAGTTAAGGATACAATAACAACAAAAAGAATATTACAGGCCAATATTCCTGATAAACTTAGGAGCAGAAATTCTCAAAAAGATATTAGCAAATCAATTTCTCAACAACACATCAAAAAGAAAGTGTACCATGACCAAGTGGGGTTTATTCCAGGGACACAAGAATGGTTCAACATATGCCAATCAACAAATGTGATACATCACTTCAACAAAATGAAGGACAAACACCATATGATCGTCTCAATAGACCCAGAAAAAAAAGCATTTGATAAAATCCAACATCTCTTCATGATAAAGCCTCTCAACAAATTAGGCATAGAAGGAACATACATCAACATAATAAAGCCCATATGTGACAAACCTACAGCTAATATCAAACTGAATGAGGAAAATGTGAAAGTCTTCCTGTAAGAATTGGAATAAGACAAAGATGAACACTTTTACCACCCTTATTCAACAGTGTACTTGAAGTCCTAGCCAGAGCAATCAGACAAGATAAAACAAACAAAGCATCAAAATTGAAAAAGAGGAATTCAAATTGCTCCTTTTTGCAAATGACATGATCTCATATATAGACAAATCTAAAGATTAAGCCAAAAAACTCTTAGAGCTGATAAATGTATTTAATAAAGTTGCAGAATACAAAATCAACCTACAAACAAATATCAGTAGTGTTTCTATACACCAATAACCACCTAGCTAAAAAAGAGATCAAGAATGCAATCTCATTTTAAATTGCTACAAAAATACTTAGGAATAAATTTAACCAAGGAGATAAAAAACCTCCTCAACAAATACTACAAAACACTAATAAAAGCAACGCAAGATAACACACACAAAATGGAAAGATATCTATGTTCATGGATCAGAATTAGTATTGTTAGAATAGCTATACTACCCAAAATAATCTACAGATTGAATACAGTTCCTATCAAAATACCAGTGACATTCACAGAAATTAAAAAAATCATAAAACTCTTATGGAATGACAAAAGACCCCAAATAGCCAAAGTAATATTGAGCAAAAAGAACAAAACTGGAGGCATCACACTCCCCCACTTCAAAATATACTACAAAACTGTAGTATTTGAAAGAGCATGGTATTGATATAAAAACAGACACATAGACAAGCAGAACAGAATAGAGAATCAAGAAATAAATGCATGTATTTATAGCCAAATGATTTTCGACAAAAGCATCAAGAATATACACTGGGGAAAGGATACTCTCTTCAAAAAACGGTACTAGGAAAATTGGATATCAACTTGCAGAGAAGCCTAGTTAAATCCCTATCTCTCACCATTTACAAAAATAAAATCAAAAGGGATTAAAAACTTTACTGAAAAACCTGAGGCTGTGAAACTACTAGAAGAAAAAATAGGTGTAATGCTTCAGGGCAATGGCCTAAACAACCATTTCATGAATAAGACTTCAAAAGCATAGGCAACAAAAGCAAAAATAGACAAATAAGATTACATCAAGCTGAAAAGCTTCTGCATGGCAAAGGAAGCAGTAAAGAGTGAAGAGACAACCTGCAGAATAAGAGAAAATATTTGCAAACTATTCATCTGACAAGAGACTAATGTGAAGAAAATATAGGAAACTCAAACAACTCTATAGCAAAATTATAATAGTAAGAATAATAATATTTTTCATTAAAAAGTGGGCAAAAGATCTGAGTAGACATTTCTCGAGTGAAACATATGAGGGGCGAGTATATGAGAAAATACTCACCATCACTAATCATTAGGTAAATGAAAATTAAAATTACAATTAGCTGTTATCCCAGTTAGAATAGCTATTATCAAAAGCACAAAAAATAATACATGCTGGTGAGAGCACAACTAAAAAAAAAACAAACAAACTTGTGTATGCTGTTGGTAGAAATGTAAATTTTAATGCCATTATGGAAAACAATATACAAGTTTCTCAGAAAAGTAAAAATAAAACTGCATACATTTCAGAAATCTCATTACTGTTTATCCAAAAAATGAAAAATTATTATACCAAAGTGATACCTGCACCCATATGTTTATTGTAGCACTATTCACAATTGCCAGAATATGGAATCAACCTAAGTGGTCAACAAGTGAATGTACACAGAAAATGTGGGATATATATATAGTAGAATAATATTTAGCCATAAAAAAGAATGGAATTCTGTCATTTGTAGCAACATGGATGAAACTGGACTTCATTATGATAAGTGAAATGAGCCAGTCACAGAAAGACAAATATTGAATTTTCTAGCTCAGATGTGGAAACTAAAAAAGTTGATCTCACGGGGGTAGAATCTCATAAAAAGTAGAATAATACTTACCAGGGGCTGGGGAAAGTGGTGATGGGGGAAGATAAAAAGAAGTTAATTTCTGGGTATAAACATGTAATTAGCACTAGTGTTTGAGGGACATTATTTTATTATTTTTTATAGCTATGTAGCATTCCATGGTGTATATGTACCACATTTTCTTTATTTAATCCACCATTAATGGGCACCTAGGTTGATTTCATGGTTTAATATTGTGAATAGCTTGACGATGAGCATGTGAGTACATGTGTCTTTTTGGTATAATGATCTATTTTCCCTTGGGTATATACCCAGTAATGGGATTTCTGGGTCAAATGGTAGTTCTGTTTTAAGTTTTTACAGAAATCTCCAAACTGCTTTCCATGGTGGCTGAACTAAGAGAGAGTGCCGAGCAAAGAGGAAAAAGCCACTTATAAAACCATCAGATCTCGTAATAACTCACTCACTGTTATGAGAACAGAATGGGAGTAACACCCCCATGATTCAATTACTTCCCACCAGGTCCCTCCCATGACACATGGGGATTATGGGAAATACAATTTAAGATACTGATTATTTTAATCCATGAGCCTGGACTGTTTTATCATTTATTTTTGTCTTCTCTGATTTAGTTCAGCAGTGTTTTGTAGTTCTCCTTGTAGAGCTCCTTCACCTCCATGGTCAGCTGTATTCCTAGATATTTCATTTTTCTGTGGCAATTGTAAATGGGATTGTGTTCGTGATCTGACTCTCAGTCTAGACATTTATTGATGTAGAGAAATGTCACTGATTTTTGTCCATCAGTTTTGTATTCTGAAACTTTACTAAGATTATCTGTCATTTCTAGTAGCCTTTTGGCAGAATCTTTTAGGGTTTTCTAAGTATAGAATCATACTGTCAGTGAAAAGACATAGTTTGACTTTTTCTTTTCTTATTCGGATGTCGTTTGTTTCTTTCTCTTGCCTGATTGCTCTGGATAGGACTTTCTAAATAGATACTTCTTAGAAGAAAACAAATGGCCAAGTATCTGAAAAAATGTTCAGCATTCCTTATCATCAGGGATATGCAAACTAAACTACAATGAAATATCACCTCATACCTCTTAGAATGACTATAAGAGAATCCTTGTACACTGTTGATGAGAGTAAATTAATACCTCTTAGAATGACTATTGTCAAAAAATTTTAATGACAAGTAGTTGGATAGGTTGTGGAAAAAAGAGAATCCTTGTACACTGTTGATGAGCATAAATTAATGAGGCCTATATAGAAAAAAGCTGAAAATAGAATTAACATATGATCCAGGCCGGGAGCGGTGGCTCATGCCTATAATCCCAGCACTTTGGAAGGCCGAGGCAGTCAGATCACAAGGTCAGGAGATCGAGATCATCCTGGCCAACATGGTGAAACCCAGTCTCTACAAAAAATACAAAAATTAGCCAGGCGTGGTAGTGGGCGCCTGTAGTCCTAGCTACTTGGGAGGCTGAGGCACGAGAATCGCTTGAACCCAGTAGGCGGAGGTTGCAGTGAGCTGAGATCGCGCCACTGCACTCCAGCCTCCAGCCTGGCAACAGAGTGGGACTCCGTCTCAAACAAACAAACAAAAAACAAAAACAAAACAAGACAAAACAAAACAAAAACACATGATCCAGCAATCCCATTTCTGGGTATATATTCAAGATAATTTAAATCATTTTGTCAAAGAGATACATGCCCTCTCATGTTCATGGCAGCAGTATTCACAATAACCAGATACAGAATCAACCTAAGTGCCCATCAGTACATTAATAGATAAAGAAAATTTGGTATGTATACACAATGGAATACTATTTAGCATTTTTGAAAAAGGAAATCCTAGCATTGATAACAACATTAATAAACCCAGAAGACATTATGTTAAGTAGAATAAGCCAGTCACAGAAAGACAAACATTGCATGATCTCACTTATATGTGGAAGCTAAAATAGATGATCTCATAGAGGGAGAGAGTAGCACGATGGTTATTAGAGGCTGGTAAGAGGAAGGGTCATGGTGGAGAGGAATGGGGAGATGTTGGTCAAAGGGTGCAAAGTTTCAGTTAGATAAGGAAGAATAAGTTTTTGAGATCTATCGCACAGCAGGATGAGTATAGTTAATAATTTTATATTGTATATTTTGTAATTTCTTAGAATGTAAATTTCAAATGTTCTCATTGAAAACAGGTAATATTCTAACCAAAAAATATGATGTGATGTGATGAGTATGTTAATTAGCTTGACTTCATCATTCTGCAACATATACATATATCAAAAATTACAGCATAGCTCATAAATATATTCAATGGTTATTTCCCAATTTAAAAAGAAGATGAGTTTTACTGATATAAATTACACCTCAGTAAGCCTGAATTAATAAAAAATATGTTGGGATAACTCTTGTAGGGACATTTCCCTCCTCACTTATTGATGTATCTTACTTTATATGTTCAAATTATATTTTTGTTAACCTCTTTATTGATCAATATTCCTACTAAAAGGCAAGTTCCTCACACACATTCCTTGTCCATTAAGATGTTTCTGGTGTGTAGATGAATGGCTGACACTTAGAAAGTGCTCTTTTGTCAAGTTTTATCCTGAGGAATAGTTTAGAGTTAAATTTTCTATGTTTAATTGATTATTATCAACAACTACAAAAATGGTAGCATTTTTTTGCTTTCAATTTTGCTTTCACTTCAGGACTAAAAGAAAAAAAATAAATGAAAAAATAATAAATAAAATGAATGAGTTTTCCAGGTGGTGCCTCTTTCAGCTTCCTCTCTTCTGTCATACTGTGTTGTAAAACTGAGCCTCTAATAGAACATACCTTTCTCCTTCCCTGACCAAATATATTCTAAATATGTATTGTTGCAATAAAAGATGAGTTCAGGGCCCTTATGTGGACTCTCTCTTTTAAAGAAATCTGCAGTCTTTTAGAGATTTGTGTCGTCAAGAATCATTTCTATCCATTGAACAATATGGTTAATAACATCTACTCTTCAGGCTTGCAGTAAGATTAAATGAGATGGATATATAATGTACCAGGTCCAATGATTAGCAGGAAGTATTATTCAGTAAGTGTATTACTTCAATAAATATTCAATATATATCCTCTTCTTCCAAGCTCTCTCTTTGGACATAACAAAATAATACCCTTAAATATTAGAAAAGAAAATTTAGTCCTTTCTGTCTCAATTTCTTAAAAATTAGAAAAAGATTTTTATTTTCTTTCTGGTGACTTCACTGAACACAAAGATCAATGTTATCTCTACAGCCAATGAAATCCAGGAATAATTTTCTGCAATGATTAATTGATATTTTTAAGTCTTTCATTCTTATTAATGTTTTCTGTACATATATTTTACCTCAAGACAGCACCCACCATTCATGCTCTAAACTCCTCAAGGACAAAAGCCCTGTATTATGTGTGTTTGGATCTCAACCTTGATGCTGTATATGTTTTAGGTTTTCGAAAAACATGTTGAATTGTTGACTAAACTGTTGGAAAGCATTCAGTTATACACTCAGAAATTGATTATCAAAGGAGAAGAAGTATTTTAAAAGAAATTTGCTTCAAATTTTGGCAGTATTAATTCATATTTAAGACCATTGAGTAAGGATATTCAAGAAGTTTTTCCTTTAATCGTCATAAGGTGTAAGTCCCCTTGACATTATAAACAATTATTCATGCAATGAAGACAGGTCGACCTGTTTTGGAAAGGGCAGCCAGCTCATTTTTCTTTCTTGCCTAGTCTAGTTCTATTTTGGACTCAGGAAATGAGGAATTACTTTACAAAGAATGGGACATTCTCTAAATTCCTCTGAGCTCTATATTGAACATCCAAACCAAAAATAAAAGAAAAAAATATATAATTAAATAAATAGCAATACATTTATTATCTTTCTTTCACTCTTCTCAAATCTACCTCCAAAATAAAAAAAGAAGTTATCCCATCACTAATTATTTTAGAAGGCAGTGCCTGAACTCTATAATTAAACTTCATTTTCCAAATTATATATATATATATTTAAAATTTTAGCTGTACATTTCTGATCATAAATTTGTTTTCTCTACATCACTTTAATAAGTTTCCTTGTGCTGTGAATAGTCTGTTTTGCCCATGTACATGGTGCTTGCAGACTTTAGTTAATGATTAAAAGAGATAGGCAGATAATGTAACTTAGCCAAGGGCTTGACGAGAGCATTATTCAGTAAATATCTGTCCTTACTCCTCTAATCTGTTCTCCTGCTCTGCTCTCCTGGAGGTCCTACCACAAATTCATATACAATCAGTGCTCATATGATTTTATATTCTATGTTTATATATATCCACTTGAAGGACCGGATACAGTAAAGGGAGTAGATGAAACACACGTGACAATAAAACCCTGACCCACAATGTCTGCACTTACCAATCCAGAAAGCCAAACTACATTCGCAGCAGTCGAGAATAGTAAGGACTTGTCAGCTTCCCTGTTTGCAATTAAGACTAAATAGAGACAGCCAAATATACTCTTCAAACCAATCACACAGAATGTCCCACTTTTTGTTAGCCTGACTTCAGCTTCCCCATGCTAACAACTTCTAATCGGAGCATACCTGAAGCCTTCTTTCTCTTTTCCACTGTAAATCTTGTGCACTTTGCTGTCTTTGAGTATCTGCCTAACAGTGCTGATAGTTGACTTCTTTACCATAGCAAGCTGTGAATAAATAATCTGTTTATTTTCATTTTGATGATCTTCATTTATTTTCATACCCTCTTCGGTTAAACTTATCGTATTTTAACTTTGAATATTTCGGTAATCATCTTAATATTTTCATCTCCCCTTTTTTACTGTTATAACATTCTTGAAGCAAACTTCCACATTGTTATCAAATTGATATTTCTAGTATTTAATCAAATTATGTCAGTTTCTACTAAAATGTTTTCAAATACTTCTTATTTCCTGAAAGGAAAATCCAAAATGTTTCATGTGACCATAGGGATCTATGATTTGGTATTTTAGCCTCCTTTTTTTTTTCCATTTCTTTTTATTCCTTGAAATTCAACAACACTGAAATACTCATAATTCCATGTTTATGCCAAGACAAGCCAGGACCTCCATTTACTTTTCACTTGCTCAACCATTTGCTTTAAATGATTTATCTTGATTTCACACTAACTACACTAATCCATTCTCTCACTCTTAGTTCAGTTGTTATTACCTATGATAAACTTGCTTATTTTCCCCCAAGGAAATCTAGACCCTGTGTAGAGTTTAGAGAGCTTCACAATAACAAACGACATCTAATATTGGAGAGGTGGATTAAATACTTGCATCTTCCCTAAATTTCAAAATAATTAAAGGAAAGTTCACTTTGAAACATATTTGTATATTCCCAGGGTATGCCACTTGAGAAGTGCTTTACAAATATCAGTGGAAATAATGCAAGCATAAAGGAATGCTCAAAAACTTGTCTGATAGTCCCAACTGCTCTTTCTTTTGATTCGTTCCAAACAAGTTTAGGTTTCTTTCTTACGTGGTGAATGGTACTAAAAATTGTTCCTTTTTAAGCATACAAAAATTAAAGGAAAAACAAAGACCCACATAATCTAAATTGCTACACAATTTGATCATAACTACATTTTCTAAATCCTGACAGGTTATCTTTAAATATAATAAAAGGAGCCAGAGAAAGCGAATCACGTTTCTATACATTTTAACATATAACTTCCCAAAAGAATGTAAGGAATTTTTTTTCTACAATTAACCTGACTACTCTTTTGGGAAGTTTCTAAAACTGTTATACATATTTCAAAATAATTTTCAGAGGAAATGCCTTGTACCTCATTACAATGTATTTAAAAGTGGTTAGCATGTTATGACAAAATACTCCAAAACTGTTTGAACACAAGTGTCATTAAAATTTGCAAATGGATTGTTGAGCCTTTAGAGATACAGATGAACCATCTCTTCAAATTTTGAGAAGGTTTTGATCCATTAATAAAAAGGCGAAATAAGCAAATAATCAAAAAGCTATGTACATATGTTTGCATTTCAAAACACATATTGGCTTTTCACTCAAACAAAATAACATAGAAAAGAAGTTGGGCTGGATATAAGGCTGACATGCTGAATTATAAATACCTGTAAAATATCCAGGACAGTCCATCTGGAAGACAGAGGAAAACTTCAGTTTGAAACTTGAGAAAAATGTTTTAAATAAAAATATAGAGGGTTTGTTCAGTTATAGAGGGATATTTGAAACTTTGGATGTAGTTCACCTAAAGGTAGTGTATAGAGGAGAACTTCTATGGGCCAGCTTCTGCAGCACCAACATTTGAGGTTAGACATAGCCAGATAAAGCCTGTAAAAGAAAAAACAAAGGTAGAAAATAAGGGCTCATATTTCATCTACTAAGGGCCACTGCACAAAGCCTGACATACAATATCCTTAATACATCACCATAATGTACACTAAATACATAATGTGTACAATTTAGCGTTACTCAAAATAACTTTGAATATCAAATGTTTGAATATCAAAACTTTGAATAAGAATGAAGATCAAAGAATACCTTCATTCAACAATGGATTTTTGTTTCTTCTTCATTTTCCTATTTGTTCACTCAAAGAAACATTTATTGAGTGGTGAACAAGTCAGAAAATATCTTTGCCTTGTGAAACTTAAAGTGGATTATGGACATTACACATGGAAAAAAGGGCATGAGTGAATTTTATATAATTATAGATGCTATGAGGGCAAAATAACTTTAAAACTAAATAGAGAGTAGAATGCTAGTGGTTGTGGGAGAGGGAGTAGCAAGAGTTGGATTCCTTGCTTTAGGTAAGGAGGTCAGAGCATCCTTTCTGGGAAACTGATGTTATGACAAAGATCTGTGTGACACAGAATCAAGTTTGTGCATATTTAGAGTAAACATTCCAAGCAAAAGTAATAATTAGTGTAAAACTCTGTTGAAGGATGAACTTGACAATTTCGAGACTAGAAAGGGATGATATGGCTGAAGCCTAACGAAGGAGAAGAGTAATAAGTTAATCTGAGGTCAGAGAGGTAGCAAAAAGTCAAATTGTACAGGACATTATGAACCATGGAACATACTTGAATTTTATTTTAATTTAAGTAGAACACTTCTGGGGAGAGTTTAAGCACAGAAGGAGAAATTTTTGAAAGACTTTTGTTTTTATAAATTATTTTTTAAAAATAAAACTGGCTGCAGCTATACTGAGAGTGGACAATAGAGGAAGATGAGTGCCTCTCTGAAACTCTTCTTTCAGGAGATGTGTTGTCCGGGGTGGGGATGATAACAGTAGAAATTGTAGTGGACAGTTATATTTCTAATATATGTTACATATTTGACTAAGTGTTGGAGAAACAAAAGTGAGATGGATAGCCGTATACTTGAAATGTGTGTAGGCCATCTAAAAAGAAAAATAAATAATGTGGTGACTGCTATAATTAAAAAAAGATAATGAAATATTCTAAAACACTCATGTTTGGAAGCTAGATGGATAAGAGTTCAAATACGAGTTCTGCAATTTATTAGATGTGATATCTCACGTGAAATATGTTTTGTTTATTTGAGATTGTGTTTTATTTATAAATACATACAAGATTAAATATGTCTTAAGATTTTACCTCGTCTCAACTCAGCATACAGATAACATAATCCCAATTAAAATCACAACAATCTATTTCATAGATATTAACAAACTGATTCTAAAGTGTATGTAGAAAAGAAGACCTTGAACACATAATACAATGCTGAAGAGGAAGAACAAAGTTAGAATGTTTATACTACCTAATTTCTATAACTCTGTAGTAAAATCTATAGAAATTCAGACAGTGTGGTACTGGTAAAGAATAGATACGTAGATTAATGGAGCAAAATAGCAAATCCAGAAATAGACACACAAATTTGTCAAGTTACAAAGGAACAAAGGCAAGTCAATAGAGAATGTAGAGTCATTTTAACAAACGGTTCTGAAATGATTGAACTTTCATATACAAGATAGAATAGAAAGATATGCACACACATGCGCGCACACACACACACACACACACACCCCTACACAGACCTTATACCTTTCACCTAAATTAAGTCAAAAGGAGCATAAACCTAAGTGTAGAACATGCAACTATAAAAATTCTAGAAGAAAACATGGAAGAAATGATGTGACTTTGGAACTGATGATGAGTTTTAATATGTAAAACTAAAACCATTAACCAAAAACAAAAAAGATAAGTTGCAATTTTTTTAATTGAAAACTTCTCATCTGTAAAATATACTATTACAAAAATGAATAGTCAAGAAACATAATGGAGGAATATATTTTAAAGGCAAATATTTAATAAATGTATCTGTCCAAAATATGCAAAGAACAATTAAATTGAACAAGAAGAAAAACAATAGGCAAAATAATATGCACAGACATTTTATCAATAAAGATGAGCTAATGACAATAATCATATGAAAAGAGGATCAAAATTATCTGTGACTAGGGAATCTCAAATTGAAACAATAAGATAACACTACACACTTATGAGAAATGCTAACAAGGACTTTCATGCATTGCTAAAGGAAATGCAAAATGCTACTTCCACTTTGGAAGAGAGACCATCAGTTTCTAATAAAATTAAATGTAGTCTTGTCATGTGATCCTGCAATTACCCTACTATTTATCCAGCTTATTAAAATACGTATGTCCAGACCAAAAATTTATATGAATGGTATTTATTCATAATTGATGAAAACAGGAAGTAACCAAGATGAGACATTCTTCAATATGTGAATAGATAAACTGGGGAGCATCCATACAATAGTTATTTAGCAATAAGAAATAAAAAATATTAAGCCATGAAAATACGTGGAAGAATTTTAAATGCATGCTGCTAAGTGGAATAAGCCAGTCTGTGAATGCTATATACTGTATGAGTCCAACTACATGCCATTCTGAAAAAGGAAAACAACAGTGACAGTATATTAGTTTACTGTGGCTGCTCTAGCAAATTACCACAAATTTGGCAGCTTAAAACAACAGAAATAAATTTTTTCATAGTTGCAAAGGCCAGTAGTCTGAAATCAAGGTGTCAGGAGGGCTACACTCCCTCCAGAGGCACTGGGAGTCAATCCATTCTTTACATCTTCCAATATCTGGTAGATCCAAACATTCTTTGGCTGGTGACCACATCACTTCCATGTCTGCCTCAAGAATAATATTGCTTCCTTTTCTTCTCTGAGTGTCTTCTATCTGTTTGTTTCTCATAAGAACATTTGTCATTGGATTTAGTGCTCACCTGTGTCATTTAGGGTAGTCTCCTAATCTTGAGACCCTTTAATTATATCTGCAAAGATCCATTTTACAAATATGGTAGTATTCACAGGTTATAGGGTTAAGACAAGGACATAAATTTTAGGGACCATGATTGAGCCACTACAAATGATAAATAGTGATTGTCAGCAGATCAGGGAGAAATGAAAGGTTGAAAAACTAAAGGACCAGTGGTTTTTCTTTAGGGTTGTAAAACTATAATACTGGAATGGTGTACATAAAACACTATGTATATATCAAAAATTTATAAAACTTTATGGCACAGATATTGAACTTTAATATACAAAATTTTAAAAACCATGTTGGAGGATGGAGAAACCAAAGATGGAGTGAAGAGTATGACAAATCAATTAAATTGCATACAAAATCAGTGAACAACCGAGGTGAGAAAACTAATTCTGACCTAAGGAACTTTTGAAATGGGGAAAGTCTGCAAAACTAAAGCGACATGAAGCTTTACATAAGCACTGTACTTTAGTTGATAAAGTTGTTTCACACAGATTACAGGTTAACAGTTCTGACCACTATACACGTATACTGGAGTTAAACAATTATGTAAGTGGATTGCTAATTGTGAGAGCCAGGCTTCTCACTGTTGGAGTAGGATGTTACAAATGAGCAAGGGGAGGAAGCTAAATTGATCCATATAATAGTATATTAGAATTGGAGATTTTAATTTGAACTTATGTCTGCTTCATATAGGTACAGATGGTTACACATGGAAATATGTATAGATACCTTTCTGTACACTAGTTAGTACACACACATATATTTCCTTGCTGCATCAGCTGAGAGGACACAAAAATCATGACACCCTGGTAGGAATGAGAACACTACGACTCAGATTTAGGTTTCTAAATCTATTCTATAAAAAATAAACCAGAGCTCATTGGAGAAATGGCCTATTCAATGACTGGGGCAGGAAATAGACGAGATAAACCTGGAAAATCTTGTACTGCCAGAAAGCAAGAACGTCCTAAAAACAGACAAACAACAACAAAACCAACCACAAAGCCCTATAAGTATGGGAAGATGTCAAAATAGCTAGCACAGAAGTCAACTAAAAGAGCTCCTAATAATCAAATCTGAGAAAATGTAAACAATACAATTTTGTATTGGATTATAACACAAAATACAAAATAAGCATCCTAACATTAACACTGACATAAATAAATATTTAACATATAAGTATATATGGGAGAATAGACAAGTATCCCATAAAACACGAATTTCAAGTTTATGTAGATACCCCACCAGTGACAAGGTGGAACATAAGCATCCGCCGTTAGCATGGGTAACAGATAGTGACTTCCTTGCAAAGAGTACAGTATGAGGATAAGAGTGACTTTATGGTGGAGAAATCTGACAAATTGTCACCCAGGTGATCAAGGTTAACATTGACAGGGATAAGTCATGTTGATAGCATGTATTCTTGATATGATGTGACTCAAATGGCACTTTATTTCTGTGATCTTACTCCCAGCAACACATACTCCCAGTCTAGTCATGACAGAAACTTCAGATAAATGTTAACTGAGAAACATTTTGCACAATACCTGCAAAGTACTCTTCTAAAAGTGTCAAGGTTATCAAAGTCAAAGAAATGCTGAGAAACTGTCACAACCAAAAGAAGCCTAGGGAGACATGATACTTACGTTCAAAGTGATGTCCTGGATGGATTATGGCTGAAAAAGTACATTAAGAAAATGTGTAGGAAATCTAAATTTAATGTGGATCTTATTTGATGATAATGTATCAATATATTCTCACGCTGAATAAGTGAATCATCCTCAAGAATTAAATACTGTTCAATATTTCACAAAGAGTCAAGTCTCCCACTATTGCCAATATTGTCCTTTTTGATTGTAACCATTGTGTTTTGAAATCCAACATATTTCTAACAAAAGCCTTTGTAAAGGCTTTCACATTCTCCTCCTCCAAAAATTTCGTCTTTTCTTTCTCTGCATTCTTAGGACACTCTGCTTTTAAGAACACATGGTACTTGAGATGTGCAATTTTTCTGTCTGTGAGAGTGTGAGCTTTTGAACACTGAGCTTCTTAGAGTTAGAATAACACAGAGGTTAGAATATGAACATTCAATCAAGTGGACGTGGGATGCCATCATAGTTATTCCATTTTCCATGGATATTATTTAAACCCTTTGTGCTTCAGGTTCCCCACTCTAAAAATAGTACCTAATTATAAGAATATTTTGATAAACAATTGAACTAATATGTAAACAATTAGGAAAGTCCTGTTATATGGAGTGAACTATATAGGGATTCGTCATTATTATCGTTACTATTATTTAGAGTATATTATTATTGTCATTGTTCCATTATTTACAGTAATACATATTATATATTATAGTAAGCAAGGGTTTATTGGGCATCTATTATTTTTCTTCTCAAGTTTAATAAACACTGTGGAATTAAATGCAGCCAGTTTATTGATATTCATGAATCTGTGATGTGAATTTACAAAATAAGTTTAAAGAATTGTAAACTCCAAATCTCATCCATATAGTAGGTTTTTCCGCCCACCCCACTAAAGCTGAAGGAATCCAATAAATATTTTCTCACAGAGCATGAGTAATAGGAGAATGACAAAGGCTGTTAAATAAACTGGATAGGTTTCTATTATGTTAAGAAACAATATTGTTGGGAGTTTGACAAGATGACTTTCACACAAAGAAAAAACAGTTGCCCCTTTAGTAAGACAAAATGTTAATTAGCCCAGAGACCCCCTCGACTTGAATGTATGAGATATGGGTATGGTATTTTATACTTCATATGCATGATAAGTTATTTTGGAATATATAAAACAAGGGGCTGGGGCAGTGGCTCATTCCTGTGTTCCCAACACTTTGGGAGGCCAAGTGAGGAGGATTGCTTGAGCCCAGGAATTCAACACCAGCCTGAGAAACATAACAATAACTCATCTCCACCAAAACAAACAAACAAACAAACAAAAATTAGCCCAGTGTGATGGTGTGAGCCTGTGGTCCCAGATACTCTGGGACACTGAGTGGGAGGATTCTTTGAGCCCGGGAGATTGAAGCTACGTTGAGCAAGGATCATGGCACTGCACTCCAGCCTTGGGGACAGAGTGAGATCCTGTCTCAAAAATGAATAAATAAAAGAAGGAATGAATAAATAAAGAAATATATTCATACATGCACACAAGTTTTAAAAAATAAAACATTTAATATCTGTTCTCTGGGTGTAAGAAATTCATAAACACAAGAATGAGAAGTATATAGAGGTTTCTGTTTTTATACTAATATAGCAGGGAAATTATCACAACTTAAACATAATAAAATCCGTTTGCATTTCCTAAAATTCCTACATCAGCCTTGACTTCAAACACTCTTATTCCCAGGGCAATATTAAAATGCCATCTTACTGAAGGTTCACAATTTATTTAAGAATTTCTTAACCTTCAAATTCACTAGCATTTTTGATATATATATGGATAGATAGATATAGATATATCCCAAAATATCTTTTCCGACATATCACTTTTACCTCTTATCAAGGTATGAAAGAATGTTGCAGACCAACAAGCAATCATATATCCCCAAACATGTTTTGCTCTTTTTGACTGCTATCATTTCCTAGGCACTGAAAAAAATCACACATAGCAGTTAACTTTAAGATCTTCAGAAACACAAGCATCAGGTTCCTCCCAAGCTGCCTGTCTATTTGAAAACAGTGTATTCAACCAAGAGTAATTTTTTTGTGTGCGGCTGACTTTAACTGCTGTTCCTTTTTTCCATCAGAATTTTCTACTCTTGAAGATATATGTTGTAGTCTGAAGACCATCACCACGTTGGTTGCTGTCATGTGTAGCGTGGAACTCAGGAGAAACCACTTAAAGATTTACAAAGCATTTTAGAACATTTTACCCTCTTGTTAGATTTGCATGTATTCACATTGTGATTATCCCAAATGTAATTAGCCTTTTCTGTTTGCCAATTATCTGGGAAGATTTGCCAAATGCATCCTGACGGTATTCTGACAGAAACTTGCAGCAGTTACAAATTATCAACAATAAGTTCAGTTACGCCATAGTGTAATTCTATGCTACATGAAGAATGAATGCTATTTATTCATGTGATGGCAGAAACACTCTAAGGAATTTCTGTCAAAGAGAGTTGGGTCATTATTTGTTGGAATGAAAAAGCCATTAGGCAGCACAATATATAAATCTCAACTAAGAAAAAATGCTTTTTTGGTCTCATCTCCATAACTTTCTACAGCTTAATGCAAAGCAAAGGAGATAATCAGCTCTTAAGAATCCATATCAATAGTAAAAAACCAGTCATCCTGATATTTTGCAAAAAGGTATATATTTTTCTTTAAAAAGTGATGTGCGTGCGGATATATAATTTTTAAATGAAGTAATTAAGTAACATGGTAAACTCATGGCAATTTTCTTTCCTTCCTATTAGAAACTGAAAAGGCTTGCCAGGCATGGTGGCTCACACCTGTAATCCCAGCACTTTAAGAAGCCAAGGAGGGAGGATCACTTGAGCCAGGAGTTTGAGACCAGCCTGGGCAACAGGACGAAACCTTGTCTCTACTAAAAATACAAAAATTAGCCAGGCGTGGTGGTGCATGCCTGTGGTCCCAGTTACACAGGAGGCTGAAGCAGGAGAATGACTTGAGTCCAAAAGGCAAAGGTTGCCCTGAGATGAAATCATAGCATTGCACTCCAGTCAGGGAAGTAAAACCCTGTATCAAGAAAAGAAAAAAGAAAAAAAGAAAAGCTGATAAAAACTCAGCTTACAGATGAGCAAATCTTTCTAAGTCTGCTGGTTATCTTTTAAAAATTTATTTGAGTAGAAAAATAATTGTCTATGTTTAAACTGTATTGTGTTTGTGTGGTTTTCTTAAGATAATTGAAAGTAAGACACTGTATTTTATCTTAAAAAGCCATAGGTTTAAACAGATTGGATGACAGGAAAATTTGGCACCAATAAAAATAGACATGGTAAAAGAATGAACTGTGAATGACCAGTAAACTTATAAAAGTGTTCATACTCACCAGTAATCAAGAAAATGCAAATTAATTTAACAATAAAATGACCTTTTTACCTCTGAGAAAAAAACAAGATGAAAATAAATGACTGTACAGTAGATTAGTATTACCTACCTATAGATTTATCTGTCTAACTATCTGTCTTAGCACAGGATTTGAGACAACTTAGAGGAAATAAAACTACCTAACAATAACACACATATGCACACACACACACACACACACACAAACCAGGTAAAATATAAAAATAGAATAAATATCATCACCCAAATGGAAAGCTAGTTTTTAAATAGAATTATTCCATATGTATGCAAATACAATTTGCCTTTAGCGTCACTTTTTATTCTAAAAAGAACTGTTGCTTGAGTGATAATTTACATGATTTTTTTAAAGCAGGCATTAGCTGAGTTTAATGTGGAAGAGATACTGAAATTCTAAGAAAATGAGAAGTATTAAAAGTTTCCAAGAGCATAATTATATAGGCAGTCTATTAATTTGAGTGCACCAAGTCAAAGGATTGATCCTTTGGTAAGGCCTCTATGCTTTATGTGGAACTGTCAAAATCAATAACCCAGGAGCATAACCAAACTAGAAAGAGCACAGCCTTCATGAATACTATAGTACGTGTTCAAATCAATTCTTTGATTAAGGTAATCAGGATGGCTAGCGCCTCTACTCATCTATGAGAAGTTAACAGAAATATTTAATGGGGTAATTCCAAAACTTATTTAATTTTAACATTTTTTCCTATTAACACATAACAGTAAAAAATTTAAGCATATAACGAGACATTATTTGTAATGAAAATCCAAAAATAGTGACATTAAAAGGAACGCACATTGAACCCACGTGCAAAATTATCAGAGACTTCAAATAATTCAGATTAATACTCTCAATTTAAAAAAAAATATTAGAGAACAGAAAGCTCTATAAGCAAATAGAAATTCTAGAACTGAAAAATATAATACTTAAAATTAAGTTGTTAAAGGATAGACTTACCAACAAATGAGCTACAGTTTAAGAGAATTAGGAAAGCAGAAAACATATGAAATAAAATTATGTAAAAAACATGAAATAAAAAAATGTAATTAAGCATTACATGTTAGTTTTCTACTACTGTTATAATAATAAAGTATCACAGATTGGGTGGCTTAAACAACAGATATTTTCTTTTCTTTTCTTTTCTTTTTTTTTTTTTTTTGAGACGGAGTTTTGCTCTTGTTGCCCAGGCTGGAGTGCAATGGTGTGATCTTGGCTCAATGCAACCTCCGCCTGCAGGGTTCGAGCGATTCTCCTGCCTCAGCCTCCCAAGTAGCTGGGATTACAGGCGCCCACCACCATGCCCAGCTAATTTTTTGTGTTTTTAGTAGAGATGGGGGTTTCAACATGTTGGCCAGGCTGGTCTTGAACTCTTGACCTCAGGTGATCCACTTGCCTCAGCCTCCACAAGTGCTGGGATTACTGGCGTGAGCCACCGCACCTGACCCTACAACAGATATTTTCTTATGGTCCTGGGGGCTAGAAATCCAATCCAAGGTATTAGCAGGGTTAATTTCTTCTGAGACTTTTTTCCTTGCCTTTTTTGCATGAACATCTTCAAATGGCTTTTCCTCTATGCTCACCTGTGTCCAGATTTCCTCCTCTTCTAAGGATATAGTTCATATTTGGTTAGGGCCTACCCTAATGAACACCCATGTAAACACAAACACCTATGTAATGACCAGATCTCCAAATATAGTCACATTTTGAAGTATTGGAGGTTGGGGCTTAAACATGTAAATCTGTGGGAGACACAATTCATCCCGTAACATTTGTAAAAAAAGAGGATGGAAGATAAAAACAGAAAATAAACATGAAAAAGATATAGTCCTTATAATACCAGAAGGAGAGGCGAGATATAAGAGAGAATATGAAATATTTCAAGATGAAAATAAGAGAATTTTCTCAAAGTAGTTTAAAAGAAATCAAGCCACAAAATCAAGAAGCACTGTAATACTCATGTAAAAAATATTTTTAAAAGACATAAGTAAAATTGTCATGATAAAAATCTTAAAATCAGACTTATAATGTCACATTATCTTTAAAGTTGTAAGTATGAGACTAAAAGGTGTGAGACACCAAAATCATTTGGATTATATCTTCAAGTTGTTGTTGGGATGGGGGGTGGCAGAAGGAAGGTCAGGTTGAAATTCCATACCAAGTAAAAAATGTTATTAAATGGTTGAGGTTAAACATTATCAGGCAAATAAAACTTACTCAGACACAAAAGACCTGCATTAAAAGATATACTAATAAGTTTTCCTAACAGAGAAATAAATGAACCCATATGGAAGTTTGGAGGTAGAAGGTAAAGACCAACAAAAGTACATATAAACATGATAAATCTAAAAATATTGATTGCAAAAAACAATGTAACAATTATACTGGAATTTGTGTAACAGAAGGTAATAGCATGAGTTGGTAGAGAGTGAAAAATATTATTATAATGTTATAGAGTCATTCTTTTGTTGGGAAGAGGTAAACATTTGGACTTGCATACACTCTGATGGATCAAAGACTAATGATGCAATCTCCAGGAAAGATGCTAAAATAAAAAGTAAAATAATGTATAATTATCAAGATAATAAAGAGACAGTATGAGATAAATAGCAAGTAGTTGAATAGTATATTTAAATTTAAATGTATAACTATCCACATTACATGTAAATAGCCAATTTTTTCCAATTGAAAGACAAAATTTTAGATTTTTTTAAAAAAAATACTGCATTCTGCTTAAAAGAGTCAAATCTACATTAAATAAATACAAAGAAGATTAATGCATAAAGAAAAATATATTCTAAGCAAAATTAAACAACAAAATCATGGTGCTACTGCAATACAGAAAAATTAGAACTAAAAAAAACTGTATGAGAAAAGGCCATTAAATGCTAAAAAGTAAATACCAGAGAGATATAAAATGTAAGATTTTTGTACATTAAAAAACCTACCCTAAAATATGTAAAACATATAGTGTCAGAAATGGCCAGGCAAGGTGGCTCACGCCTGTAATTCTAGCACTCAGGTGGCTTTGACCTGAGGTCAGGAGTTGGAGACCAACCTGGCCAACATGGTGAAATCCAACAGGGTAAAAATACAAAACTTAGCCGGGCGTGGTGGCATGTGCCTGTAATCCCAACTACTCTGGAGGCTAAGGCAGGAGAATTGCTTGAACCTGGGAGGCGAAGGTTGTAGTGAGCTGAGATGGCACCACTACACTTCAGCCTGGGCTATAGAGAGAAACTCTGTCTCAAAAAAAAAAAGGAAAGAAAGAAAGGAGAAATGCATATACCTACAATTATTTTGGGTGTATGTTTATGCACCTATCTCAGGCTGTGGTACACAGTATAGACAATATTGTATTATGTATTACTAACAAAATATTTTATCAACCAAATTAATAATTGCCTGGTTGATTTTTATGAAAGATTGAAGTATGTGTATAATTTATAAGTTCTCAGGAACATTTCCATATTGATAGTATCTGCATTATACACTTTTGAGAATGTGGTTTTTGACCACTGTGGAATTGGCAAGGAAAGAATGACAGAAAGCTAGAAAATATCCATGTGTTTGAAAATTAACACACATATTTATAGCTCAAGTCAAGAAAGACAACATACTAAAATTACAAACCATTTAAAGTATATTTTAATTAAAATGTGAAATTAACAAAAATACAGGGTGAAGTCAAAGGATTTGAAAAATATGCTTTTATAAAGGCCAATATGAAGAAAATATATTCGAAATGTATGTGACAAGTATTCACCTTAAGAAAATAAAACAAAGCTGGAGGCATCACGCTACCTGACTTCAAACTATACTACAAGGCTACAGTAACCAAAACAGCATGGTACTGGTACCAAAACAGAGATATAGATCAATGGAACAGAACAGAGCCCTCAGAAATAATGCTGCATATCTACAACTATCTGATCTTTGACAAACCTGAGAAAAACAAGCAATGGGGAAAGGATTCCCTATTTAATAAATGGTGCTGGGAAAACAGGCTAGCCATATGTAGAAAGCTGAAACTGGATCCCTTCCTTACACCTTATACAAAAATTAATTCAAGATGGATCAAAGATTTAAATGTTAGACCTAAAACCATAAAAACCCTAGAAGAAAACCTAGGCATTACCATTCAGGACATAGGCATGGGCAAGGACTTCATGTCTAAAACACCAAAAGCAATGGCAACAGAAGCCAAAATTGACAAATGGGATCTAATTAAACTAAAGAGCTTCTGCACAGCAAAAGAAACTACCATCAGAGTGAACAGGCAACCTACAAAATGGGAGAAAATTTTCACAACCTACTCATCTGACAAAGGGCTAAAATCCAGAATCTACAATGAACTCAAACAAATTTACAAGAAAAAAACAACCCCATCAAAAAGTGGGCAAAGGATATGAACAGACACTTCTCAAAAGCAGACATTTATGCAGCCAAAAGACACATGAAAAAATGCTCATCATCACTGGCCATCAGAGAAATGCAAATCAAAACCACAATGAGATACCATCTCACACCAGTTAGAATGGCGATCATTAAAAAGTCAGGAAACAACAGGTGCTGGAGAGGATGTGGAGAAATAGGAACACTTTTACATTGTTGGTGGCACTGTAAACTAGTTCAACCATTGTGGAAGTCAGTGTGGCGATTCCTCAGGGATCTAGAACTAGAAATACCATTTGACCCAGCCATCCCATTACTGGGTATATACCCAAAGGACTATACATCGTGCTGCTATAAAGACACATGCACATGTATGTTTATTGCGGCACTATTCACAATAGCAAAGACTTGGAACCAACCCAAATGTCCAACAATGATAGACTGGATTAAGAAAATGTGGCACATATACACCATGGAATACTATGCAGCCATAAAAAATGATGAGTTCATGTCCTTTGTAGGGACATGGATGAAATTGGAAATCATCATTCTCAGTAAACTATCGCAAGGACAAAAAACCAAACACCACATGTTCTCACTCATAGGTGGGAATTGAACAATGAGAACACATGGACACAGGAAGGGGAACATCACACTCTGGGGACTGTTGTGGGGTGGGGGGAGTGGGGAGGGATAGCATTAGGAGATATACCTAATGCTAAATGATGAGTTAATGGGTGCAGCACACCAGCATGGCACATGTATACATATGTAACTAACCTGCACATTGTGCACATGTACCCTAAAACTTAAAGTATAATAATAATAAAAGAAAATATTATCAAAATAGAAGAAAATTAAAAATATAAGAAAATAAATAATATTTATGTATAAGAAACTAATGAAATAGAAAACAAATAAAAAATTTACACAGCATAAATTGAACCAAGAGTTGTTTCTTTCAATTCAGGATAGTAATTAACTTTGGGGAAGAAAGAAGTTGTAAGGGGCAGAGGTAAAAAAAAAAGCATATTCTGTTGTGCTAATAACATTCTATTTCTTTTGTTTTTCTTTTCTTTTTTTTCTTTTTTTTTTTTTTTGGTTTTTGAGACGAAGTCTTACTCTGTCGCCCAGGCTGGAGTGCAGTGGCGCGATCCCGGCTCACTGCAAGCTCCGCCTCCCAGATTCACGCCATTCTCCTGCCTCAGCCTCCCGAGTAGCTGGGACTACAGGCTCCCACCACCACGCCCGGCTAATTTTTTTTATTTTGTTTAGTAGAAACGGGATTTCACCGTGTTAGCCAGGATGGTCTCGATCTCCTGACCTCGTGATCCACCTGTCTCAGCCTCCCAAAGTGCTGGGATTACAGGCATGAGCCACCGCGCCCGGCCAACATTCTATTTCTTGACTAGCAGGCCTGTTATGAATATTTCCTCGGTAAAAATTAACTTGCTATAAAATTACAATCTGGGTACCTTTGGGTATGTGTGTTGTACTTCAATACAGCTTTGAAAATTACAAAGAAATAAATGTAGTAATTTTGAGTATAAAGTTTTCATTTCTATATTGTTGCCATGGCAAATTATTTAAAATGAGTTACGCTGGTCTTCTTTGACCAAGCCATTCTTGACTATAAGTTAATGAGCAAATGGTAGTTGGGTACGTATGATATTTGAAGAATCATTGCAAGAGAAAAAAACAGAGTGATAGTGAAAAAGTAGTCTTTGTCCTTAAATATCTCAATAGACAATACTATTACTACAAGCCATATTGAAATAATTATTTTAAATAAAATAATCAAAATGCTCTGATAATAAAAAATAAGGAACAATAAATTACAAATTAAAGTTTTTATGAATGTGTTAGAATTTAAACTACCTACTGATGTATGATCAATATCTGCCAAAATAAAGAAGAAATGGTAGAAAAGCACTTCAGGTTAAGGCATAAGGGTCACACTGTAGTGGAAAAGTCAGAGAATGGTAAATAAACTGGTACAGCTAAAAACATGTATATATACATATGTATATATCCAAGTTCCCTGATGACATGAGAAATGAGATTATGGAAGATGGTAGTAAATGATAGTTTGCTTCATGTCATCAGGGAACTTGGACAAGAGAGGAGATAGAATATTATTGGCAATTCAAAGCAAATAATACTAACCAGGAGGAGGGAGTAATGTGTGTGTGCATGTGTGGATGTGTTTTTCAAAATTAACTATGGATGAATTACATTGGATATCCAGCAGAAGTCTACAGATAGAGCTTGGCCAGTACTCTTCTCCCTAGATTCTATATAATGGTTACATTTCTAGTCAAGATTAAAAAAGAAATAGAAATACCCTCTCATTAACTTGGAGGCAAAGAAATTCAATGGAAGTGTGTCAAGGAGCCGTGCTTTCCAGGAACCAAGCACAAGATCCACAGCAGTGGCCATCTACTGAGAACACTGCCATTTGGCTTCTTCCACTACATTCCCTACAGTATTTCTGAATGTCATAGCCCTGAACACATGCTACTATTTTGAGGGGTTCTTCAATTTGTAGGATTCTTGCATTATTTAAGTTTCTGAGAGGAAGCATCAAGTCGGTTATGTCTGGTTATTTGCAAAAGCTATAGATTCCAGAGGGTGTGTAAAAGAAATAAATATGGGAAACAGAATATTAACTTTAGCTTGAGTTGCCTCCTGGCATAAGAATAAACAAATATCCTTTTTGTTGTTTGACATCTATACAAATTATTTTTATACATTGCATCCCCACCTCCCTCCCCCCGCACACAAATATTCCCATTTTATATAATGCAGCTACTCCTGTTACAACTAAAAATGAATTTACACTCTTCCCAAGTAGACAAAATTTTTACAAGTAACTGTACACAGTCCAGGTTCAGAATTTCTATATAATGTAAATTCCTCTTCAAATTCTATCACTGTTATTTTCTGAAAATTATAGAACAACTGTGTGGTTAATTATAAAACTAACCACTAAAACATATAAAATACTGAAGGTGAGGGAGTGAATACAAGGAATTTATTAAAATATATAAAGAGATACATGACACTTTATATCAACTTCATTATTTAGAGGCTTTTCTGAATTGGGTATCCTCAGAGACACACACACAGGCAAGTCATTAGTGGGACCCAGAGTCATGGCAGAATCTTACTCAGCCCTTCTTTCCGTCCTGTCAAGGAGTGACACTGAAATATACAGTTAAGAGCTCCCCAGTGTTCTTCAGGACTACCTGTAGGGGGGTTGCAATACCACCCCTGCATAAATCAGCTGTTGCCATCATAGCATATGGAGTCATATAAACCAAACTAGAATTAAATTTTTATTCGTCAGTTAAAATGCCCTAAAGAAATCCACATGAGGCTATCAGTATGGATTAAGGGAGGGCAAGAGTACAGCAGAAATTGGCACACTAGGAATGTGAATAACCTGGTAATGTGACTTTCTTGTACTTTAAAGAAATACCTGGGTTCAGTCTTTTATATAGCCCACATCCCTCTGATGATGAAGTGCTACTATGAGATCTGGATCTAATAGCTGAGTGGATTCGTTTACATCCAGTACAGGATGAACTACTAGAAGCAACAACAACAACAACAACAACAACGACAAACCAAGCAGTCACTTGATGCCCCATGGACATATGCTGAACCTCCAGAATGGTCCCTAGTGAGCCAAGAACTGTTGTCAAAGGATAATCACAGTTACTTCTGGAAGAGTGCACTACATAGCTTCAGATCCTTGGGGACCTCACTTGGGCTCTCTCTGATATTAGCTTACCATCAGTGAGCATAGATACATTGAGCCACATTGACTCTAAGATTGTAAGTGCAAAGTAGAAGAGGTGCAGCCTGGAAAATCTGCCCTTCTGGCATGGAACACCATGGAAAGCTGGTTGCTTTGAGGATCTCAGGTAATACGTTGGAGCACTCTGCTAAAAGGTGATATATGTTCCCTCCAAACCTATCAGCAAGCTCTTTTCTTAGCAGTTGGGAATACAATGTTACAGCATCTTGCCTTGTCCTCTCAGATGGAAAAGACTGGCAAGTTCCAGATTCTTGGCCCATCAAAAAAGTTCATTGATGTAGCAGACTCCTGTATCTTTGTGTGATTTATTCTCAATCTCTGAATACAGTTATACACTCCATGATGATATTTCAGTCAACATAGACTCTATGTACCATGGTGGTCCCAAAAGATTTTAAAGGAACTGAAAAATTCTTATCATCTACTGGAGTCATAGCCTTCATAACGTTGTAGTGGAATGTGTTACTCATGTGTCCTTGGTGATGCTGGTGTAAACAAGCCTACTGTGCTTCCAGTCGTATAAAAGTATAGCACATACAATTATGAACCGTGAATAATACTTGATAATTGTAATAAATAATTTTTCATGCATTTACTGTATTATACATTTTTATTTTATAATTTTAAAGTGCACTTCTATGTATCTATGCATGTATCTATCTATAAAATTAACTGTAAAAATAGCCTCAGGCAGGTCTTTCAGGAGATATTTTAGAAGAAGGCATTTTTATAATGGAATATGGCAGCTCCACAGATGTTACTGCCCCTGAAGAACTTTCAATGCGATGTGGAGGTGGTAGATAGTGATACAGATTATCCTAACCCTGTGTAGGCCTAGGTTAATATATGTGTTTGTGCATTAGTTTTTCCAAAAAAAAAAACATGAAAAGTTTAAAAAAATAGAAAAAATCTTACAGAATAAGTATTAAAAATTATTTATGTACAGCATACAATGTGTTTGTGTTTTAAGTTGTGCTATTACAAAAGAATTAAAAAGTTAAAAGAGTTAAAATATTTAAATTTATAAGGAAAAAATATAGTAGGTTAAGGTGAATTTATTATTGAAGATGTTTTTGTAAATTTAGTGTACCCTAAGTGTACAGTGTTTATAAAATCTATAGTAGTGTACACCAATGTTCTAGACCTTCTCATTCACCCATCACTTACTCCCTCACCCAGAACAACTAACTCCCAGTCTTGCAAGCTCCATTCATGTAAGCACTCAGTATAGGTATAACATTTTTAACATTTTATACCACGACTTTACTGTACCTTTTCTATGTTTAGATACACTCATATTTACCATCGTGTTCCAATTAATATTCAGTAGATGATTTACAGTTTGTAGCCTAGAAGCAATAGGGCATATCATATAACCCAGAAGTGTAGTAAGATATGCCATCAGGTTTGTGTAAGTACACTCTATGATGTTTGTACAACAGCAAAATCACCTAATACATTTCACAAAATGTATCCATTAGACTTCACATCCAGTGTTGGGAACCAAATTTAAACATAAGGTTTGGAGGACAAACATCTAAACTATAGCAATTGGTTAAAGGCTAGTGGTAGCCCTGTGAAGAGGGTGAATAACCCTGAAACAAATGATAACATTTTATTTCTGGGCTTGTAGGGTAAAAACAATCCTCTTGTGCTATTTTATCTTACTGAAATGGAGAAAAAGTATTTGTCAGGTCAATAGCTGCTTGCCAACTGAATTGATTTGTTCCTACAATAGACCATATCTGGAAGAACAGCTGCAATGGAATGATGATATGATTAAACTTACAATATTCCATTGTGTTTCTCCAAGACACATGTAACTTTTGTATCATGCAATATAGAGTCTGATATAAAAATGGAATAAGGATCACCATTCCTAATCTTTAACGTTTTTATGTTGACGCTAATAGCTGTGATTTACAAAGGACGTTATTTTAAAAATTATTGCCCTTTTCTCCTATAGTAGACTTAACTTGGTGCATCAGTGAGTTATTATATCAATTCTGCCAGGTATTTTTAAATTTTAATTTCACTTATTTTTTTATTATTTTTTAAAGAGATGAGGTCTTGCTCTGTTGCCCAGGCTGCAGTGCAGTCATATGATCATAGCTCATTGCAGCCTCAAACTCCTGAGCTCAAGTGGTCCTCCCACCTCACCTTCCCAAGTAGCTGGGACTACAGTAGTGCTCCACCATACCCAGCTACATTTTAAAAAAATTTTTAGTAGAGAAGAGGTCTCACTTTTTTGCTCAGGCTGATCTCCAGCTCATGGCCTCAAGCCATCCTCCTGCTTTGGTCTCCCAAAGTGTTGGGATTATAGGCATGAGCCATCATATGTGGCCCACTGCCAGGTGTTTAGGATACATGTTCAAATGACACTTTCAGTCTTACTTACCCTATCATGGGGAAAATTATGTTAGACATCTTTAAACATTTGTCCCCTTGACCTTGACTGTTGGAGCTGTGATGTTCTGGCTTCCTTAGAATTGGTATTTGCTAAGGGGTGCTGTTCACTACTATTTACCCTCTATTGGCAAAGTTACCCAGTTGAGTTGTTTTAGGTGCCTTAGGGAAGGTTAGGAGGAATTCACAGTATATAATCATGTTATTGCAGTATCATTTCTCAAAGAGCTATAGATTTTTCTTCATTTGAAAGGTGTTGTTTGTTATCTGAATCCTGTCCTGAAATAAGGAAAGTTACCATCACTCTATTTTTTTGCCTCTTGGTTTTCTCTATAACAAGCATGGACCCTTTCATTAATAAATCAACCTTAGTAGGCTACCTATTTATTTCAGTCCTGGGAATTTCATTATTTAATAATCATAACTAAATATACCTGTGGGGCAGGCCACTTTGATTACCATATTGGCTTTATGTGTGACAACAACATTTAACTTTGTGTAGCCTCTGATATTCTGGACTCCTTTTCTTCCTTTCAAAAAGATTGTCATATATTTATTTAATATTAATTCCTCTGTGAAATGTGGCTTACATAAACACAAAGCATTTCAGAGGGGCAGTATGCCAATGGAAAGAGATTTGTTTATTTAAACCAATTATGACTATCGTATTCTCCTCTTACCCAATCTCCTTTGCAGATAGAAGTGGTTATGTTACTTTGATCTAGCAAATTAGTTATTTAAGGAAGTCTTTGTGCGGGGGCGGGGGGGAGTATTTAAGGAGATATTTTTGCTGCCTAGATAAAAAGGCTAAAATGACTGATCTAATCACTTTGTTTATTTCTGCCTTGAAAGCAGATGTAAAGGTAAACTAGAAAAGCCATATTATAACCATGATAAAATAAATCAGAAGGGTCACTAAAATGCTGGCCCTGTCATTCTTCATCCTTAGAAGCATTACCCACAAATTTTTATCTTTGAACTTCTTTCTAACTGAATAACAAGACTCTATCCCTATAGCCAGGTTGTCTCTTGCAGATAAAAACATTCCTTATATGAATACCTTCTAAAATTTCTAGCAGTATTCCAGTCAACAGACAGCAGTAACAACTAAAGTACTTTCCACATTTAACATGTAGTAAATACCTGTTAACGTCCCTAGCTACTGAATTATTTAGATTTCTACCTCTTCATTATAGCAAGAAATTTCTGTCATATCAAATGCATTTAGTCTGGGCTAAGGATAAGTACAGGTTTTAATCAAGTAACTGAGCACACAGATTTTCAAGCTAGTATGCTAAATCTAGAATCTATGGCATGTTTACCAACGCCATAAATTCAGCCTACTCACTAATATACTTTTCTTCTTGGGCAGGCACCAACAGAATCCATAAAGACAAATATTTCTCAGGGTTTTTCAATATACACTAGCAAAGTTTTGTTTTTAGCCTGAGAAAAGGCCAATGGATGATGATAATCAAATGAAAGAATGAATAAATAAATACAGATAGAATGAAAACCACAGCCTTTCTGATAGAAAGAGCTATTTTCTTGAAAATAAAGGCAGAGTTCAAGAAAGGAGAGGGTTGGAGAGGATGAGCCACATATTTTTGAATAAACTCTGCTCAAATTTCTGACTAACCTCTGAACCACACTTGCATGGGATAAAATTAACCATACAGATTTAAAAATTACACTGAGACTGGAGATGTTATCAAAAAACCGGCTTTTATAATTTAGGTTGAAACAAGTTTAATTACCTGCTAAAACAAAATAATTCAGAATTATTCATAGAAATATATGTAATCCAAAATACAATATTTACAATGTTAAGGATAAAATGCAAGTTTTTCAACATACAAAGACTCATTCTCAAAAACAGATACAGATATATAACCTGATATGACAAATGTGTTGCAGTAAGTAGACAAAGATTATAATACATATTTTTCTGCTCAAAAAGAGAAAAGGAAATATAGATCCAGTGAATAAATGAATAGAAAATCCCAGCAGAAATATAGAAATGATGAATAATAATAGTAGAAATTATGGAACTGAAAAATTAATGAAACAAAAAATATTGAAAAGAATATATATGACTTTAACAACAAAATGAAGATCACAAAGGAAAGAAAGACATGTCAAGAAAATTTTGTATTTTGATGAAGAGACTAAAATGATTTGGAAAGAGAGTCTTAGAGATCTATGGAATAATATCAAAAGATATAACCTACTGTTAATCAGAATCAGAAAAGAAGGGAGAGAGAATAAAGCAAAACAATAAGATACAAAAACAATGGACAGTATAACCTTTAGTTGGTAAGACATATACATTTTTTATTGTTAGGTAACAATTATACATAGGGTACATAATATTTTGATAGATGAGTACAACATGTAATGATCAAATTTAGGTCAGTGGGATATCCATCACCTCAAATATTTATTATTTCTTTGTATTAGGAATATTCCAAAACTTCTCTTCTAGCTATTTTGAAATATATAATAAATATTTTTAGCTATTATCACCCTACTGTGTTGTTGAACATTAGAACTTATTCCTTCTATCTAGCTGTATTTTTGCACCAATTAACCAACCTCTCTTCATCCCCCTCATCATCATTCTCAACCTATGGTAGCCACCATTCTATTCTGTACCTCCGTGAAATCAACTTTTTTAGCTCCCACATATAAGTGAGAACATGCAATTTTCATCTTTCTGTACCTAGCTTATTTTACTTAACAAAATGTTCCCCAGCCTCATCTATGTTGTTAAAAATGACAGCATCTTACCATTTTATAGTTGAATAATATTCTAGTTTGTATATATGTACCACAGTTTCTTTAGGAAGAACATAAATTTCAAAATTAGTTAAAATAAGCTAACTTCAAGAAGGATAAACATGAAGGTAACCATTTGTAGGTATACCATTGTTGAAAGGTCAGGATAGGCTTGCTTATGATATAACTTACAAACTCTGATATCTCAGACTCCTAACACAGAAAAGTGTTTGTTGTTGTTGTTGTTGTTGTTGTTGCCTTGTGATAGACTGTTATGAGCATTCTCTTCTTAGCATCTCATCTCTACTGTGACCCAGAAATCCTGGGGGCATTCATCCTGCCATGCAGACATTTTGGAGTCCTTTCCCTCTCTCAACACAAACAAGAGGGAGTGCATAGAGAATTCATACACTCATTTTTAACTTTGTCATGCAGTCAAGAAAGAACGCACCTCACTTCCACTCAAATCTATTGGCCATAATAAGTCATGTGCTCCAATGTAACTGCAAGGGTGAGCTGGAAATGCAGAAGAGTCCACGGGACATTTGGTAAGCCCAAAGTGTCTGTCCAGAAAGGAGGTTTAACAATAAGGAAGCAGTGTCAAATGCTGTAGTGAACTAATGATGAATGATAATTTCAAATTAGGTCTTAGATTATATCAGAAGCCTGCAAATTATAGATCATAGATCAAATTCCTATATCTATCTATCTATCTATATATAACTTTATTTGAATACAGCTATGGTTATTTATCAAATATTTTGTCTATTGGAGCTTTCTTGCTACAACAGCAGAGTTTGTGGCAGAACCTGTATGATAAGCAAAGACTAACATCTTTACTGTCTGGACATTTCAGAATTAGTTTCCCATCCCCTAGGTTACATGATTACAAAATTACTCATGATTTTTAAGCTTTCAATGGATAGTATAGAACCAATGAGGGAAGAAATGATAGGAAGATTGAGAAATCAGATTAATAAAGTAGATACAAGTTATTTTAGAATTTTGCTGGAGAAGAAAATATAAAAACATGTTTTCAAAATTTTTTATTTAGGTACTTATTTACTTGTTGCTTATTTTATTTCATTTAGACAAATATTTATTTTATGAAACCTAAGAATATTTTAAGCCACAGTGCAACTCTGAAGATGCAGGTATATGATAAAATAATTGAGGAAGTGTGGCTCTGGAATAGTGAGAAGAGAATGAGATTCCAAACTCTAGTGAAAGACATAGAACAGGCTTGTTAATGATGACAGCATTAAAGTTACCCTGAGACAAGTTTGAAAACGAGAAAAAAAGCCACTATACAATATTTTTATAAATACTTTTATTTTTTGCTAATTACAAATTTAAGTTGATATATATTAAAAATGTAACACCATAGAAATTTAGAAAAGGAGAAAATGAATTTATCCCGTAACACGATCATTCTCCCATGGGTGACTGTTGATGAAAAGTTGCCATCAGTTCCTCTGTATTTTTCTAGGCATGAATTAGCATACATAATTTATTATTATTTAATACAAATAGGATGAAATATGTACTTTTTAATCTGCTATCTTTACCATCACTTGTCAATTATGTGTAGATCTCTCCTTTTTCAGAGTGCCAGACAGAATACCCTTTATGTAGCTATTCCCAGTTTCATCATCTCAATTCATGTGATGTGCATTAATTTATTTGTAAGTTTTGTTATAATTATTGAAAATAATATGCATGTCTATAAGTGCATGTTTTATTAATATTTCTATAGAAATGCTAGAAGTAGAATTTGAAGTAATTTAAAACAGTAAAGGAAAAAGTTGAAGGACCGCATATCAAATAGCACTCATATTATCCAGTAAGAGGCAAACAATTCATCAGCTACATATAAGAGAAAATGGCTATATTCAGGGCTTGAAGAGAATGGAGACAGCCTGCAACATCTAATGCCGTATGACACTAATCTTCCAACATTTTTTTAAACATTATAATATTACTTTATCTTTTACCTCTAAATACTTACACAGCTTCTGGATGTCCAATAGCTAACCGTAAAGTACTTTGTGATGAAAATGTGATGACTGACAGTGGAGCTAATCTTTCTGCAGTTCCACAGGCCTTCCTTTGTTATTTTATCTGGATGTCATGTTAAGTTACTAAAAACAGCCCTTTTGAAAAAAAGAATAGCATTCTATGGATATGAAAATGTCTGATTGCTTCACATTGACTTGAATGAAAAAAGCATGCGCTGTTCAAAAAGTGTGTAGTTGGAACATCGGTAAGATGGACCAAAGTTGAAAATGAAAGTCTGGGTATTTTTGGCAGTGTTCTCAAGTCAACCTGTGTTAATTTATTTAGCCATTATGATATAATTTACTGATTGACCTTGCCAATCTTTATAAAATAGTCTTCCAACACAGAAATTGTACTTATAGTAAAATAAATTACAGAATCTCACAAGGCAAGATGGCTGACTAGACACAGCTAGCAGGAGCATCTGCCACTGAGGGACCAGGACACTGGGAAGACTGGCATACTCTGAGCAGATCTTTGGAATGAAGACATTGAGAGTGAATAGAGGGAGGATACAGACACTAGTCTGAAGGGTGAAGAAGTAGGGAATGCTCTCAGCAATACCATGCACCAGGACTCATTCCTGGATCCCAACAACTCCTGGGGAAGGGGTGAGTTGGGCACATGCTGAGCAACTCCCTCTTGCCATAGATCCCTGGAATCGTGGCAACAGGAGACCCCACAGCCCCTACAGGCACTTGAGCTGGCAGGGACTGCTACTTAGAGAGGTGGTAGGAGCAGGCCTATAGCCTGTGCAGAGCCCAGAGTGTTTGGTGCAGAAACATCTGCAGGGGAGCATGGCAAGGGACAGCCATCCCCAAAGGCTTGCCATACTCCTCTAGAAGACTCTAGCCTTAGGGGGACTGTTAGACCTGAACAATGTAGGGTAATCTACCTGGGAGATGGGACTAGTCTGACCTGAGCACTCTTCTGTTTGCTGGCCTGTCCCAGGGCCCCAGCCTGGCTGTGCCTATTTGCAATGCAGACTTGGATGCCCAACCTGGATGCCTCCCAAGGGCCCAAATCATAGTTCCTACACTGCCAGACTCTACATGACCATCAGACAGCTTCAACAGAGTGGCCCCTGACAATATGCACCAACCCACCCAAATCCTCCCCACAGCACAGCCTCCCCTGTGCCACTTTGCCAGGATGGACTTGCCCACAGCCACCCCCATTGCTTTTCCAGCATGCATTTGCATGGGCAACCTTTCCTCCCCTGCCCTGCTGGCACATGAGTGTCCATAAACCACACTGTACCACTGCTGCACACTAGAGCATACCTGCTACCCCATGCCATTGCAGTACTGTGATGCCATGCTGCCATTGCCAGCCCAAACATGAAGGTGGTTACCTGTGGCCCCAATCCCCACTCTTTGTTGCCACTGCCACAGGCATGGACACACAGAGGAAAACCGGTAGCCCTGTGCCCTGCCCCATGCCACTGCCACCACCACTGGCATGAAGGTGCACATGGAGGTCACCAGACCTGTGCCATCTGAGCCCCACCCCTGCATCAATACTGTCATGGGTGTGAATGTGTGCCCAGACTCCAGCAGCTTCACGCCTCCCAAAATGCTGGTGCCAACACCTGAGAGGAGGCTGGCAGCCCAGGGACTGCTAGCACCCTGTCCCAGCTGAGGGGCATGCACCCAACCATGTGGCTATTTCTACTGTCACATAAACTGAATACAAATCTCTCTGCCACTGCCTGAAAAATTGTCTCACTGGCTGGCATCGCTCTTTGGAAGGTTGTGGTCAGTGGTCTGGGAATACTTCAAGCCCTCTAGTGAAGCAGGTTACCAACATTGAGAGGGGAGAGAACAAAGCCAGAGGCCCAGTACCAGCCCCCCAGAATTAGTGTACACAACCCAGGAATGCTGAGCTGGGCCTTGCCCTAACAAAAAAAAAATTCACCAGAAACAAATCCAATTGACTAAACTCACCTTATACCATAATCAAACCCCCAAGGACATCAAATAAGATAAAAGCAAAACAAAAACAAACCCATCAAAAGGACATCAGTGTCAAAAATGGAAGGAATGTCAGGCCACACAGATGAGAAAGAATCAGCACAAGACAAGAACTCTGGAAACTCAAAAAGCCGAAATGTCTTCTTACCTCTAAACGAGTGCACTAGTTCCCCAGAAATGGTTATTAACCAAGCTGAAATGCCTGAAATTACAGAAATGGAATTCAGACTATAGATAGGAAAGGAGATCAGTAGCATTAAGGAGATAGAAGAATTTCAGAGCTCAAAGAACTGCTCTCTGACATAACCTGGTCAGACAAAATAAAGAAAAAAAAAGTAAAGAATAATGAACAAAATACAGATTTATGTAAAGAGACCAAATCTTTGACTCACTGGCATTTCTGAGAGGCAGGGAAAGAAAGCAAGCTGGTTGGGAAAATACATTTTAGTATATCGTTCACGAAAATTTTTCCAACCTCACTAGAGAGGCCAACGTTCAAGTTCAGGAAGTGGAAAGAACCCCTGTGAAATACTACACAAGTAGAAGATCCCCAAGACACATAGTCATTAGATTCTCCAAAGTCAAAATGAAAGAAAAAAAATATTAAAAGCAACTGGAGAGAACGGGAAAATTACCTATAATGTCTTCAGGCTAACTGAAAACCTTTAATCATAAACTTTAAGAGCCAGAAAAGAATGAGGGCCTTTATTCGGCATTTTTAAAGAAAAGAATTTCCAAACATGAATTTTATATCCAGCCAAACTAAGCTTCAAAAGTTAAGAAATAAGATCCTTTTTGGACAAGCAAAAGCTAAGAGAATTTATCGGCAGACTTGTCTTACAAGAGATCCTGAAGGGAGTGCTAAACATGGAAAAGAAAGACCAATACTTGCCACTAGAAAGATACACTTAAATACATAGACCACTGGCACTATAAAGCAACCACACAAACAAGTCTGAACAATAACCAGTTAACAATATGATAACATGAACTAATCCACACATGTCAACACTAATCTTGAATGTAAATGATATAATTGCCCCAATTAAAAGGCACAGAGTAGTAAGTTGGGTAAAGAAGTAAGACACAACAGTATGCTGTGTTTGAGAGATCCATCTCACATTCAGTGACACCCACAGGCTCAAAGTAAAGAGATATGGGAAAAAAAAATCTATCAAGCAAAAGGAAAACAGAAAAATCTAGGGTGACTATTCTAATTTCAGACAAAACAGACTTTAATTCAATGAAGATCAAAAAAAGACAAAGGGCACTATATAATAGTAAAGGGTTCAACTCACCAAGAAAAAATAACTATCCTACGTATATATGCACCCAATACAAGAGCACCCAGATTCATAAAGCAAGCTCATAAAAACCTATAAAGAGACTTAGATTACCACACCATAATATTGAGAGGCTTCAAATCCCACTGACAGATAGACAGATCATTGAGGCAAAACATTAACAAATATATTCAGGACCTGAACATGACACTTTACCAAATGGACCTAATAAACATCTACAGAACAGTCTTCCCCATTAAAAAAAAAGAGAATATACATTCTTTGAATCTGCACCTGGCACATACTCTAAAATCGACCACACAATGGGCCATAAAACAATGCTTAGCAAATTAAAAAAAAAAACACACAAAATCATATCAACCATGCTGTCACACTACAGCCCAATAAAAATAGAAATCAATACTAAGAAAATCACTGAAAACCATATAACTACATGGGAATTAACCTGCTCCTGAATGACATTTGGGTAAATAAGGATATTAAGGCAAAAATCAAGAAATTATTTGAAATTAATAAGGACAAAGATCCAATATACCAGAATCTCTGGGAGCCAGCCAAGGCAGTGTTGAAAGGGAAATTTATAGTACTGAACACTCACATCAAAAAGTTAGAAAGATTTCAAATTAAGAACACAACATCACAACTGGATGACAGAGAAACAGGAGTAAACCAACCTCAAAGCTCGCAGAAGAAAATAACGAAATCAAAGCTGAACTGAAGGAAATTGAGATGCATAAAACAATGCAAAAGAGCAAAGAATCAAGAGTTGATTTTTTGAAAAAAGTAATAAAGAAAAAAAGAGCAGATCTAAATAAAGACAGTCAAAAATGACAAAGAGGACATTACCATTTACCCCCACAGAAATACAAAAACCCCTCAGAGACTAGTAGGAGTAATTCTATCCACAAACTCTAGAAAATCTAAAAGTAACGTACAAATTCCTGAACATATATAACATCACAAGACTAAACCAAGTAGAAATTAAATCCCTGAGAAGACCAATGAGTTCCAAAATTGAATCAGTAATAGAAAGCCTGCCCCCTACCCCGCCATCACCCACCCCCAAAAAAGCCAGGGCCAGCAGATTCACAGCCGAATTCTATCAGATATGTAAAGAAGAGCTAATAGCATTCCTACTGAAACTATTCAAAAAAATTGAGGAGGAGGGGCTCCTTCCTAACTCATTCTATCAGGTCAGCATCACCCTAACACCAAAACCTGGCAGAGACACAGCAACAACAACAAAAACTGAGGCCAACATCCTTGATAAAAGTAGACGCAAACATGCTCAACACACTACTAACAAACTGAATCCAGTAGTGCATCAAAAAGCGAATCCATCATACAAATAGGCTTTATTCCTGGGATGCAAGGTTTGTTCAATAGACATAAATCAATAAATGTGACTCATCATGTAACCAGAATTAAAATTTAAAAAACATATGATTATCTTAATAGACGCAGAAATGGCTTTTGTTTAAATTCAACATCTCTTCACTTCAAAAACCCTCAACAAACAAGGCATTGAATAAACATACTTCAAAATAATAAGAGCCATCTATGTCAAACCCATAGCCAACGTCATATCGAATGAGCAAAATTTGGAAGCACTTCCCTTGAAAACTGGAACAAGACAAGCATGCCCTCTCTCACTACTCATACTCAACATGGTAAAGGAAGTTCTGGCTAGAAAAATCAGGCAGGAGAAAGAAAGAAAAAGCATTCAAATAGGAAGAGACGAAGTCAAACTATTCCTGTTTGGAGATGATACAATTCCATACCTCGAAAACCCAGTAGTATCTTCCCAAAACTTCTTTCATCTGATAGACTTCAGCAAAGTTTTGGCATACAAAATTAATGTAAAGAAATCAGTAGCATTCCTAGACACCAACAACATCCAAGCTGAGAGCCAAATCAAGAACACAATCCCATTCACAAAAACCATAAAAAGAAGAAAGTACTTGGGAATACAGCTAACCAGGGAGGTGAAAGATCTCTACAAGGAGCACTACAAAACACTGCTGAAAGAAATAAAAGATGACACAAGCAAATGCAAAAACATTCCACACTCATGGATAGGAAAAATCAATATCATTAAAATGACCATACTGCCCAAAGAAATCTACATATTCAATGCTATTTCTATCAAACTGCCAATAACATTCTCTACAGAATAAGAAAACTATTTTAAAATCCTTTTTTTTTTTTTTTTCGGAAACAGGGATGCTCTCTGTCATCCAGGCTAGAGTGCAATGACACGATCATGGCTCATGACAGTCTTTACCTCCCAGGCTCAAGTGACACTCCCACCTTAGCCTCCCAATTAGCTGGGACTACAGGCATGGGCCACAACCCTCGACTAACTTTTGTAATTTTTAGAAGAGACAGGGTTTCATCATGTTTCCCAGGTTAGTCTCAAACTCCTGGGCTCAAGCCATCCGCTCTTCTCAGACTACCAAAGTTTTGGAATTACAGGCATGAGCCACTGTGCCTGGCTTAAAATTCTTACAAAATGAGAAACAAGAACAGATAGCCAAAGTAATTGCAAGTGAAAAGACCAGAACTGGAAGCATCACATTATCCCACTTCAAACTGTACAAGCCTGCAGTAACCAGAATAACAACAGACATGTAGGCTAACGGAACAGAAGAGAGAGCCCAGAAGTAAGTCAGCACACCTATAACCATTTGATCTTTGACAAAGTCTACAAAAACAAGCAATGGGGAAAGAACTCCCTATTCAATAAATGCAGATGTGGTAACTGGATAGTCATATGCAGAAAATTGAAACTGGACCCCCTCCTTACACAATATACAAAAATTAGCTCAAGAAGGACTAAAGACTTAAATGTAAATCCTAAAACTTTATGAACTCTTGATGATAACCTAGGAAATACCATTCTGGACGTAGGACTAGGCAAAGATTTTATAATGAAGATACCAAAAGCAATTGCAACAAAAACAAAAATTGACAAATGGGACTTAATTAAACTAAACAGCTTTTGCATAGCAAAAGAAACTAGCAATAAACAGACAACCTAGAGAATATGAGAAAATATTTGCAAACTGTGTTTCCACAAAGGTCTAATATCCAGAATCTATAAGGAACTTAAAGAAATTTACAAGCAGAAAACAAACAACCCCATTAAAAATTTGGCAAAGTACATGAATAGACATTTTTCAAAAGAAGACATACAAGTGGCCAGCAAGCATATGAAAAAAAGTTTGACATCACTAATCATTAGAAAAATGCAGATTAACACCACAATGAGATACCATCTACACCAGTCAGAACAGCTATTATTAAAAAGTCAAAAAATAACAGATGACAAAGAGGTTGCACAAAAAATAGAAGCTCATTCACTGCTGGTGAGAATGTAAATTAGTTCAGCCATTATGGAAAGCATTTTGGTGATTTCTGAAAGAACTTAAAACAATTACCATGCAACCCAACCATCCCATTATCAGGTATATACTCAAATGAGTATAAATAATTATATTCATATACTCATACAGAAAGACACATACACACATGTGTTCATTGCAGCACTATTCATAATACCAAAGACATGGAATCAACCTAAATGGCCATTGATATATTTTAGCTGTGTCCCCACCCAAATCTCATCTTGAATCATAGCTCCCATAATTCCCACATGTTGTGGGAAAGACCCAGTGGGAGATAATTGATTCATGGGGGCAGTTCCCCCATACTGTTCTCATGGTAGTGAATAAGTCTCATGAGATCCGATGGTTTTATAAGGGGTTTCCCCTTTTTCTTGGCTCTCATTCTGTCAATTGCCTGTTGCCATGTAAGATGTACCTTTCACCTTCTGCAGTGATTGTGAGGCCTCCCCAGCCATAGGGAACTGTGAGTCCATTAAACCTCTTTTTCTTTATAAATCTCCCAGTCTCAGGTATGTCTTTATCAGCAGTGTGAAAACAGACTGATACAGCCATGAACGGTGGATAAAGAAAATGTGGTACATGTACACCATGCAATACTATTCAGCCATTAAATAGAACAAAATGATGTCCTTTGCAGCAACATGGATGGAGCTGGAGGCCATTATCCTAAACAAATGAATGCATGAACAGAATACCAAATACCATAAGTCCTCACTTAAAAGTGGGAGCTAAATATCGAGGACATATGGACACAAAGAAGGGAGCAATAGACACCAGGGCCTACTTGAGGGTAAAGGGTGGGAAAAGCATGAGGATCAAAAAACTACTTAGTGGGTACTATGCTTATTACCTAGGTGATGAAATAATCTGTGCAACAAAACCCCATGAAATTCAATTTACTTGTTCAAGAAACCTGTACATGTACACTTGTACCTAAAATAAAAAATTTTTTAATGAATATATTAAAAATAAATAAAATAGTTTTTTAATTTAGCCTAAGAGTGTGATGGGTTTAACAATCTTTGTTTTGCACACTTATTCAATAAGGTTACTACTCTCCAATTAGTAGAGCCTACTATAATATATTCCAGGACTAAGCTAATGTGCTTAGAATATGAAGTTAGGCAAGACATAGCCCCTGTTTTAATTAAACTTTCAGCCTAGTGAGAAAAAAAAAGACAAGCAGTTAAAATATGTTATTATCATAGGGGAAGTCAGGGTACCACTGGGGTTTGCAGAAAGTTAAAATAGGTCATATAAAATCAGAAATTTGAACAGTTTCTTTTTTTTTTTGAAGGAAAGCAGAGATCACTGGTAGAATTGAAAGTAGTTCGGAAGAACTGAATAGCAGGATGGAGGGAATATTGAAAAAGGGAGATGAGCAATATATAACAAAGTAAGACCACAAGAGATGACTTAATTCCAGTTTATCATCTCTTAAAGGTAATGCACATTTATCTATTTTTATATTTGCAGAAATTAAAGGATTTAAACAATTTTTAAACACAATATTGTGAATTTTAAATTTTAAATATATCAGTATTTTTCAGAGATGATGAAAACCATCTCGTTAAATTACATTTGGCATTGATTTGCCAAGACATCAATATAACTTAGTTTTCTTTCAAAGTTCTATGCAGTTAAAACAGAGATAATTGCAAAATGAGTTAAAAATCACTTGTTTGTTTTTTAAAATGTTGCACAGAGAAAAACTTGCTGGCTATTTTCAAAGAGCAGGTAACACAAAATCCAAACCTAATTAGGCTCAATCCACTGCCATTACCAAACCAATAGTAAAGTTACCTATAAAGTTAATTAGCCTAAAGACTGTTGATTTGTATTGCTAACCCTGAGAAGCATGTTTCCTGTTTTGTATGTATTTGATCAAGTAGAAAATGAAATCTGATGCAACAAAAGACGTTGCAGCTGTATATTTTAAGTATGCAGACTGCTAAGGCTTGACTGCTGTATAAAGAGAAGCAATGTATATAAAGATTGCTAGCACATTATGTAATAATGATAATCTGCTTTACTACCACATTTCCACGACAGTGCAATTACATTTAGACCTCTATTTAATCACATTTATCTATCTACTGTTAAACTGGGCATGACATTGTCAGCCCTGCAGAATCTTATAGCTGAGTCGCAGCTTGCTTGTGGAGTTGGGGAATTGCAAAATAGGTTGAAAGCGATATTTTCTATGAATTAATGAGATACTCACATCATCTGCACTCCTCATCTCCATTGAACAGGTGCAAAAATGGCAAAGGGATAATTGTTCTAAATTTTGTTGTGCATTGTGCTGAAATTATTTTCTACAAGCGGCAACATGAAAGGCTTAAAAAGATTTTAAGAAGACTAATATACAGCAACATTAAAAATTTAACTCTTGTACTTGTGCATATGAGCTACTAAGATTGTTTCCACTAGATTTTCATGCAAAACAATCTGGTTTTGATTGTTAGAAGAAATCAAATGTATTCAGCATATGCATGTGGTTCACCAAAAATTTACTGAGTGCCTACTGTAAGGGTATCACTTTATTAGGCACTGGGAATACAAAAATAAATTCTTGTGAAGATTAAGTTTTGGTCTGTGCAGACTGTACTCATTGTTTTTCACATTTTTAAAACAAGTTTGTGTATGTATTTATTTGTTTGCTAGTTCGTATTATTCTCTCATGTAGGCTCTATTTTGTTGACCATGGTGTACCTAACACTTGAAGGAAGGAAGAAAGAAAAGAGGGATGGCGGGATGAGAGGAAGAAAAAAAGGAAGGAAGGGAGTTTGGGAGAAATGGAAGAAGGAAGGAAGGAGAAAGGAAAGAATGATCCCTTCAATAAAATGTTGTTAGTACTGGAATATCAGTATTTCCCCAAATCCAGCAGATGCCTAGGAACAACATATAGATGTCTTGGAAAAGTGAAGAATATTTTCCTGGGGAGAAAAACTGCTGAGACTTTACACATGTAAAATATATTTAATTAGCCCCTCATATACTGCACAGTTAGGCTAGGTATAAAATTCTGAATTGGAAATAGATTTTCCTTATATTTAAAAAAGTTTCATTTTTCCTACTTTTCCATATTGTTGTTAAGAGGTTTAAAGTCATTATTATTACTTTATATTTGTATATGACATACATTTTCTTCTTGAAACATTTAGATTTTCTCTGCCAGGAAATCGTAGAATTAAAAACTTTAGGGATGGTCTACTTTCTGCTATTGTTCCTGACTCTTAATTAATATTTTCAAGCCATAATCATAGCTTCAATTCTAGAAGATATTCTTAAATTATTTATTTGATGATATCCTCCATTACATTATAGTGTAGCAGATAATAGCACAGCACCTGGAGTCACAATGCCTATTTGCAGATACCACTTCTGCCCTTAGTAGCAGTGTGTTTAGGACAACTTGTCTTAACTTCTCTGTACTTAGAATTTTTCATCTGCCAAATGTAGATCATAATAATATTATCTGCTAGCAAAACTTGTTTTGCTTTGAATGAATTGTTTTGGTAAACCACTTAAAATAGTGTCTGCTATAAAAGGAATGCTTCGTTATCGTCTTTCAGAATAATTCCTGCCATTTCACTTACTTTTTCTTGTTTTCCATGTTTGTTTTTATTTTATTTTTGCTGTACTTTCCAAGAGATTTCCTCAACTATATCTTCTAGCCATTTTATTGAGCTTTTCATTTATGCTATCTATTTTCAACCTTGACTGCTTTCTATTTTCTACACCATTCTCCTAGTAGCATTCTCTACTTATTACACAAATGCAGCATCTCATCTCTCTGAAGAATTTAATGGAAGATAATTTTTTTATACTTGCACAAAGTTTAAAATAGTACAAGCTTATTAGGAAAAAGAACTGGACTTCACTACTAACTTCATATTGCTTGGCTGTACACTACTCATCTGGCAAAACCTCACTACTTCTTTTTATATTGCTCTTTAGTTGAAGCAGACTGACAATTCCTATGTCCTTTGAAAATTGTGACTTACATCCTTGTCTCTACCTCCATGTTCATACAGTGTATTGCGTCAGCTTCTTTTTGTGCCTGTCTGATTCCATCAGCACCATGTTTTCGGCTAACTCCTTTTTTTTTTGAGACGGAGTCTCGCTCTGTCGCCCAGGCTGGAGTGCAGTGGCGCGATCTTGGCTCCCTGCAAGATGCACCTCCCGGGTTCACTCCATTCTCCTGCCTCAGCCTCCCGAGTAGCTGGGACTACAGGCGCTTGCCACCTCGCCCGGCTAATTTTTTTTTTTTTTTTTTTGTATATTTAGTAGAGACAGAGTTTCACCGTGTTACCCAGGATGGTCTCGATCTCCTGACCTCGTGATCCGCCTGCCTTGGCCTCCCAAAGTGCTGGGATTACAGGCGTGAGCCACCACACCCGGCCTTTTTGGGCTAACTCCTTTTTAATATCCAGATATCAAAGTTGCTATGAGGAGTACCTCTTGCCTGAATTAGGAGATGATCTTGAATACACAAGCAGTAAATACAAAAGAACAGGAGGAAAAACTACCGTTTATTTTCATATTATACTTGCATGTCACCTTTAGTACTTCATGGTGGTCGTTCAGCAAAGGAGCAACTTATATTTGTCTCAGTAATGAATATTAGAAACTCACATTTTATTCTAAGTACTGCTAGTTTGTTTGGACCCTGTGCTGCTCTTTGGATTTATCTCATCCAATATAGGATAACCATTATAGAATTTTGGAACTCAGAGAGATCTTACAATTACGGAGTTCTCTACATGTGTGTTCCATATGAAGAGATGGAAATCTCAGTGGTTAATGGAAGTTTTCACATTTAATTGAGTTAGTTGATAGCAATAAAAGGGCTAAAATCTAAATCTCTTTATTCATTGTTTTCTACCTTTGCTCTATATTTTATCTATGAGGTAAATGTTGAAGTTTGAAAAAGAATACAGGCATGGAAATAGAAGACTAAGGGTTACCTTCCAGAGATCCTCACAGTATAACTCTATGATGTTAAATTTATCAAGGACAAAGTCTGATTCTCCAAATTGTAGATTCAAAGACTTAACTTTCTCAACACTTTGCCAAAGTTTATATTCTATGATGGCAGACACATGACAAAAATTGTTAGGAGACAGAATGGCATGCTAATTTTTAATATATAATGAAAAGATTATATTTTCAGTGATGACAATAAGGTGCTACTTATCCAGGGTTTCAAAGCATTTCTGAATAAAAAATTACGTTATTTAAAAAATAATAAACCTAGCAAGTGTTGACCAGAAAAGTAGTTGCTGTTTGCGTTTTTTATAAAGGGTTTTACCATTTAAGATATATCGAATATCTTCCATCTGAAAATATCCATTATCAGTCATTTAACCCTATAAGCAGAAATAATAATTTCTGGATTATTGATTATTGTTCCCTGTTGCCTTAATACAGTATACAGAAAGATATATATGTGTATATATACATACGAGTATATATATATATATATATGTATATATACACATGTGTGTATATATACATATATATATATGCAGGCAGGCTTTGAGAATACTGTTATAGAAAATGATTTTTATTGGACTGAAAAAAATAAGTCATTAATCTATTAGTAGGTTGTCTTTAATTTTCAAAACCCCTCTTGGAAGGATAGCATGATAATAATATAGTATATAGTGATAATAATGATTACTCATTATTTCAAGCAAAAGGCAATTTGAATGTATAAATGTTGTCTTACCATGTATCAGTTCTAGTGATTATAAATATTACAGTCAGTGCAAACTATTGATATAGGGATGCTTATTACATTTATATTTACATTTACTTAGCCAATTATAATGAAGAATAAAGGTCTTAGCAGTACATATACAGGCAAAATTTTGTTAAAACCAAGTTCAGATTTAGAGATAGGGCACAGTTGTATTATGTCATTGCCTCAATATTTATCTTAACCTCTGTGATTAGAAGTAAATACGAACAAGACTGCTTTCTTTTCCTGTTAATGAAGAATTCTGCAGAGCTTTACAAAATGGATAGTTTGCTTGGCTAATCGATATTTAGTTGACTCTCCCTCCTATGCCCATAATGGGTGATGGTACCAAATGCTGAAGGTTGTTTTCTGTCTAGGCACAGCATTCCAACAGAAGTGCCAAGCCATTATTAAGAATGGAAATATACCAATCAGTGTGACCATAATTTCCAGTTTTCCCCCAGAGCCAATAAGAGCCCCAGTGCTGTTTGAGGAACAACACTGTCTTTCTGATAGTCAAACCCCACCTAAGATCCTGGATATAACTAAACATTGCATGTCTAGAACAAACTCTATATAAGACAAATATTTCGTGGATAGAAACCAAGGCAATTATTTAACAAATGGCCTAAATATTATTGTTAAAGGCAGCTCTTCTTATATTTGTGGTTTCCTAGCAGAGACCCTGACATTTTCACATATTCTAGTTCATGTAAGAGTGTGTGTTCCTTCTTATGTGTTTTGTCTAAAACTATGATACCCTGACAATAAATGAACAATAATTTAATGATGATGGCCCTGGCTTACCTTCCACCCACACTTTTCTCATTCTTTGACTAAATCCAATTTGTTATCCACAGGGCTGCCACCATGTTGTTTCTTTGTTAAATGCATATTTGACCAAATCAGTTAACTGTTTGAAATTCTTTAGTGACCCTCCCCCTTTCATCTTTCCATTATGTATAGAAGATTTCAGATAGTTTAGCATTGTGTACAGATATGATAAGCTGGCTCTTACTTATCAATCATAAAATTTAATATGCATCTGAAGAGTGGTAATTCCAATTATTTGCAGTTTATCTGGAAATACTGAGCTAACTCCTGAATGTCTTTACAAAACCTTTCCCTCTCACCTCAGGCAGTTTCCATACTTGATTATATACATGCTAGATGCCATGCTGTTTTACTAATGGGTCCTTCATGTCTGTCTGTCTATATATTGATCTATCCATCTATCCATCCATTCATCCATCCATCCATCCAGCTATCTAACTATTGCTTCAAAAAAGATAAGGTTCTTAAATTAAACTATCAAAAGGTTATATTATATAGTTCTTGATTCAAAGAAAAAGTAATATAACATGGTTTAAGAAAAAACATTTTTTAAAAATTATGTGCTTTTGATCAAACTGCTAGATACAGTATACATAAGAGATGAGAATTTAGACTTTGTACACAATATTTGAAAGTATTTGTTACACACAGAGTACAAAAGTCAGCATTCTATCATATTTCCTTGACTAGTTTACATAATAATTCCTTAAAGAGGTTAATTAAAAAATAATTCAACATTTTAGTACTCTTTGATCCAATGGTTTTATTTCTGGTAATCTTTAATAAAGATATAATTGCAAGTGTAGATGAAGGTTTTATGCACAATACCATTTAATGTATCAAAACTAGAAATAATCTAAATTTCAACAGATGATTAAGTTATTGTGTAATAATATAATGAAATACTATTTTCTCACTGAAAAACTTAGAAGAAGTTACGACAACATTAAAATATAAATAGGATAACATTAAGTTAAGGAGTTAAAATTACATATAAAGTGTAGTCTCAACTTTGCTAACAATTATATAAAAATCAATTCTAAGAAATTATATGAAACTACTAATAATGATTACATTGGATGGTGACATACATTTTTTTCCTTTTTTCTTTGTATTTACCATTACCTGTTTTGCAAATTCTCCTTTGAGTGTGCATAATGTTTACAGTTTAAAAATAAACTTTACTTAAAACAGAGAATTAAGCAGAACCAAGAGAATGTGGTAATTCTACAGCAGTGCTTATAGTGTCTGAACATAATCTGTTGTAGTCTTCTAAAGATTATTCTTCCTTAAATCTTATTTAAACAGTTTTGTTAACAAACATATCAAGTAAGCTATATGATCTAGTTATAGACTTTACATAGTTTCATTAGGTTAGAAAAAAATTAGCCGGTAAATACCATTTGACCCAGCAATCCCATTACTGGGTATATACCTATATACCCAACAGAATATAAATCATTCTTTTACAAAGATACATGCACATGTATGTTTATTGTAGCACTATTCACAATAGCAAAGATATAGAACCAACCCAAATGCCCATCAATGATAGACTGGGTAAAGAAAATGTGGTACATATTCATCACGGGATACTATGCAGCCATAAATAGGAATGAGATTATGTCCTTTGCAGGGACATGGATGAAGCTGGAGGCCATCATCCTCAGCAAACTACCATAGAAACAGGAAACCAAACACTGCATGTTCTCACTCATAAGTGGGAGCTGAACAAGGAGAACACATGGACATGGGGAGGGGAGCAACACACACCAGGGACTGTTGGTAGGGGACGAGGGGAGGGAAAGCATCAGGACAAATAGCTAATGCATATGGGGCTTAATACCTAGGTGACAGGTTGATAGGTGCAGCAAACCACCATGGCACATGTTTACCTATGTAACAAACCTGCACGTTCTGCACATGTATCCTGGAACTTAAAGTAAAAATAAACGGATGGCATCATCTGCAAATAGTGATAGTTTTACTTTACACAATGGGAAACTTTTATTTCTTTTTCTTGCCTATTGTCCCAGGTAGACCTTCTAACACAATGTTAAATAACAGTAATGAGAGCAGACCTCCTTGTCATGTTCCTGATATTAGGGTAAAAGCTTTCAGGTTTCCACAATTGAGTATGGCGTTGACTGTGGGTTTTTCATGGCTTCCCTTTATCAGGTTGAGAAAGTTCCCTAGTTTGTTGAGTTTTTTTTTATTATTATTATGAAAGCACGATGGATTTTGCCAAATGCTTTTTTCTGTATCTATTGAGTTGAGATGATCATGGGGGGCTTTTTCTTAATTCTATTAAAATGATGTATTATATTGACAAAAAAATTAGTCATTGATTTGGTTTGGAGATATGCAACAGCTTTCTCATTGGCAGCTCATTAAAGTGAGTTAGTAAAATACCTCTCAAGAAATTAAAGCATACTTTCTTCTCATCTATTAGAATTTCAAACATGTGAAAAGACTTCAGCTTATTCAGCTATACGTATCAAAGGAATACTTAAATTAACTTTTATTTTTTACTTGAGGCTACTTTTCATTTGAACTTTTCAAATTTTCAAACTAATTGAGAATTTATTGAACATTTTCTTGTTAAATATTGAAGAGATTATGTAATTTTGATATTCCTCTGTGGAAAATATCGCATCAACATTAAGCCAACTGTTATAAAATGTTTCATTGAAAACTTACAGGAACTTTGGCAATTTAATGCATCATAAGAAACTCTGAGTGCTTTTATTTCATCAGCTACTCATCTCTGATTATGTAACTCAGCTAAAGTTACAGTTAACATAGGAAACAGACAATAAACAATTGACCCTAAATGATCCCTCCAAAAAAGCAAATTTGCACAAGAGAAAAAATATGTATTGGGATCAAATAGTGAAGTCCAAAGCCTTTGCTTTACCATAAAAAAAATAGAAACATCTCCATTGAAATTATGGAATTACATAAGCCTATGTCTTTATTTAAAAGTACCTTTGACCTGTGCTTCACCTTACATTAAATCGAAAGACATGTAATAATAATAGTAACGATGACCACTTATTGAGCAATCAGTATGTGTACATATTAAGATTTTTTAAATATTAAATAAATCATTTTATTTAATTTAAATAAACATTACTGAAACACAACATGCATATAGAAAAATGCATCTCTTTTTTTTTTTTTTTTTTTTTTTTTGAGACAGTCTTGCTCTGTCACCCAGACTGGAGTGAAGTGGTGCGATCTCGGCTCACTGCAACCTCTGCCTCCTGGGTTCAAGTGATTCTCCAGCCTCAGCCTCCTGAGTAGGTGGGACTATAGACATGCACCACCATGCCTGGCTACATTTTTTTGTATTTTTGGTAGAGATGGGGTTTCATCATGTTTCCCAGGCTGGTCTCGAACTCCTGAGCTCAGGTGATCTGCTAGCTTCAGCCTCCCAAAGTGCTAGGATTACAGGTATGAGCCACAGTGCCCGGCCTAGAAAAATACATAAATCATAAGTAAAGAACTTTTGTGATTTTTCAAAAGACGAGTCCGTCCTGTGGCAATCACCAACATTAAGAAGTAGAACACATAGGAAGGTAACGTAACCGTGGTCACAAAGCCAATGAACAGCAGATCTGGATCTGAAATCCAGGTCTGCCTGATTTTAAAAGCATTGTTTTCATAATGTATCTTTGATCATCATAATTTGGTGACTCCAGTTACTGTATATTTATGTGAGAATTTTATTGGTTCATTCTAAATGCTTCACAATTTGAAAGGAAGAATCAAAATTAGAATTAAAAACCCTGCATCTTCAAAGTGACTCGGAAAAATAGGTGACAGACTTTCTTGCCTAAGATGGGCTTCTACTACATCAGGGTTTCTCATCTTGGTCCGACTGACCCTGGGGTGGATAATTTTTGTCAACGGGAGACTGTTCCACTGGAGGATATTTAACACCATCCCAAGACTTTACTCACTACATGCCAGCAGTACACACCAGCTGTGACAACCAAAACCGGTTCCTGATAATGCGAAACATCCTGCAGGAGGGAAAATTACCTTTGGTTGAGAACTGTTGACCAACAGTGAAAGGTGATTGTGTCTAGGATGTGCCATTTATGTCAGTTTTGTAATATGTTTCCTCTTTATTGGCTGAAACTGAGATGTATAAATAAATTTGTTTTTCAAACTTCCCCTAAATCTGGAGGATGAAAAAACTTAAATTCAATAGGAAATATGCAGTGGAATCTGCACCTTCAGAAATAAGACAAAATAGACGGGAAATGGTGGCAAGTGCTTTCCTGGTTTTTTCTTCTCTGAATAAAAAAATCTATAAAACAATAAATAAGCTGCCAAGTTCAGCATAGCTTAGCCTTGTCTTTCATAATTCCCCATGGTGTACTTGGAGGAAAAGACTTTAATTCCTATTGAACTTTTATCCAAATTTGGTAAAAAGCAATATAAATCTCTGGTCCTCTGCCATTCTCCTACTTGTCACATCATCACTCCTTCTTTCCAGTGTGAGGAATTTAGCTGTTTTCAAGAGGGTTGGAAACTGTAAGCCATGCTGCAATTCTGGAAAATGTGCTATGTATGGATTGCAACAAAGTAGTAATACCTGATATCCTGACATGGGTTAAAACATTTTAACTTGGCATCAGATCAACTGCTAAATAAATCCACGTAGTTACTTGAGGGTAGAAACTTGTACTTACCCACTGTTTGAATTCAAACCCTTGAAACAGTGTTTAGCACATAGTGAAACTAATAATAGCTAATATTCACTAAGTACTTTTATAACTAAAAAGAATAAATATTCAAAGAGTATGTTTTCCATATTGATTTCCAGAAAAAATATGAATTCTCTCTCACACACGCACACACACTCTCTCTCTCTCTTAAAAAATTATGCTGTGCCTCCATGATCCCTATTTAAATGAAGAACTTGCTACCCCAAACATATCTCATTACATTATAGAAGCAGTCAGTCAACTATGTGTTTTTTATCATATAATACCAACATTGTGCTAGAACATCTGTAATTTTTAAAATGTATTGCAAATTAAGGGCAGAAAACTGCCCATGAAATCTAAACATGTTGGGGTATATTAGAGGAAAAAATAAAGATTAAAATAACTATAATGTACTTTATTTGAAAGATAAAGGGAAAAATTTGTAACATTTAAAGTCACAGTCACTGCACAATGAACATAAAAGTTAAACAATTATCGCAATAAAAATAGCTAACAAATGTATCACTTACAGTATACATCTGCATTACTGATCACTAATAAATATTTGCTTTCGAACCATGAAGAAAGCAGAAGGGCATGGACAAATGCGTTCACCTTGGCTATACAATTTGTATTTTTTTCATTTTTTTGATGTGCTTTTTGCTGCCAATGTAATCAATAAGTAGATTGTGTCATATCACAAGGTGAAGAAAAGTAATATATAAATTTTACTATATACAACATACTGTTCCTAAATATCAAGAACTCATGGATGTTATTTGGGTTTGTGTACAGCTTTATTCTACCATTTGCATTTCATTATATTTGCTTTTTTGTGCCTTTACCTGTACTGTTTCCTTTGCTGGAAACATGTTATACCTTCTTAAAAGGTATTATTTTCATTTAATCCATTATTGAATGTAGCCTTGGTTGGCAAATTTCCTGAGGCTATCACCTTGAATCAGATTGCTTTTCTATAAACTTCCGCTGCATCCTCTATAAAAACTTAACATGGCACCCACTACACTGAATTATAATTGGTAGTTTACTTATCTGCCCTTCTATATTTCCTGTGAATACCAGTAGGGAAGGATTCATCTTGACTTTACTACATGTTAAGGGCTTAATAAATGAATAGATAAAGAAGGAAAGAAAAGATGAACTAAATGTTAAATGCTCAGTATAAGCACACAGGCAGAGAGCAATGTGCTCCACCAAAAACCAGTGCAACATAGCTTATGTAAACAAAGACAGATTTCCTAAATAAAAGTTTGACCTTAAAAGAAAAAAATTAATTTCAAGGAAAAAAGTAAAAGCCTTATTGCAGGAAGTTTTTTCTCTTCTAACCATTTCATACATTTTATCTTTATATTTAATATGCATCTTTAGAGGGAGAAAATAATTATAATTTATAAATATATGCAATGCTGTGTAAACAAAACATGCCAGCACGCAATGTCATCTAAAGTCTCAAGCTGGTATAATCTCAAATAGACTTCCAAACAGAAATTTAGGCCTCTAGCTTCAAAACTTAAGATTATACCTAAAATACATCATTCATACATCGTTACCAATATCAGAACTCACCCATTAAATCCTACAGTGAAGGAGTGTCTGCGCTCAGATATACACAAAGGTAATTTGACAGTTGTGCAGTAAATATTTAGCTGCAGGGACCTAAAATTGCCAGAGTTTATAGGCTTGGGCATTTGATGTCACTTCTGGCTTGCTTTTCAGGGCTAACATTTTGCAGTGTAAGCTGAATTGTTAACTCCTATTTTTTTTTTCCCCCTGAGTTGAAGGTAGTTTTGGGGCTATACTAAATCTAACAATCTTGGCCAGACAAACTGAGAATGTTGCTGTGTTGAGCTTGTAATATTAACCCAATAAATTTCCCGGTGTTTAATAAGATTAATGCCCCTGTAACCTAATTCACAACTGATGGCAGCTTTAAGACCCCTTTTCTCCTGGTAGGGGCAGGCTTCCAAATGCTATGGAGGCAACCCTCAGCAAAATAAATGGTACTAGGCAACTATTTCCAAATAACTACTGCCTCCTAGGGTAAGATACTCACATTCGTTTTACTGCCCTAATTGTAGAATTTCTCTCCTTATCTTTAATCAATTCGGGGGAAGTTTAAAAGCAATTCAAACTATACTTTTTTTTTCAGATGTATTTCAAAATCAAAGAAAATTTTCTCTATCACTTCAGAGATGGTAGAAGAGAAGGAGAAAGAGGATTAATTCTTATGTATCTGCAATTGGCCTTTCTGAGAACCAAGCATCTCTATAACTGGCTGTAATAATTTACTCTTGTGTGGAAGTGCACATAAATGACAGTCATTTTTATTATAGGCCTTGAGAAAGCAGAATTCATGTTTATTAGACATATTTAATTTAGTGTCTCACACAGTGCTCATTCACAAGCATCCATAACACATTACCACATAGAAGGAAAACCACAGGGCACCTGAATTCAGAAAATACATGCAACATAGAGCATTCTGCATGAATCGCTATGCATTATCTGGTGAAACCCTTCAGGAGGTACTCTTTCTATTAGAGATATGATTTTAACTAGCTTAGTTCCCTCAACTCACCAAGAGGTTTGTGATGTTTTATTTTTTATTATCTCCTTTATAATTAAATAACCATTGGGTAAGATGTATTCAAACTAAACTGAAATCGCTCTCATTTGGCAAGAGCCCAAGTCTTAATATTAACACATGTTTAAAGACTTTTAGTACCATGATGCACCAAATGCTCATAGAAAAATCGGCATTTTCCCCGACAGATGAACATTGAATCTATTATTTATTATTGCATTAAATACATGCCATATGCACACTCAGGGAAATAACATTACGCATCAATTCCAAGATACAGTGGTGCCCATATTACAGGGTGCCTTGTTTCCAGATCATAAACTTGACTTCAAGTTTCATGTTTCGGAAAGTACAAAACTTCTATTAACTATTCATCTTAAGAAATGCCTGTTGCTTTATGTGGCTTGAAGTAACATAATAACAAAGGAAAGAAGTAACAAAGGAAAAGGCAGACATCTCTGATAGTCACTTCTAGTTCTTCTCACTAAGCAGGTGGTGATAACCTTCTTTTTAATAGTCAAAGAAAATATAATGTTTTCCAACCAAGGTGTGAAGAAGGAAAAATCAACTAACCCAATATTGAATTGTGGTAGCAATTTAATACTAGGTCCATGATTTTTTAAAATAAATTTTTTTCTGTTGTTTTTTCTAATTCCTACTGTCCAAATCTGTAAAACACGGCCAATAATGTACTAACATCATAGAGTTGCATAAGGATTAAAAGAAATAACATTTGCAAAGTACTTAGTGCTATGCAAAGTAATTAGCATTTGGAAAAGAATAAATAATAAATGTTTAATATAATTGTTCTTATAATTATCATTTAATTAAAAGTTTTAAAATGTAGACCTCACCCTTGGAGAAAAATTTTACTATTCGCTTGAAATTTTACCTTCAAATATGTATTTTTGTTTCATTCATTAGAAGATTTATGGAGCTCTTCTTTCTTCCGGCATTTTGCCAGACAAAGGATACGATCATGATCAAAACAGACATAATTCTTTCCCTATGCATCTTGCAAAATAGTTGAGAGAGAGACACAATTATTATATTACTATAAATTGTAATACTTTTTAGAAAGGAAAGAAGGTGGTAAGAGAACTTTCAAGAAGATCTAATGTAAGATACTATTGCCAGTTAAAATACAGACAGGTCATGCAATATTTAAGAAATTCTTGTGCTAAAAATATGCGTTGTTTGTTTGAAATTCTTAGTTGACCAGTCAGCCTGTTTTGTTTACGAAATCTGGTGACCCTAATCTGAGTAAAGACTTCCTCTAGAGGAATTGGCTAGAGTTGAGAATTTAAAAATGAATAGGCATTGGCAAGGTGAAGGAGATGCAGAATTATGGAGCTTTACTAAGTCAAGAGCGTACAGCATCTTCAAATATCCTAAGTTGGGAAGCAACATTAGTGCCTTTTAAAAATGAAAAGTACAGTATAGCTGGAGCTCAAAGTGTGAGAGAAAGCATGTTTCATGTAACTGGAAAGGTAGGTAGGTCTAGATAAGCAAGGATCTTGATCCATATTTTGATTGACTAGAAGTCACTGACAGGCTTTAGGCAGAAGAGTAGCATCAGATTTGCATTTTAACCACAGGCTCCTTTCCAAACTCACTTTAAGTGCATGACTCTCTTGGCAAAGCCGCTCCAGTATGTACTTATTGATGAGTCAAATCCCCAAGGAAAGTCAAGGAAAAAATACTAAATATATGAACATAAACAGCCACTTGGAAAGGGTAAGCGTGTTGACGTGCTGTAATGGGTGTCTAAATGCTGAATTCTACAGGTGAAAGACATGTCAGAGATGAGTACTATGGACAAGTCTGAGATGGTGGTGGCTAAATATTTATGGTTATATTCAATTGTTATTTTTACCAGGATAATTACCATGTCAAAAGAAATGCATGTTGGAAAGATGCTTGGTACATATCATCAAATCCCTAGAAGGCGATCCTTGAAATCGAATATTGTGAAAATTATGTAGGTATATTTTGCCCTATTATAATTTATGAAGGACATTTTGTTTTACTATTGACTACCCAGTAACAATTAACATGAAGTATTAGAAAGAGGTTAGATTTTTCAAAAGACACTGTCCTGAGTTTAAATTTTGGCTCTGCCAGTTTTTACCTATATGATCTAAGGAATTACTTAGCCTAGCTAAGCTGAATCTCCTCAGTTATGACATAAGAATTATTCCTGCCTTTTCTCCCTTCCTCCCTTTGCCCAGCTAACTGGATTTTGGAAAGCAGTCAGCGAATCATACTGTTCTTTGGATTCTACTGTATAATAAAGATGCTATGATAGCTACTCATATCATTCAATGGATACTCATTTCTGTTTTAAAAAGTGTAGTTAGAATAAGAAGGTGGAAAGTTGTTTAGATAAAGCTCTCAAATAATATAAACATCTGGGAGTTAGTAGAGAAAAGAACAATGTTGAACATAGCTTTAGATAGTTCATTTTATTTGAAAGACAAATAAAAAAATTATAGTCATTCCATGATGATTACATGAAGTTGTTAAACTTAAACACCAAGGAAAATAATTAACGTGTATATCACAATGCTATACTACATTTTTATGCATCACTAATAAAGATTTGCTTCCGAATCTATGTAGAAGACTGTGTAGCAGCATTAATAAACACTGTCCATCTCCCCATTTGATATTTAAAATGAATTTTCAGTTTTACAATATGATACGTCATTAAACATGTATCTTTATTTTTCTCTTCTCCATATATAGGCAATAACAGATGCTCTGTAAATATTTAAGTTAATGAATGAGTGGATGAATTTTAGACATTTGTGATTAAAAGCATAACAACCACACAATACAATGTTTAAATACCTAAAGCCCACAAAACATGTAGCAGTTTTAATGTTTCCTAACTGAATCCTTTGTTTAAGCCAGTAAGATTTGTTCACAGTATCTGACACTCCTACACTTGTTCACATTACTGCTTAGCTCTTGCTAGAACTTAAAGTATAATAATAAAAAAAATACTGTCTTCCTTTTCTAAGCCTTATCCAACCTTCAACTCTGTTAAAGTAACTTTCTTTTTATTAATCATTCACTATTAATTCAAGCCTAGTAAGTGTCCTATCCTTAGGAACCATACAACCAAATGCCTCTCCCATCCATTTGGCAGGAACATTGTGGCAACATGTTGAGCCTCATCTTGAATTGGTCTTCACACCTTTGTGACAGGAAGGATGCAGCACACGCATGTCAGCTTGTGTGCCCACTTAGGTAATTTCGGCAAATTTCAAGTGTTGGTATTTGCAGAAACACCAATGTCCTGTGAAAAATAATGAAATGAAAAAATAAAACGAAATGCACACGTTAGAACCAAAATCCTTGATTATAAGGTTTTTAAATCAAACATGAGATGACAGAGAATAAATACCCTTTTGAAGACAATGCTTTCATTTTGATGAGAATGTGAGATACTTTGACTCAGTTCAAATACACTAGCCACTGCACAAATTACCACACAATTCAGTTGTCACAGCATAAGTGACAGCAGAAGGAATAGACATCTGAGAAAATTAAAGAGAAAGTCACACAAAGGAAACAAATATGACATCGCTGGTAATTAAGAAAAAAAATTCCTTTCTTAGGTACGTATCGGGGAGTTAAAAAATCTGTGATATTGACTTCCTTTTGAGTCAGCAATAGAAAAACTGGGACTAATCAGAATAGAGTACCATTATAATTACCGTATCAAGAGTGATGATTATTTTGAGCCTATTATTAAACCATCAGCATGATGACACAGATGGCTCATGGTCAGTCCACAGCTTTGGGGGTAACATCACAAAAACCATACAGAGGTCCAAAGATGGTGGACTAGACCATTAACAGCTGCAGATAATGTTAACGGCCATCAAGACCACGTGTGCACCACTAAGGGCTGCTCCAGAAAAGGGTGGCATTTGAGGGATAAGAGTTTCTTCAGTATTACATTTACTCTAACTCAGAGGTAGATTCTAATATCATTCTAATCCTCTTTAGTTAACCTCCTCTTGATTTAACCATTGAGTAGAAATTAGAAAGATATGATTTTATATTTTATTCTCTGAGATTATAATATTTTTGTTGGAGGATGGGGGAATATAAGAATTATATTTTATCTTAATGCAAACTTTTAAATTTTTTATGGAAATCTGTATTCAAAATAACCTATCCATTTTCTTTGCTTTTTCCTTTAAATAAGATAATATACTTAATTTGTCTTACACAAAGGAAATACCAAATAAATATTTGTTCATTTCCCTGGAAATATTTCACATTTTATATATTCTTAATATTAATTTTGATGAAAAATCATAATTGCATTTACTTTTATATATGGCACAGTAAATATACGTGTGTGGAAGATATCTTAGATAGAACTAATAATGGCTAATCAAACTTATGGAAGCAAGAATTAGTCTGTTGTTAATAGCACACAGAGCAGAGATATCCTACTGGGATTAAATGAAGCCAACAAGGCTTTCTTGTGAAGTTATTCAACCTATCATGTATAGCTGTACTTATTATTTTCAGTTTTGTACAGCAGAGAAATAGAATGTAATCAGTGATTTCAATTTAATGTGATAAGTCACACATCATATTCTGAAAAGTATCTATTTGTGATTGTGCAATGCCATAATATAGAATCTCACCTCTGGACATATTTTGGGTGAAAAGGGATAACTAAATTAGTATGTTCCAAGATATATACATAGTTAAAATATAAATTTTTTCTTACATGCTACTAACAGAAGTGAGTTATAAAACACAAATTTTATCGTAAAATTTTCTTGGAGAAACATTGATTGCCCCTAACTTCATACAAGATAAAGTCTAAACTTTGTCATTGGAGTTATAAGCCAGTAGCTGTCTGGCCTTGATCTATCCAATTAGCCTTAACACTTTCAGTCCTTTTCTTTATCAAAATATCAGCACTTCTTAAAATTTCTTTGATTTCTGAACCCTTATACAAATCTGATGAAACATATGGATCTGTTCCACAGGGGGTACTTACTTATTCAGACTTAGTTATAATACCGTATTTACAATGAAACTTTATGACTCCCACAGACGTAATTCACTCTCATGGCTTAATATATACATGTATTGCATTACACCAGAAAATCGCCAGAATTACAGTGGTTCACATGACTTTAAGTACTCAGAGTCAGGAATATCGTCTTATTTATCTTTAAATTCTTAATTTGCACAGAATTCAGGACATAGTAGTCCCTAAACACTGTTAGCTAAAGCAAAGAATAATCCCTGTTGGCTTTACTTGAGTTATTTAAAAAACCATAGGTTCTAAAAAGAAATGCAAGTGAATGAAGATAATAGGTAATCCCTCATGGTGCATAGATCCATGTCATTAATAAAAAAACAGTTATTTTAAACAATAATAATGCAAATACATTACACACACAAATATATATACATATATATTCATATCTGTATTTATCATCTATCAATCTGTAGTGAATTTTCCAAATGTAAAATGTAAACAGAGAAGATTAATATTTTCATTTCAGCCTCCTTTATGGGGATATCTAGCTGCATGACAAAAGCATGACCACTGGTGTCAACAGGCACACATTTTAAGGCTCAATCTCTGTGTGATCCCAAGTCAGTTTTTGAGATGATTAGCGTTTTAGTCCATTTAGATATAAGTTGGGAATGATGATGATGATAATGACAATAATAATCTTTCCTATATACAAGAGTGAATTAATTTTGATGATAAAATATGCCATGCAAAATAACTTTAAGTTATTTTCAAATGCTAGCTATCGTTAAGTTGCAGTGGTTATGAAACAGTGTACCCACTCTTCTAAAGAAAGGTTACTAAGCAGAAAAAAAATAACTTGTAGGACCTGACTATGTTAGAGAAAAAATGTTTACATGTGGCTAAGAGAAAAAGAGATAGGTTATGTCAAACTTTAAGTTGCTTAAGTTTTGAAAAAAAAATGAAGGAGAGAAAAATCCAAATCTTCAATGTTCTATATGGAAATAGATGTAGCTAATATTTTAAAGTCTTATTCTGTAGCTAAAATTTGGTGAGAGTCTGGTTTTTCTAGTACATTTATTTCAGTTCAGTATATTTGTGTTTTTTAAGAATGAGGGTGGAGGCACAAAGGAGAGATTAAATAATTATTGCTTTTATAAAAGTAAACTTTCTAGTTTATTCTATAGTGTTGCTTTAGTCATTCACAACCAAGGGGCTAATTTTAAATATAATAAAACACAGTTTTAGTGGTTTTTATTATTTTTAAAATTACTTATATAAGAGAACCTGCCACGAATATGTTAAGCTAAAAAGTGAGTAATAGGTAAGATCATTTTGAAAATATTCAGGGGTGAGTTTCTATGTGTTCAGTATAGGTTAACATAGTTTGTATTAGCTACTACTGCATACGAGTTAGTGTTCATGAGGTCAACAGAATTATACAACTCTAGGATATATATTACTCCTATTTTGTAGATGAGAATATGGAGCCTCAGCTAATTTGAGTAACTTATCAATAGAAACACAACTCTTGAGTAGAAGCATTGGGATTTCAGCTTAGATCTGACTGACACTGGCAAGAGTACTCATTCTGTTCTGTCCATTCCATCTCAAAAATCTCAGCCTGCTGTAATATAAACCACTGTTCCTTAACCCACTTACTTTCTTCCCTGTAGAGAAATTAGCTCACTCCTATGAACAGAGACTAGCAAGAGGAGTGGACAGAAAAGGCAAAGCAGCAGTTTTCAGAGTGTTCAGATAGCGAGAAACTCAAAAGGGTTTGAGGTGTCAAAACCCAGCCACTGCCTGCAGCAGGGATTAGGTAAGGTGTGCTGCTGATTAACAAGAAGGTCGAAAGTCCATCTGGAAACCCTGGAGGTATGAACACCAAGGGAAATGCTTCAACGACCTGCAGGGGATGTGTTATATTTGTCTTCTTGACTCAGGAACTCACCAATTATGTGAAAATGCCAACTGGTCTTCTTACCTGATTTGAATAATATCTCTCAAGAAGACAAAAATGTCCAGAGACGGTATGCATAAACCATGCAAAACAAAAAGATAGAAATAATTTATTTTCCTGAGGAGGCAGAGGCAAATTCAGGTACTTCATGAGCAGGCAATTTCTAAAAAGTGAAAAGAACCAAAAGAAAAGAAGAAATAATCTATTCCTGTAGAATAATATAGAAATTTGAGATTGAAGATACTTTCTCAGTTGATACATTCTTAATTTACAGAGTCAAGATGAAAGCAGCATATAGTATGATCACATAAACCACGAATACATGGAAGCTTTTGTATTATGAATATAGAGGCACACATGGACATAAATATCTAGAAGGAGAGTTATTAACCTGTACTCATGGTTGTTTGAGTGTAATGGGATCACATGTAATTTTCTCTCTCTTTGCAATACTGCATCTTCACTATTTTCTACAATTAAAATGGAATACTTGTAAGACAAGTATGTACCTTTTCCTGGAAAAGATTCCACAGCTTTCTGCAACATACAGAAAATCCACAAGAATTATGAGGTTTAAGGAAATGTTACATATAGGAAATGTATTACACATACAAAGAGGTGTAGGAACCCCCTTAGAAGAAAGAGACATATTTAGTATTGGTTATAGTGATACAGAGCCTAATGAGGGCATGTGCTTTTGTTCTGGAATGCTCTGTTCATATTTGTCCCAATTTTTAATCTTTCTCTTCTCTATCATATACTTTACTTGGAACATGTGTGTAATGAACATTTTCTTTTTGTCCCCCACCCCCACTGTCTTGAGTTACCCAGTGCTGAATTGCTCTCCAGGTTTTAATAATCCTTTCATAATAAACCTTTGTGAGTAGAAGAGTATGCATTTAACATAGCATCCTGCCACTAGGACATAGACATAAAACCCAGGTTTGGACAATCAGATATGTTCATCCTCATAATCCTAGCACGGGTTTTGCTGGAAGGTGGCCAAAGCAACACGCTGCGCTTCCATGGGTAGCAGTGCCAGAGCATGACAGCAGGATAAAGTCCATGGAAGTGGTACAAGCGCCGTGGTCCACTGCTCTGTGGGGATGGCTGTGGTACCTTCCCTCAAACTGCTTTGTGGCGGTGAATCTTTCTTCTTAATTTTGTAACATACCAACTATCATTTTAATAAATCCATTTGATTCTTTGAGCATCAGCCAAAGTCAGTTTCTGTTGTGTCTGTTTAAAAAGTCTTGACTGATACAAAGTGTAAAGAAATTATGACAGGAGAAAATAAAATAACTTCCTGGAATGTATACTTTATTATTTTGAAGTTTGGAATAGAAATTTAAAGATCTTGGGACACAGGTGGTGTTTTATGACTTTTTCCAGTGAAATGTTGTGACTTTGGAAAAGAAAGGAGGAAATTGAATGTAAATTGAATGTAAACACCTAGAGCACACAGATGGTGTTGAAAAACTGAATTTGGTTTACTGGACCGTAGTTTATGATATTATTACAGCAGTTTTTGGCAAAAGGATGGCATACACCTCACCAGAGCTCGTAGAAATGTTTTCATGACGTTGCTAAAATATATGGAGGCTTTAAGTTTTATAATGAAAAAGAAAATGCCCTAATCAAATGATATATTATTTATTATGGATAACATTTATTATGAATAGATGTTCATTCATAAAATATGCATTTAATACTTTCTTTGTGTCAGGTATTATGTTGCTGAAAAGAGAAAACAGAGCAATCTCTTCTTTCAAGAAATGTCTCTTTTATACTCTCCAAGCTGCTCTTTAACCCTCTATGATAATATTTTGTTCATTTGTTTGCATCCTATCATTTGTGAATTCCTTGGAGAAATGAAACTTATCTTCTATTTCTTTATGTTTCTACTACATAACACAATCTCTCATACATAATTGGCTTTCAAGAACTGAATACTGAATGAATAAATGAATGTATGAATAAATGAATAGAAGAAATGACATTACCAATGAGCAGACTAAGCAATTACCCTCAGTGAGTGTTTGATTTGCATTCTAGTAAACTTGCATATCACTGACATGAAGGAACACGGGAGGCATGTATATCAAATTCACAGATGCTGCGTAGGTATAGGGGATACTTAAAACATATGGTGCCAGTCAGAGATCTCAGCATTTATCATCCAGCACTAATTTAAGCAACTATATCAAAGAACTTAGAATAGAGTACTTCACTGTGTTTTTCTTTTCATTTTTTTTTGAAATTTCAAGTTTTATTTTAGATACAGGGGTACATGTGCTGGTTTGTTACATGGGACTATTATGTGATACTGAGGTTTGGAGTATGAATCCCATCACCTAGGTAGTGAGCATAGTGCCTAATAGGTAGGTTTTCCATCCATGGCCTCCCTGCCTTTCTCCCTCTCTAGTAATCCACAGTGTCTATTGTTCCCATGTTTATATTCATGTGTGCTCAATGTTTAGCTCCCACTTACAAGTGAGAACATGTAGCATTTGATTTTCTGTTTCTGCATTAATTTACTTAGGTTGATGGCTTCCATCTGCATCCATATGGAGCATGAGTTTTCTATTCTTTATGGCTGCATAGTATTCCATGGCATATATGTACCACATTTTTTAAAATACATTGATAAGCACCTCCTAGGTTGTTCATCAATGCACTATTCACATTGTGGTTCTTAAAAAAGATTCAACTGGGGTCGGGCACGGTGGCTCACACCTGTAAAACCCAGCACTGTGGGAGGCTGAGGCAGGTGGATCACCTGAGGTCAGGGGTTTGAGACCAGCATGGCCAACATGGTAAAACCCTGTCTCTACTAAAAATACAGATAATTAGCCGGGCATGGTGGTGGGTGCCTGTAATCCCAGCTACTTGGGAGGCTGAGGCAGGAGAATCGCTAGAGCCTGGGAGGCAGAGGAGGTTGTAGTAAGCCAAGATTGCACCACTGCACTCTAGCCCGGGTGACAGAGTGAGACTCAGTCAAAAAAAAAAAAAAAAAAAAAAAAAAAAGAAAAGATTCAATTGATTAGGAAGGGCATGAAATAGATCTGGCTTAAAAGAGGGTAATAGGACAAAATAAACCAATACAATGTAAGGATAAAACTGACAGCACACTCAATGTTTGACAACAGTGTAACAGGACCTCTAATAATATCAGTTTTGTTGGTGAGGGAGGAAGAAGCCATCCACACTTACTGAGGTGGCCAGGGCTTGAAGAAAGAACTCTTCTCAGCAGGTCTGAATTTGAAGGTCCCTGAAAAAGTAGGGCACATTCAGGAAAGAGTGATCTTCGTGATTTAGTGCCTAATAAGCATAATATATATTTTAACAACCTGAGGAAAGGTAGTTTAGAAACATTTAACATGAGCAGCTTGTAATTAGCTCAAGATTGCCATGTAGACATTAGTTATCAGTTGAAATTCTAAAGTGTCCAGCACCTTTCCAGAGTAGGCTCCAGGCAGATATCAGGAGTTGAGGCACCAAATCAGGAGTTCAAAGAGTAAAGGAAAAGAGATGATGGACTAAAGGGTAAGATAAATAAACAACCTGAGACCGGGGCTATTGCCAGAAGCTGGCTTTTACCTGTTTGTTTGTTTGGAGCTTGAAAGACTAGTCAGTACAACATTTACAACGTAAGGGCAGATGCATACACAGAGCTATGACAGATAGGCTAAAGTACTCTTTATAAATGTGTCTTAAAATCACTTCTTTTTCCAGTAAACTTTTTTTTTAATAAAAGTATTCATTTCCAGAAATGATTGGAATACAAATGTGACACTGAACACAGGTAGACAGTTCCTCTTGCACTGAAACTCTTTGAGTCATAGCTGGATTATATCACAGAGATCATAGAAGCAAACATTAGTTTGAGTGAAAGTTTATTGTAAGAGGAATTTGTAAAATCATTTCCAACTCAAGAACTCTCTGTGTTTACTCAATTTATAAAAGTGAAAGATGTTTTAATTAGCATAAATCACAAATACACTGTGAAATATTTTGGAAGATTGCATACACAAATGTTAAAGTAAAACAATGTTGTATTTAATGTTTATCATTTATGCACAGAGGAAAGTGAGTTTCTTTTTAAAATTTTAAATAGTATTCCTCCTATTTAGAAGTAATATAACACAGACTCTGAGACTGCCTGAATTAAATCTGAGTTTCAATATTTTCTAGCTCTGTGATCTTCAACAAGTTATTTTTTGCCTCAATTTCCTTATCTACTCAAGCAAGATAATAATAACCTTATCAGTGCTACTATAAGAGTTCAAAATATGTACACATGTTCCTAAATATTTTCTTTACATTTGTGATAGCACAATGGGGTTCTATTGGCAATAATAACTTAGTTATACATTTTAAAATAGAATTAAAACTACTGCAATGTTGTTTCCTCATTCAAGAATGTGATCTGCTTTAACATTTACTTCCATCTTACTGTAGACCTTGCAATAAAGATTTTTAATTTTCTCCATGACAGTGTCTTTTTTCGTTTTAGTTATAGGCCTGATAACCTTACAATTTGTGATGATATTGTGAATGTTATCTTTTTTTAACATGAGATTATCATTTATTACAGCACTGCTTTTTTAAGAATACTATTAATTTCTGTATATTGTGCTGTCTCTAACAACTACTGAATGTTCTTCTGTTAGTGTCAACAGATTACCTGTAGTTTCTTTAATTTTCCCTGTAGACATTCATGTCATCTCTGAAGAAAAAAAGTGTGTTTTTCTCATTTCCAGCCCTTATTATTATGGTCCAATGTCTTGTCTTATTGCTCTGATAAGGGCCCTAAGTACAATATTCAGCAAAAACAGTGGTAGTAGACATCCACATCTTGTCAACAACTAGTTCTAACATGTCATTCTAAGGAGATTTCCTTATTTTCTACTTTATTAAAGGTTTTTTCTTTTATGTTGTATGACTGTTGAATTGTAATACATGTTTTTCTACATATTTTGAAATAATTATGTAGTATTTTTCCTTAATCTGTTCATGTGGTAAATAACATTAATAGATGTATTACATCAAATCATTAATGTTGGATCATTTTTTCATTCCTTGATTTGGAGTGCTATTATTTTATTCATGATTTTCTCCTGTGTTGATAAATGAAAACTACGTACAATTTTCTTTGTTAGTAATGCCCTTGACCAATCTTTATAACAAGATTATTCCAGCCTCATACCAGGAATTAGAGACTTGGCCTTCTATTTTATTTTTGTAATACATTATACAAGCCAAGAATTATTAGTTCCTTTATTTTGATGGGAATAACTAATTAAATAGTTTGGCCTAGTGATTTTTAGAAAAAGTTTTTACCATGCATTTAATTTTTCAAAATCATAGTATTATTTATGTTTTCTATGTCTCCTTGAGTAGGTTTTGGGAGTTATAATTTTCTAGGAAATTGTCTATTTCCTCTAAACTATCAAACTTATTGGCATAGATTACCTTATGGTTTTTATAGTGTATATAGTTACCATAGATAAAGTTTCTTTATTATTTCTGGTGTCATTTTTGGTGCCTTAAAGCTTTGTCTATTTTATTAAGGTTTTTTTTTTTCCTTTAAAGAAATAGAGTTGTTATTCTCTATGGTTTATTTTCTATTTCTTTAATTTCTGCTCTTATTGTTATGATTTTTTTATTTGGATTCACTTTAAGCTGAAATTTAGAGAGTATAAAAAGATGTTTAGTTAATTGTATATTAACCTTACCATTTTAGTTACACAAGTTTCCTTTTTTTTTTTTTTTTTTTTTTTGAGACAGAGTCTCACTGTCGCACAGGCTGGAGTGCAGTGGCGTGATCTCAGTTCACTGCAACCGACACCTCCCGGGTTCAAGTGATTCTTCTGCTTCAGCCTCCTGAGTAGCTGGGACTACAGGTGTCCGCCACCATGCCCAGCTAATTTTTGTATTTTTAGTAGAGATGGGGTTTCACCATGTTGGCCAGGATGGTCTCGACCTCTTGACCTTGTGATCTGTCTGCCTCGGCCTCCCAACATGCTGGGATTACAGGCATGAGCCACGGCGCGTGATCAAGTTTCCTTTTTTAATGTTCTCCCATGAAGTATTTTTTTTTCAAATTGCAACAGAAATCAGAGTAATGCTTGTTATACAAAGGAGATAATACAATGGAAACGTGCACAAAGGCAAAAAAACAACAAAATTTCACCTGCCCGATCACTAAACCTCTGTCAGCCTCATTCTGAAGCTTCATTCAATGTTTAAAGCCTTGATAGACACAACCCTTCTGTCTTCATGCATTGCGCGTTAACTAGAAACCTACAATACATGAAATTTCTGACTATATATGTGTGTGTGTGTTTTAATAAGTTTTAAGTTTATTTTTGTTTGTATCTATATAAAAATTTGTCTGTTATACACATCATCATTTAGTTGGCTATTTTTTTTTTTTTGAGACGGAGTCTCGCTCTGTCGCCCAGGCTGGAGTGCAGTGGCGGGATCTCGGCTCACTGCAAGCTCCGCCTCCCGGGTTCACGCCATTCTCTTGCCTCAGCCTCCCAAGTAGCTGGGACTACAGGCGCCCGCCACTACGCCCGGCTAATTTTTTGTATTTTTAGTAGAGACAGGGTTTCACCGTTTTAGCCGGGATGGTCTCGATCTCCTGACCTCGTGATCCGCCCGCCTCGGCCTCCCAAAGTGCTGGGATTACAGGCGTGAGCCACCGCGCCCGGCCTTTAGTTGGCTATTTTTATATTGCATGTAAAAATGTGTGCTAATATTATGTTGTATTTTACATATATAAGCCAATATATAGCATTTATATATAAAATATAAAAATTAATACTCTCATAACATTGGTAATAGCTTTGGAGACCTTAGGTGCTTTTCTTTGATTGTACTCCCCACCTCTTAATCCTACTCAAAATTATACCTCTCTCAAGAGAGAGTTAATATCTTGAATTTTGAGCAACTTGTTTTAATTATCTCCATGATATATCATATACCCCCTAAGTCATTACATATTGGTTAATATGTTTTTATAATATTTATAAACATATATACACTGGTATGTGCATTATCACCTATATAGTATTGGCATTATAGTACACATTCTTTTTATTTTATTGCTATAGTTTTTTTTCTTTACTTACCTCTCACTTTCCTCTTTTCCTCTCCCCTACTCACTTCCACTTTCCACTACAAGTCACTGGTACTCATTTTAAAAACCTGGTGGTCATCTTTGTTTTCTTCCATACATTGTTCCTAGTTTAATCATATGTAAGTATGGCTTAAAATGATACATTTTGCAAATACTCGTAGTTACATACGAAGTCAAAATGTCTGTGTAAATATGCATATTTATTGTAGAAATTATTTTTATAAACTATTGTGTTTTATATTGCTTATTCGATGATAATGAAAAGTGTTGTTTCACCTGATATAATTCTATTTTTAAATGGTTACATAATATTTCATTTTGTGGGTGCACATAGTTCACTTCGCTGTTCTCCTATTGATAATCATCTGCTTTACCTAAGGATACACTATAAACATTGCCTTAATAAATGTGCCTATGTTTAAAATATTTGACTAAGACTTCTATCTCTTTGGCATAGATTCCCAAGAGTGACATTACTGAAGTTAAAGGTATTTTTAATTTTAGTTAATGTTGCTAAAACTGAGATTAACATTTGTATATCCAGAAGAAATTAATGGAAGTGTACTTTATTTTCATATCTGTGCCAGCAACAGTTCTTAACACTCTTTTTTAAAATTTTGCCATTCTGTTGGGTAAAAGTACTATCTCATGGTTACTTTAATTTGTAAGCCCCTGATCAATACTGAATTCAACCGTATTATTTTTTGTGCTGACCATTTAGTTTTTATTTTCTGTCAATTGCCTATTTCCATTTTTTGCTTATTTTTCTTTTACATCTTTCACCTATTAACAGTTTGTAAGAACCTTTTTGTAGTATAGACATTATCTCTTTATCTGTCATTTGTTTTATAATTTTCCACTCAATAATATTACTTTTTTATTAATGTTGTGTTTTATAAAGAATGTACAATACCAAATGAATAATAACAGTATTTACTAAACTGTTATAGGCATGGTTTCATCAACAACCTCAACCAGCTATCTCACATGTGAGAAAATAAAATAATTTCCAGGAGCATTCAGAATATTTTGTGATTTTGAATTTCTCCACTGGGGAATTGTCTTTTGTGATTGAGATAAAATATTTAAAGACTAAACTTTCTAGACAAATAACAAAGGAGATTTAGCTGTGTGCCACTGCTGCACAGTTTCAAAAGAGAAACTTTCTCTCCTGTAAGCAAGGCAATGTGCCCTTGAGCAACAGAATACATAATCATCACAGCTGGAATTAGAACAAATAGTTTAGCATGCTGATAAAAGCATAATTATTGCATGAATTGACCACTTGGATATTTTAGCTCTTAGAAAGTCAAACTTTATGATTGCTTAACTCCTATGAATAGCATCAAAATGAATTCCCAAAAATAACTAAATATATATATTTACTACTTCCAATTAATCTTATTTGTTTTTCACCCAAATACTGTCTTAGGTTATGTTGGGGAACTGAGTAGCATCTAGCTAAAGAAAAACAATTAACATCCAACACTAAGTGAGTAATATTTAATTATGCTTCATTAGAAGTCATCAAAACAATATTATAGTAACAAGTTTAGTCTTTAACAGAACTAGAAGAGCAAAGACAAAGTTTGAATATTTTTTTAAAAAATACAACAAACTACAATAAGTATAGATGGGGAAAGAACACTAAAGCCAAAAGGCAAGGCAGGAAAATAAGCCTGATTTAACATGACAAACCTTATTTAGCAATATTTTTTAGAAACTAAGCCCCAACTCTCTCTGGACCAAGAGTTTGCTTTGTGATAAATACATGACGCTTAATTTTACAAGACGCTTGAAGTGTAGCCAATACCACTTGTTTAAAAAAAAAAAACCAAACACTTTATTTTGTCAAAACATAATCAACAACCACGAGAGAAAAAGTTAGAAATAAACTGAGCGCTTATCAGAACGAGGCACTTTACATTATATGTATATGACATAAGCCACAAAATAAAATTGAAAAGGAATTTATTTTATAGAAGAAATAATGCAGCAATGTGAAGTTGTGTAACTTGCCCAGAGTCCCATAGCTAGTAAATGTTATTGCCATGGTTCTAGACCAAGGCTTCAAGACTCAGGATGGTATGATCAATTAAATAACCACTCATCTAAACATACACACACAAACCGGCATGTGTCCAGTTTCTAGTTAAGCTGTACTTAGAAAACCATTAGAAATTTTATATATAAAATTTTATATATTATATATAATTTTAAAATTATATATTAAATAAAATTAAATAAAATTATATATAATTTTAAAATTATATATAAAATTTTATATATATAAAATTTCTAATGGTTTTCTAAGTACAGCTTAACTAGAAACTGGACACATGCCAGTTTGTGTGTGTATGTACATATGTAACAAACCTGCACATTGTGCACATGTACCCTAAAACTTAAAGTGTAATAATAATAAAATTTAAAAAAGGAAAAAAAGAAATTTTAAATGATCAAGACTTGTGTGAATTTAGAGAAGTAAGAAAATAAAAAAGAAAACTCAAGGCAACAGAAAGATTTGGACAGAGCATTGAAAAGAGAGTTGAAATTGGATAAACAGAGTAAGAAAAGGACACTTCTACATGGTAAAAAACTATTCCATAGAAGTTAAATAATTATGATAATTTTTGTCATCTCCATCCTAAGAGATGTGGGATTCTGTTTTTCTAAATTAAAAATCAACAAAAATTTAATTTAAAGTAAATATAGTGTAATTAGAGATCTTAAGCCCTAGCAAAGTGACCAAAGCTGGCTTGCCCTCTGCCCCATAAAGTATTCCTAGATAATGCATAATGGTTGTTAAACTAGGAGATGGGTAGTCAATTCAATAGCTAAGAAATAACAATTGTAAAGAATAGCATGTTTAGTTGTACAAATTCAGGAAAGACATCTAAAATAACCCCAATCCTTCATGTTAACTAGAAACCTGAAATATATGTAGCTTCTCTCACTCTAAACTTCAAGGGAAAACAGATTCAAAAAGATGTTTATAGGAAATCTCATATATCAACTCTTCCAATGGGATGGTCCACTGCTGGCCTTTGGCATAATCTACACGTTTGTGTGTATGTGCTGGTTCTCACTGGTTTATTTTCTTACCATGGTGATGCCTGAATCTACAGCACCCAATTGTGGCAGGCGTTGGAGCAGATGCCTTAACTCCATGTGCCTTTTATGGCTAAATCCGGGTCTGACACTCCACGCACATTGTTAGCTCTGCACCCACTGTCAAGCAGTCCTCCTTATCTCCTTCAAGGGATTTTTAAACCATCGCACTGCAACAAAAAGGGCTCTTCTGTTACCTTCACTGGTGTTTCATCAATGTGGTGATATTGTTCTCTCCTGAGCTGGCCTTATTTTCTGATGAGTAGAGAGACAGACATTCCTTGCATGAATGGGATCGCTTTTCTCGCTCTGTCCTCAAGTCCCTTTTCTATCTCCACGCAAGTGCAGGAGGTAGAGGTGCTGTCGACATTAACAGAAATCACTCTAGGAATCCAATAGTCATGGTCTAAAGAGTTCAAGAAAAGTTATGTTTTTACATTTGTGCTATATAATTCCCAGTGATAAATTTAACATGACCAGAAAATTGATTATTGTTCACGTTTTCCTACATACTTTGGGTAAACTTGCATTGGTGGTCACGTCAAAGCACAAGAACAGAGAAATCCACTGGCAGCCAGTGGTCAATGGTGGGAAAATGAATAATACAGCATCATGACTGTGTAACCAACATTAAACAAATGATACTAGGAACTGCAGAGGCAAGGAGATCTATATTGTTTCAATAGGAATTCCAAAGAGCCATGTCATTGTAAGCAATAATAGTGCATGAGAAATAATGTTGCTACCTTTCTGGTGATAGGAGATTAGAAATAAGGCAGAAACTGTGTAGCTAAACATAAAGAAAAGAAAGAGATGGTTCCTGGACCAAAACATGAAAAGGGTTTGCTTGGAAAATACCAAGATTCTTCACAGGTACTGACTAATAAGATAGTAAACAAATGAATACATGCCCATATATTCTTTATCTATTTTGCTGCCTCTTTGCCAATAAATCCCTATACTTTACATGATCCATGAATGTTATAATACGTTGTTTAATAAAAGTGTTCACGTAGTCAAGGGGTGCTACAAATTATACTTAGTGGGGCCCAACAAATTCTAGGGGCCACCCTTTCTTTTCCTTTTTATCCCCACTTCTTCGTACAGATTCCAAAAACACCTATGTTTAAGGCAGTATTTTACTACATTTAGTACATTATGGCTTTGTCTATAGCTCAATGGTTGCTACTGATCTCCAGAATAATAGAAAGAAGACAAAGAAAGAAAGACTGTTTGCTATGTTTAGGTCTCACCATTTGATCACCAACAAAGCTGATGGGAGAATGACTATATTTTCCAATAAAGAATACCCCAGGGTTTGTGGAGATTTGACACCTTGTATTCACTGAAAGAGAAAAAAAAACCACTATTCTTATTAGAGAGATCTCTCCAATTTGTGATGCAGGGGAATTATGGGAATATAAGAATATGATCTCATGTGGAGTTTTAACGACTTGTTGTCCTTTGACCAAATCCTAGTGCAACGGTATTTATTATATAATACTGTTGTCCAGGTAAAATCCTGAAACCTTAAATATGTAACTAGCTCAAGCAACTCGGTTATAATAACATGAATACTGTGGCAGATAAAGTAGGCAGAAGTATATGTAGTAATGAAAGAAGGTAAAATATATTTTAACACCATTACCAGCCAACACAATATGAACAAATGTATTTTGCCTATTGCTTTGGCAAAGCTTAGTCTTTTTAGTATTCAGCATTGACAAGCATGTGGAGAAATGGCTTCTGATTCACTTTAGACAGGAATATAAATAACTGCAAGTCTCTCGAAGGGTAATTTGGGTATAGCTATCAAAATTTTTTAAATGTACATATATTTTATTCCAGCAATTGTACTTCTAGGTAGATGTGCTCAATATTTTAAAGAAAAAGTTTCTTGCGGCATGACTATAATTAAATAAAATCAGAAAAGAAACAATCTAAATGCCAGAATAAGATATTATTTATAAGTTATATGCTTCTACTATGAACTTTGAAGACATTAAAAATAATGTAAACATTTCTAAAATGCAGAGAATATAATACATTGTTAAATAAAAATAGTTACACAAGTATGACATATTATTAAAATATATGGGAGATATATATGAATATATGTGCATAGGTGCAAAAAGTTTATTTAACAAAATATTAACTATTTTTAGATGATAACATTATGACTTCTTATTATGAGTTACTTTTGTTGTGGGCTTTAAAATTTTCCTTTTGCAAATTTTATACAATGAAAATAGAAAACTTTATAATCAAAGCGCACTACATGTTATAATTTTTAAAACTGCTACTTCTCACTCACAAACATAGGCAAATACATTATATTCTAACTGCACTGGTTTATTTTTATACATTCCACTAATATATCAGTTTTATTAAGATAATCACATCAATGTTTAGGAAGACTCTGAAGTCAGAGCAATGAAGAAATAATACACTGCTTTCAAAAAGCACACATTTTACATACTTACTTTACATATTTACCTTACTCTTAACCATATTTATCCCACTGTGCAATAGAACACTAGAACTTATTCCTCTCATTATGTTGTAATTTGTGCCCACTGACCAACTTCTCTCTATCCTCCACCCTCTACTTATGTAATATCAACCGTTTCTTTTTTAGATTCCACATGTGAGTGCTATCATGTGGTATTTCTCTTTTTGTGTATAGCTTACTTTTACTTAATATGATGTCCTCCAGGTTCATTTATGTTACAACAAGTGACATGGAATGTAGAACTGATGAAACAACTGAGATACCAGACCATTAAACCCCACAGGGAAACACGTAGTAAGATGCATACATCATAAGTACACCATATAATTAACTTTCACATATACAGATGACTTAAGTCAAGGTGTAAAGTATTTCCAAAATGCTTAGATCAAGGCATAGAACAGAACTGTCATCTCAGTAAGTATCTTATGACACATTTTCAGTCAAGAGCCACCCCCCAACCACCCTTCAATTCATAGTCTTCATATTTTCCGTAGCAATAGTAATATCTCTCATTATTCAGTTCTTGTCCTATGATTATGTCTGTGCTAGATATTCTAAATAAATATTTTATTTAATAATACTAATATTCAAATAAAAGAATGACTATCAATATTAATCAGCTTACTCCAAGTTACAAAAATTGTTAATAGCAAATAGAAAAAATCCAATTACATTCTCTAAGTTATTTTAAATATACAAGGAAGTTATTATTGACTATGGTCACCCTGTTGTGCTACCAAATAGTAGGTCTTATTCATTCTTTCTATTTTTTTTTGTACCCATTAACCATCCCCACCACCCTCTCCAACCCCCCACAACCCTTCTCAGCCTCTGGAAACCATCCTCCTACTCTCTATGTTCATGAGTTAAATTGTTTTGATTTTTAGATTCTACAAATAAGTGAGAAAGTGATGTTTGTCTTTCTGTGCCTGGCTTATTTCACTTAACATAACAATCTCCATAAGAGCGTTTCATTTACCTTCAAACTTAAAGACATTGTTTGTGTTATGTGGACTTTCGTAAAGTTAAACAATGGAGTTTGGTAATAACTGCATTTCTAAAATTGGCTTGATAAGTGACATCAGCAAGATGGAGGGCTAAAAAGTCCTTGCTCATTTCCTGTCTAAAACCAAACAATTTTAACAACTAGTCAGAAATTAAAATAGCTCTGGAGGAGCTCCATAGTACAAATAAAATGCTGCAGCAACTCAGTGGAACAACAACAAAACAAGAATGGTAGCATAGAAAATGGCAGGAAGCATTTTACCTGCATTGCCCTATACCCTCATGCATCCTTTAGATGCAATTTCTCTACATGGAGAAAAAGAAGGGTAGAAAAATTTCAATAGCCTTCAATGCTGAGAACTAAAAAGCCCTTGTTATCTCATGGACACCCACACATGCCACAACAGAGGACCCCTGCAGTCTTTGTGAATGCTAAACCCAGCTGACAGCTGTTCCAGAGCCCATGATGATATGTCCCCCAACCAGCCAGACCTTTCATTGTACCACCTACCAGAGCCAGAGCCACCACTATAATCTTTATCCTCGGATGGAGCCCTGGCACTGCCTGCCAACATGTATATCTAAACCCTGGACCAGATGTTGCTATACACCTCTCTTAGCCAGCACCCCTGCATCTACCTATAGGCAAGATATTTTCTCACCAAAGCCAGTCCATGAAGTCAGGAAGAAGTGACTCCCCTTTCAAGTGCACAGACAAGTGCACAAGGGTATAAGAAATATAAAAGCATAATAACACCAAAGGAAAAAAAAGTCTCTAGAAAAGAAGTTCCAAAGAAATAGAGATCTTTGAAATGCCTGACAAAGAATTCAAAATGTTTTTTAATTGGCACATTATAATTGTACATATTTATGGTGTACAATATAATATTTCAATAAATATGTATGTTGCATAATGATAAAATGAAGGTAATTACCATATCCATCTCCTCATGCTTTTAAATTTTTTGTGGTGAGAATATTCAAACGCCTCTCCTTTGACTATTTTGTAATATGTAATATCTTACTCTTAACCATATTTATCCCACTGTGCAATAGAACACCAGAACTTATTCCTCCCATTATGATGTACTTTGTCCGCATTGGCCAACCTTTCTCTATCCTCCACACTCTACTTATAATATCAACCTATTTTGTTTTTAGATTAGAAATTGTGAGTGTTATCATGTGGTATTTCTCTTTATGTATCTGCCTTATTTTACTTAATATGATATCCTCTAAGTTCATTTATGTTACAACAAATGACATGGAACCTAGGACTGATGAAAGAACTGAGACACCACTGCATCAAAATCCAAAGAGAAACACCACAGAAAATCGGTGTAACTGGACAGTGGGGAAGCTGCTGAACTCGCAGACAAACCACCACACCCATGTGCACAAACATCAAGCATGACAACCAACACAGTGGCAGTCCCACCTACTGAAAAATCCACCACACAGCTAACCAGTCTACTGTGCCTATGTATTCTTGCACTTGGCCTGACAGCCAGTCTGGCATTGGCCCTTCCCATCAGAGAGACTGCCCTGCCACATGGGTCATGGGCCTGACAACCAGTACAGTGATGGCTGCACCTCCCTGAAGGCATTGACATTCAGCCTGCCTGTGTCTGGCCCATAAACCAGATAAATGCCCCTCCCCTAACCAAAACCATGCCACTTTCATCACAGACTCCTTCAGCCCAGACCACTGAAGTAGTTGCAAACATAACAGACAAACATTACAACTGAAGAAACTTCACAGAATCCATGCTCCTAAGTCCAACAAGAACCAAAGCCAATGCACTGTTCCCAACTGACTCTGTCAGAACCATCTGCAGGAAAAATGTCTCTTGCTACAAAAGCTACTCCAGAAAATTAGAAAAAGCAACTGTTTCACCAGAGGCACAGACATCAATGTAGGGATACAAAAAACAAACAAACAAAAAACCAAAAAGGAAACACGATCCTCTCAAAGAACACGATAAGCTTCCAGTAACAGATTCCCAAAAAGAATATTTATGAAATGCCTAAAAAGAAATTTTAAAAAGATACCCAAAAAGCAATGAGATAGAACAGAATATGAAAAAGTAATTCAATGATATCAGAAAAATAATTCATAATCTGAATGAAAAAATCTACAAAGAGATATCATTAAAAAAAGAAATATTGGGGCTGGGCGCGGTGGCTCACGCCTGTAATCCCAGCACTTTGGGAGGCCGAGGCGGGCGGATCACGAGGTCAGGAGATCGAGACCATCCTGGCTAACACGGTGAAACCCCGTCTCTAATAAAAATACAAAAAAAAAATTAGCCGGGCGTGGTGGTGGGCGCCTGTAGTCCCAGCTACTCGGGAGGCTGAGGCAGGAGAATGGCGTGAACCCGGGAGGCGGAGCTTGCAGTGAGCCGAGATGGTGCCACTGCACTCCAGCCTGGGCAGCAGAACGAGACTCCGTCTCAAGAAAAAAAAAAAAAAAAAAAAAAGAAATATTGGAACTAAAGAGTGTAATGAATGAAATGAGAACTTAAACACCAAGCAGAAGAAAAAATTTCTGAACTTAAAGACAAGTTTTATGAAATATTACAGTTAGAGGGAAAAAAATAATAAGAAGAAACAATGAAGAAAGCCTATGGGACTTACAGGTTACCATAAAGCAAACGAATATTCACTATATAGGGATGTCAGAGGAAAAAAGATTTCAAACAATGTCCTGAAAACCTAGTTAATAAAATAATAACTGAAACATTTCCAGATCTTGGGAAAGATATAAACATCTAGATTTAGGAAGCTCATAGATGCCAATTAGATTCAACCCAATAGGATTCTCCTGAGATACAACATAATCAAACAGGAAAAATTTGGAAGACAGATAATTCTAGAAGCTGTAATAAAAAAGCATTAAATCACACATGAGGAAACTTCCATTAGAATATCCACAGATTTCTCAGCAGAAACATTGCAGGCCAGAAGAGAATGGGAATATAATTATTTAAAATGAAGAAAAGAAAAAGTGTCAGCCAAGAACACTATAGTTAACAAAGCTGCTCTTTCAAATTAAACAAAAAAAATAAAGACTTTTCCAGATGAGCAAAAGCTGAGGGAATTCATCACCACTGGACTGGCCTTGCAAGAAATGCTTAGGGAAATGTTTTAACCAGAAATGAAAGGAAAATAAAACAAATGAAACTATAAAACAAAGTGGTAGAGGTAAATTCATAGTCAAATTCGTATATCATTACTGTAATATTGGTGTGTAAATCATTCGAATCCTTACTATGAAGGGTAAAAGCTAAAATGATCAAAAATAGTTATAGATACAATAAGTTTTTAAGAAATATACAAGATCAGAATGTATAAATTGTGGGGGAGGGTAAAAGTCTAGAGCATTTGTATATGAGCAAAATTTAAGTTATTATCAGTTGAAAGTTGTCTATCCTAATTCTAAGATATTTAATGTAAGCCCCGTGATAACCAGAAAGTAAAAACTACAGCAGATACACAAAACAGAAAGAGAAGCAAATTAATGCTTGACACTGCAGAAAAACACCAAATTACAAAGATAGACAACAAGAATAGAAGAAAGGAAAAATGATCTATAAATCAACCAGAAAACAGTTAGCAAAATGTCAAGTGGAATTTCTTACCTATCAATGATAATCTTGAATATAAGTGAATTAAATGCTTCAATCAAAAGACAAAGGGTGACTGAGTAGATTTTTAAAATAATCAACTATTTTGTGCCAGCAAGAGACCCATTTAAGCTTTAAGGACATATATAGGCTGTATCTGAAAGAATGAAGAAAATATTTCATGCAATAAGTAACCAAAAGAGAGCAGGGGTGGCTATATTTACATAAGATAAAATAGACTTCAAGACAAAAACTGTTACAAGCAACAAAAAGGTCATTATTTAATGATTAAGGGCTCAATTCATCAGAAGAACATAACAATTTTATGCACCCAACATTGGAGCAACTAAACATGTAAAGCAAATATTAATGGACATGGAGGAAGAATCAGGGAGAAATACGCTAATAGTAGGAGAATTGTATATTCCACTTTCAACAACAGATAGATCAACCACACAAAAAATTAATACGTTAATACTGGTCTTCAACTGCACTTTAGACCAAATGGATCTAACAGACATATATAGAACTTTCTATCCCAAAACAGCAGGCAAACTAAAAGAAATCTAAAAGACTCAAGACTCAAATAATTAAAATCAGAAATGAAAATGGAAACATTATAGCAGATGCCTCAGAAATAAAAAGAATATAAAAGAAATAAATAATTATATGCCAACAAATTATATGCTAACAAGCAGAGGAAATGAATAAATTCCTAAAACAATATAATCTACTAAAATTAAATCAAGAATAAATAGGAGGCTTGAACAGCACAATAACAAATAAAGAGATTAAAGAAGTTATTGAAAAACTTCCAACAAAAAAAGTTTTAAAAAAGTATTGGTAATAATTCTTTGAACGTTTGGTAGAATTTAGAAATTCTACCAATTCTTCCAAATTTCTCTCAAAGAAAGAAATTCTACCAAACATTCACAAAATTATTTCCAATACTTCTAAATCTCCTGCAAAAAAAAAAAAAAAGCTATGGAAAATACTTCCAAACACATTTTATGAGGTCAGTATCACTTTCATATCTAAGCCAAAGATATCACAAGAAAATAAAACTACAAGCCAAATACTTCTAATAAACATTGATGCAAAAAGCCTAGTAAAATATTAGCAAATAAAATCCAACAATACAACAAAAAGATTATACATCATAATCAAGTGGGATTTATTCCTGGCATGCAAGTTTCGTTTAACATATGCAAGTTGATCAACGTGATACATCACATTACCAGACTAAAAGATAAAAACGCGTTATTATCTCAGTTAACACAGAAAAACCATTTGACAATGTTCAGCATCCTTAATTGATAAAAACTTTAAGCAGCTTAGGTATAGAAGAAAAGTTCCTTAGCATAATATAATAAAGGCCATTTATGAAATATTCACCGTTAACATCATTATTGATGGGGAACAATTGAAAATGTTTCAAGATCTGGTACAAGACAAAGATGCTTACTCTCACTATTTCTACTCAACATAGTAATGGGAGTATGAGCAAGAACAAATAGGTAAGAAAAAGACGTAAGAAGCTTCCAAATTAAAAAAAAAAAGAGGTAAAATTATCTCTATCTGCAATTGAGATAATCTTATACATAGAAAACCACATATATTCCACAAAAATCTATTAGAAGTAATAAACTTTAAGTAAAATTGCAGGAGTACAAAATCAACATACAAAAATCAATATAATTTCTATATACAAATAGCAACCTAGCTGAAAAAGAAATCAACAAAACTATCCTGTTTACAATATCATTAAAAAGTATGTAATTGACTCTTGAACAACTTGGGTTTAAACTGCATGGGTAAGTTTCTCTGTGAATTTTTAAAAATATAGTCAGCCCTTTGTATTCATAGGTTATGTGTCTGCACCAAACATGGATTGAAAATGTAGTATTCACAGGATGCAAAACCTGTGTATATATGAAAGACTGAATTTTGTCTCCACAGCTTCTGCAGGGCCAACTGGAGATTTGAATATATGTGAATTTTTTTAACTGCAGGGGTCCTGAAACTAATCCGCCATTGATACAAACTGTACTTAGGAATAAATATAACCAATAAGGTGAAAGATTTGTACAGTACAACTATAAAGCATTAATGAAAAAATAATGAAGACAAAAATAAATAAAAAGATATTCCATGTACATGGGTAGGAAGAATTAATGTTATTAACATGTCCATACTACCTGAAGCAATAAAGAGATTTAATGTAATCACTATTAAAATTTCTATATTATTCTTTGCAGAAATACAAAAAATAATCCTAAAGTAATTATGGAATTACAAAAAAATCCTGAATATCCAAAGCAATACTGAAAAAGAAAAATGAATTTGGAAGCATGACACTTTCTGATGTAAAATTATATTACAAAGATATATTAATCAAATTCATATTGTGCTGGCCTAAAAACAGAAACAAAGACCAACGAAACAGAAGCAAGAGCACAGAATAAATTCAAACATATATGCTCAACAAATTTTTGACATGGGTGCCATGAGGATATGGTGGGGAAAAGACAGTCTCTTCAATAAACAGTTCTGGGAAAACTGTATTTCTACATGCAAAAGAATTAAATTTGACTCTTATCTTATACCATACACAAAAAGCTCAAAATGAATAAAAGACCCAAATGTGAGAACTGAAATCATAAAACTCCTAAAAGAGAATATAAGGAAAATGTTCCTTGATATTGGCTTTGGCAATGGTTTTTTTCGATATCACACCCAAAGTCCTGCTACAAAATCAAAAGTAAATAAACGGAACCACGTCAAGCTAAAAAGATTCTGCACATCAAAGGAAACAATCAACAAAATAAAATGGCAGCCTACAGAATGGGAAAAATATTTGCAAACCTAATATCTGATAACTGGTTAATATCAAAAATTTATTTAAAAAACTTACAACTCAATTGCAAGAAAATAATAACCTGAATAAAAAATGGACAAAGTACCTGAAAATTATTTTTCCAAAGAAGACATAAAAATGGCCAATAGGTATATGAAAATGTACTCAACATCAGTAATCATTAGAGAAATGCAAATTAAATATAAATTATCTCATTATGAGTTATCACCTCATACCCTTTAGGATGGCTATTATCAAAATGACAAGAGAGCACAAAGGTTGGCCAGGGTCTGGAGAAACAAGAAACCTAGTAAACTGTTAGTGGGGATGTACATTGGTACGGTCATTATAGAAAAAAGTATGGATGTTTCTAAAGAAATTAAAAATAGAAATACTATATGACCCAGCAATACCTCCACTGGGTGAAAACTTCCCAAGAAGATGAAATAACTACCTGATAAAGACATCTGCACTTCCATATTCATTACAGCATTATTCACAATAATCAACATATGAAAACGATCTAAGTGTACATCAATGGATAAAGGGCCAAAGAAAATGTGGCATATGTATAAAAGGAATATTATTAAACTTAAAAAAGAAATCTTGCTATGTATTACAACATGGATAGAACTGGGAGTCATTACGCTAAGCGAAATAGGTGAGACATTGAAAGAAAAATATGTCATGATCTTACAAATATGTAAAATCTTTTAAAAATATGTAAATATGCAAAGCTAGGAAACAAAACAGTGATTAACCAAAGGTAGCAGTGAGGGATGGCAGTAGGGAGAAAAAGGTCAAAAGATACAAAGTAGTATGTATGTAGGATAAAGAAGTCTAGGAACATAATGTACAACATGAGGACTATAGATAATAAAATGTATGGTATTTTAATTAAATAAGTAGAATTTAGCTCTTCTTGTCATCTATAATAATGTAACTACGTGACATGATAGATATGTTCAATTGCTTCACTATAGTAAACACTTTACTCTCTATATGTATCCTATAATGTCATGGTGTAAACCTAAAATATACACAATACAATTTACCATAAACATTGTTAATGGATATGAAACAAAAAAGAAGTAAACTCTGACTATAAGAACAAAACCTGAATCAAGAAGAAACAGAAAGATTGAGCAGATTAATAACAATTAAGGGAGAAGGGCTGACTAAACATAGCCAGGAAGACCTTCTCGCACCAAAAGACCAGACCATTAAGAAGACTGGTGCACTCTAAGCAGATCTTCAGAAGGAAGGCATTGAGAGCAAATGGAGGAAGGATGCAGACCCCAAGCTGAAAGGATAGAAAGCTGCAAACCCTGCATGAGATTGCCCAGCACCAGGACTTGTCCCTGGCCCAGGGCACTCCTACGGAAGGGGTGAGTTAAACAGGCATGGAGTAGCCCACCCTTACCACAGACCTCCAGAAGTCTATCTGCAGAAAATCCCACAACACATGCAAACATTTGAACTGGCTTGGAGAGCTGCTTGGAGAGTTGGCAGGGACAGAATTACAGCCTGTGCAGAGCCCAGTTGGTTTAGCATAGGAATGGCTGCAGTGGAGCATGGCTAAGGACAGCAAATCCTCCCAGGTTTGCCCTGCTCCAGAAGGTTGGTTTGGCCTATCTAGACTGTCAGACCTAGACAGAAAAGAGCTATCTAGCCCATGGATTGGGGCTAGCCTGATCTGAGCATCCCGTCTGCTGGCCTTTCCCAGAGTCCCTATCTGGCTGCACCGGCTTGCAGCACAGCCTCAGATGAAAAACAAGTGCTCTTCCCAGTGGCCAGCACCAGAGTTCTTTCCCCAGTAAACTCTTTCTAACCAACAGAGATGTTCTGTAAACCGACCCCACCAACATAGACCATCCAGACACTACCCAATACTATGCCAGCATGTGCTCGCACACAGACTTCCCTATCCACCTTGCCTGTGCACATGCCCATAGGGACATTGCCATCAGGCCACCACCAGCACACATAGGTGCAGACCTCACTGCCACCAACATACCACCAATGCTGGTATTTTAAACCAACAACAATCAAAAAGACAAAAAAAAATAACAAAGTGGAAAAATTGACTAAGAAGGGCATTATATAATGATAAAGGGATTAATTCAACAAGATAATTAAACTATCCTACATATGTGTGCACCAAACACTGGAGCACCCACATTTACAAAGCAATTTCTTAGAAACCTATGAAGAATTGTACTGGTCCAAAAACCAAAACCCAAGCAAATGCAACAGGTTAGAGAGCCCAGAAATGAAGTTGCACACTTATAACCATCAGATCTTTGACAAAATCATCAAAAACCAGCACTAAAGAAAGGATTCCAGATTCAATAAATGGTGCTGGGATAACTGGTTGGTCATATGCAGAAGATGGAACCTGGTCCCCTTCATTACACCACATACAATAATCAACTCAAGATGGATTAAATATTTAAATGTAAAACCTAAAACTAAAAAAACTCTAGAAAATAAAAACAAGGAAATATCATTTTGAACATAAGTCCTGGCAAATATTTTATGAGGAAGATGCCAGATGCAATTGCAACAAAAACAAAAATTCACAAGTGGGACTTAATTAAATTGAAGAGCTTCTGCACAGCAAAAGAAATATCAACAGAATAAATAGACATCCTACAGACTGGAGGAAAATATTTGCAAACTATGCATCTGACAAAGGCCTAATATCCGGAGTCTATATGGAACTTAAGGAAATTAACAAGCAAAAAACAAGCAACTGTATTTAAAAATGGGCACTCTGTACATGAACAGACACTTCCTAAAAGAAGACATATACATGGCCAAGAAGCATATGAAGAAATGTTGAACATCACTAAAATATTACTCTGTTCTCAAGCTGCTAATAAAGACATACTCTAATAAAGACATACTTGAGACTGGGTAATTTATTAAGGAAAAAATGTTTAATGGATTCACAGTTACATGTGGCTGGGAGGCTTCACAATCATAATGAAAGGCAAAAGGCATGTCTTACATGGCGGCAGACAAGAGCAAGTGAGAGACAAGGGAAGGCGGAAACCCTTTATCAAGTCTTCAGGTCTCATGAGATTTATTCACTACCACGAGAACAGTATGGGGGAAATTGACCCCATGATTCAATTATATTTCACTGAGTCCCTCCCACAACACAAAAGAATTATGGGAGCTACAATTCAAAGTGAGATTTGGTGTGGACACAGCCAAACCATATCATTCTGCCCCTGGACCCTCCCACATCTCATGTTCTCATATTTCAAAACCAATCATGTCTTCACCACAGATCCCCAAAGTCTTAACTCATTTCAGCATTAACTCAAAAGTCCAAAGTCTCATCTGAGACAAGGCAGTTCCCTTCCACCTATGAGGATATAACATTAAAATTAAAAGCAAGTTAGTTACTTCCTAGATAAAATGGGGGCACAGGAATTGAGTAAAAACAGTCATACCAAATGAGAGAAATTGGCCAAACCAAATGGGCCACAGGACCTATGCAAGTTCAAAATCCAGCAGGACAGTCAAATCTGAAAACTCCAAAATGATCTCCTTTGACTCCCTGTCTCACATCCAGGTCATGCTGATAAAAGAGGTGGGTTCCCAAGGTCTTGGGCAGCTCTGCCTCTGTGGCTATGAAAAGTACAGCCTCCGTCCTGGCTGCTTTCAGGGGCTGGTGCTGAGTGTCTGCAGTTTTTCCAGGTGCATGGTACAAGCTTTCATTGGACCTACCATTCTGAGGTCTTGAGGATGCTGGCCCTCTTCTCATAGATCCACTAGGCAATGCCCCAGTGGGGACTCTGTGTGGGAGTTTCAACCCCACATTTCCCTTCCACACTGCCCTAGCAGAGGTTTTCCATGAGGGCTCTGCCCCTGCAGCAAAATTCTGCCTGGACATCCAGGCATTTCCATACATCCTTCAAAATCTAGGTGGAGGTTCCCAAACCTCAGTTATTGACTTCTGTGCACTCACAGGCTCAACACCACATGGAAGCTGCCAAGGTTTGCGGCTTGCACCCTCTGAAGCAATGGCCTGAGCTATACCTTGGCCCCTTTTAGCAATGGGTAGAGTGGCTGAGATGCAGGACACCAAGTCCCTAGACTGCACAGAGCAGGGAGGCCCTGGGCCCTGCCCATGAAACTACTTTTTTTTTTTATTCTAGACCTCTAGGCCTGTGATAGGAGGGCTTGCGACAAAGGTCTCTGACATGCCCTGGAGACATTTTCCCCATTGTCTTGGCAATTCACATTTGGTTCCTCATTATTTATGCAAATTTCTGCAGCCAGCTTGAATTTCTCCTCAGAAAATTGTTTTCTTTTCTATTGCATCATCAAGCTGCAAATTTTCCAAACTTTTAATGTCTGCTTCCCTTTTAAACATAAGTTCCAGTTGCAAACCATAGCTTTCTGAATACATAAAAATGAATATTTTAACAGCACCCAAAGCACCTCTTGAATGCCTTGCTGCTTAGAAATTTCTTGCACCAGATACCCTACATCATCTCCCTCAAGTTCAAAGTTCCACAAGTCTCTAGGGCAGGGTCAAAATGTTGCTAATCTCTTTGCAAAAACATAGCAAGAATCACCTTTACTCCAGTTCCCAAAAAGTCTCTAATCTCCATCTGAGACCACCTCAACCTAGATTTCATTGTCCATATCATTATTAGCGTTTTGGACAAAGACATTCAAGTAGTCTCTAGGAAGTTCCAAACTTTTCCCAATTTTTCAGTCTTCTTCTGAGCCCTCCAAACTCTTCCAACCTCTGCCTGTTACCCACTTCCAAAGTCATGTCAATATTTTGGGTCATCTTTACAGCAGCACCCCACTGCTGGTACCAATTTACTGTATTAGTCTGTTCTCATGCTGCTGATAAAGACATATCTGAGACTGGTTAATTTATAAGGAAAAAGAAGTTTAATGGACTCAATTTTCCACGTGGCTCGAGAGGCCTCACAATCATGGTGAAAGACGAAAGGCACAACTTACATGGCAGCAGACAAGAGTGAATGAGAGCCAAGGGAAAGGGGAAACCCCCTATCGAATCATCAGCTCTTGTGTGACTTATTCACCACCATGAGAACAGTATGGAGGAAACTGACTCCACAATTCAATTATCTCCCACCAGGTCCCTCCCTCAACACATGGGAATTATGGGAGCTGTAATTCAAGATGAGATTTGGGTAGGGACACATCCAAAATATATCAACTAATCATTAGAGAATGCAAATTGAAACCACATCTATCACAGTGGCTATTATTAAAAATTCAAATGATAATAGATGCAGGTGAGATTGTGGCAAAAAGTGAACACTTAACACACTGCTGGTGATAATGTAAATTAGTTCAGGCATTGTGGAAAGCAGTTTGGAAATTTCTCAAATATCTTAAAACAGAACCACCATTTCACCCAACAATCCCATTACTGGGTATATACCCAAAGGAATATAAATCATTCTAGCATAGAGACACATCAACATGTGTGTGCTTTGCAACACTATTCACAATAGCAAAGAATTGGAATCAACCTATATGTCCATGAGTTGTGGCACGGAAAAAGAAAACGTGGTACATATACACCATGGAATGCTATACAGTCATAAAAAATAAAGTGAACATGCCCTTTGCAGCAACATGGATTGAGCTCAAGGCCATTATCCAGAGTGAATTAAGTCAGGAACAGAAAACCAAATACCACATGTTCTCTCTTAAAAGTGAGGAGTTACACATTGACCACATGAACACGAAGAAGGGAACAATAGACACCAGGCCTTCTCTGAATGTGGAGGGTGGGAGGCATGTGAAGATCAAAAAGTACTTGCTCATTCCTGGGATGATAAAATAATTTGTACACCAAGCAGCTGCAACACACAATTTAACTATGTAACAAACCTGAATGTGTTCTTCCTGACCTAAAATAAAATGTGGAAAATAAAAAGGAAACCCAAGAAATCAGGAAATTGAATCAGTCATCAAAAGCCTCCATAAATGAAAAGCCTAGGACTCAGATGGTTTAATAGGTGAATTATAGAATAATTAATATCAGTTATACTCTTTAAAATAATAGAAGAGGTAATACTTTAAACTCACCTTATCAGGCTGTCATTACCCTGATAACAAAGCCAGACAAATAAGCCACAAAAACCTACAGGCCAATATTCCTGAGAAATATAAATACAAAGATTCTCAACACCATAAAGTCAAACTGAATTTAATAGCACATTGAAAGGGTCACAACCCATGACCAATATGATTTATCCCCAGGGTGCAGGGATGTTTTGACATACAAAAATTAATCAATGTGGTACACACATGAATAGATAAAAAAAGGAAAACACATAGAAATATAAAATGCATTTAATAACATTCAGTGTTAATTCATGATAAAAACTCTCTCTATATATATAATAATATATTATATATATATGTGTGTGTTTCTATATGTGTTGAGGAAGGCCCACAGCTCATATCATAGTCAATGAATAAAAACTGAAAACTTTTCTGCTAAGATCAGTAACAAGGCAAAGATGCTCAGTATCATCATTTCTATTAAACTTAGTACTATAAGTCCTAGCAAGAGTAACTAGACCAGAAGAAGAAACAAAATGCATCTAAATCAGAAAAAAAGAGTTAAATTACAGCTCTTTGCAGACAACATGTTCAGGTATGTAGACAATCCTTATGCTACAACAAAACGACTTTTAGAACTAAGAAAAAACTTCAGGAAATTTGCAAGTTTCAAAGTCAAAATACAAAAATCAATTGTGAGTCTACATACAAACAAAATATCAGAAAATGAAATTAAGCAAACAATTTTATTCACAATGGTAACAACAATAAATGAACATGCTTAAAATATTTTAACCACACTAGGGCAATATTTGTATCCTGGAAATTATAACAAATTGAGGAAAGACATTAAAGAGGATAAAGATAAATGGAAAAATGTTTCATACTCATAGATTAGAAAACTTAATAGGTAAAATATTTCTATCCAAAGCAATCTACAGATTCAATACAATCCCTATTATAATTCCAATGGCATTGATAACACAAAGAAAGAGAAAACAAATTTGAAAATTCATATGGAACCACAAAAGACAACAAATTGCCAAAGAAATCTTGAAAAAAATAAAAGCCAGAAGCATCATGATCAGACTTTTTGCTTTTAAAATATATGACAAAGCTACAGTAATCAAAACAGAATAGTACTGGCATACAAACAGACATAAATAAATGAAACATAACAGAGCACACAGAAATAAATCCATGCTTCCACAGTCAACTGATCTTTGACAAGGATGACAAAAACACAATGAGAAAGCATAGGATCTTTGATAAAAGATGCTGGGAAAACCAGCTATCCATAAGCAGAAGAATTAAATTAGGCCCTTTTCTCACTCCGTATACAAAAATCAACTCAAAATGAATTACAGACTTAAACATAAGACCCATAACCATAAAACTACTGGAAGAAAACACAGGGATATAGAAGAAACACTATTGATATTGTTCTAGGCTACACTTTTATTTTGTTTTGCCCCTAAAAGCAAACGCAAGAAAAGAAAAAAAAAGGTGAGTAGAAATGCATCAAACTAAAAAGTCTTCTGCACAACAAAGGAAGCCATCAACAGAGTGAAAAAACAATATACAGAATGAGAGAAAATATTTGCAAAGCCTATATCTGATAGGTGGTTTATATTCCAACTTTGTCAGTAATTCAAACCCAAAACCATAAAAATGCTAGAAGAAAACCTAGCCAGTACCATTCAGGACATAAGTGTGCTCAAAGACTTCATGACTAAAACGCCAAAACCAATTGCAACAAAAGCCAAAATCGACAAATAGGATCTAATTAAACTAAAGAGCTTCTGCACAGCAAAAGAAACTACCATCAGAGTGAACAGGCAACCTACAGAATGGCAGACAATTTTTGCAATCTACCCATCTCACAGAGGGCTAATATCCAAAATCTACAAGGAAATTAAACAAATTTACAAGAAAAATACAAACATCCCCATCAAAATTGGGCAAAGGATATGAACAGACACTTCTCAAAAGAAGACATTTATGCAGTCAACAGACACAGGAAAAATGCTCATCATTACTGGTCATCAGAGAAATGGAAATCAAAACCACAATGAGATACCATCTCATGCCAGTTAGAATGGTATCATTAAAAAGTCAGGAAACAACAGATGCTGGAGAGGATGTGGAGAAATAGGAACACTTTTACAGTGTTGGTGGGATTGAAAATTAGTTCAACCATTGTGGAAGACAGTGTGGCGATTCTCAAGAATCTAGAACTAGAAATACCATTTGATCCAGCGATCTTATTACTGGGTATATACCCAAAGGATTATAAATCATTCTACTATAAAGACACATTCACATGTATGTTTATTGCTGCACTATTCACAATAGCAAAGACTTGGAACCAACCCAAATGTCCATCAATGATAGACTGGATTAAGAAAATGTGGCACATATATACCATGGAATACTCTGCAGCCATAAAAAAGGATGAGTTCATGTCCTTTTGCAGGGACATGGATGAAGCTAGAAACCATCATTTGCAGCAAACTATCACAAGGACAGAAAACCACACACCGCATGTTCTCACTCATAGGTGGAAATTGAACCATGAGAACACTTGGACACAGGGCGGGGAACACCACACACCGGGGCTTGTCATGGAGTGGGGGGCTGGGGTAGGGATAGCATTAGGATAAATACCTAATGTAAATGATGCGTTGATGGGCATAGCAAACCAACATGGCACATGTATACCTATGTAACAAACCTGCACCTTGTGCACATGTACTCTGGAACTTAAAGTATAATAATTAAAAACAAACCTGGCACCGACAAAACAAAAAAAGAAAACTTCTGACTGATATACTCAATGAACATAGATGCAAAAATTCTTACAAAATAGTAGCTAACAGAATCCAGCAGCACATTCAAAAGATAATCTACCACAATCAAGTAAGCTGTATCCCTGGGATGCAAGGTTGGTTCAACATACACATATTTCATGTTCATAAATTAGAAGAATTAATATTGTTAAATGTTCATACTTACCAAGCTGATCTACAGATTCTAAGCAATCTATTTCAAAATTCCAATGTAATTTTTCACAGAATTAAAAAAAATCCTAAAATTTTTATGGGAATACAAAAGACCTTGACTAATTGAAGCACTTTGAGCCAAACAAACAAAGAAACAAAAAAATACAGAGACAAAGCTGGAAGCATCACACTGCCTAACTTTAAAATATATTACCATTACAAAAAACAGTATGGAGTTTCCTCAAAAAATTAAAATAGAACTATAATGTTATCTAGCAATTCCTCTATATGGGTGAAATCCAAAGAAAATAAAATCAGTATGTCAAAGAAATTTGTGGAAGACAGTGTGGCAATTCCTCAAGGATCTAGAACCTGAAATACCATTAGACCCAGCAATCCCATTACTGGGTATATACCCAAAGGATTATAAATCATTCCACTATAAAGACACATGCACACATATCTTTATTGCAGCACTATTTATTTACAATAGCAAACACTTGGAACCAACCCAAATACCCATCACTGATAGACTGGATAAAGAAAATGTGGCACATATACACCATGGAATACTATGCAGTCAGGAAAAAGCATGAGTTCATGTCCTTTGCAGGGACATGGATGAAGCTGGAAAGCATCATTCTCAGCAAACTAACACAGGAACAGAAAACTAAACACCGCATGTTCTCACTCACATGTGGGAGTTGAACAAGAAGAACACATAGACACAGGGTGGGGAACATTACACATCAGGGCCTGTCGGAGGGTGGGGGGCAAGGGGAGGGAGAGCATTAGGACAAATACCTAAAGCATGCAGGGCTTAAAACCTAGATGACAGGTTGATAGGTGCAGCAAACCACCATGACATATGTATAGCTATGTAACAAAACTGCACATTCTGCACATGTATCCCAGAACTTAAAGTAAAATTTAAAAATAAATAAATAAAAGAAAGATGGAAAAAAGTAAAAACTAAAAAAAAAAAAAAAAAAAAAGTATAGGACCTTGAAAATAAAGCCTTGTCTACAAACTCTTGTGAACTTAAAAAAAAAACAAAAAGGAAAACAGTTTGAATAGACATTTCTCAAAAGATATACAAATGATGAACAGGTATATTTTAAAATGTTCATTAATCATCAATGAAATGCAAATTAAAACCACAATGAGACACTAGCTCATACCTGTTAGAATTGCTATTATCAAAAATACAAAAGACAAGTCTTGTCAAGGATGTGGAGAGAACCCTTGTACACTGCTGGTGAGAATGTAAATTAGCACAATCATTAGGGAAACTAGTATGGAAGTTTCTAAAGAAATTAAAAATATAACTACCATATGACCCAGCATTCCTGTTTCTGAGTATATATCCAAAGGATATGCAATCAGTATGTTCAAGATATATTTGCACCCAAATGTTCATTGCAGCATTATTCACAATAGCCAAGACATAGAAACATTCTTAATGCCAATCAATAGATGAATTGATAAAGAAAAGACAGTCAAGTGATCTTTGACAAGGATGACAAAAACACAATGAGGAAAGCATAGGACCTTCGATAAAAGATGCTCGGAAAACCAACTATCCATAGCAGAAGAATTAAATTAGACCCTTTTCTCACTCCCTATACAAAAATCAACTCAAAATGAATTACGGACTTAACAGACTTAAACATAAGACCCATAACCATAAGACCCATAAAAATAGTATTTATTTAATATAAGATGAAATATTTTCAGACACAAAAACAGGAAAATCCTGCTGTTTGCAACAGAGCAACATAGATGAACCTGGAGAAGATCCTGCTAAGTGAAATAAGCCAGGCACAGAAAGACAAATACTTCATTATCTCATTTATATGGGGAACTTGAGAAAGTCAAACTCCAAAAGGAAGAAAATAGAATGGTGTTTGCCAGGACCTTGGGGAAGAGGGAAATGAGATGTTGGTCAAAACAAACAAAGTTTTAGTGATGCAAAATGAGTAGGTTCTGGAAATCTAATATACATCAGTTTGATTATAATTAAAAATGTTTTTTAGGTACATCTGAAGTGCCCTTACTACAAAAAAATGGTAATCATATGATATAATCAATATCTTAATTAGCTTTATTATAATGATTATTTTACAATGTATACAATATGAAAACAATTTTAATTTGTCAATTATATACATGATTTTAATTTGCCGATTATATCTGAAAACTGAAAACAATGTCAAAAATAAACTTGAACCTAAGATACTGTGGGAAAAAAGTCTGTAAAGTAATTGAAATGTCAAATAATGCAAAGCTGACATTGACAAAGACTGGAGACCTCTAAATACCTGGGGATATATAATCCTGAAGTGCCCTGCACACTCGGGGACTAGTTCAGAGAGGTTTAGGATTACAGTCACTAAAGTACCTCATATCGTTCAGGACAGCCCCATCATCAAAAAGAAGATTAGATGTCCTTCAGGATTTCAGGACAATGCTCCAGCTTTTAGAAATATTTGTTTAAAAAATAAAAATAAAATTACAGATACACCAAAAGAAGGAAAAAATCCAGGAAAACGTTCGTAGTGTATTAACCCTATTGTAAAACAAAATAATTCATTTAAAATCTTACAGAAAACTGAACTGAAAGAAGAAAACATTAAATGATATTATGAATCAGAAACTAAGTTAAAATTCATTTGAACAACTGTGTATGTACAAGTCCTCAGTTCACAACTCTTCAGACAGTTTCATTACTCTACAGAGCTGGATGGAAATTTGTGTTTCTCCAGGCTATGCATCTCTAAGTGAGTGGCCAGGAGTGAGGCTGCTCCCAGGCTCACAACATCAATGGACCACACAACAATTAGCAGCAGAAGGAAGTAGTCTTTACAATATATATACATTAAGTATACTACGAGCAGGGTTTTCACTTTAGCTAAAGCCTTTCTGTGGGGAAAATGGACTCTGGAGGCCTTCTCTCTTCCCTTTCCAACAGCAAAAAATAAAATAAAAGAAGTTGTTCACCCCCAATTCTGCCTCAGATATAAATTAAAATGGCTAATTCCATCAGGTGGGAAAAGACAGGGTGACTTCCCACATCAGGGAACCACCATTTAGAATTCGGAGCTCTATCCTTTCATTATATTACTCATATTTATTTCCTGTGGGTTTAGAGAAACAAGAATTAGAAATAAATGGCATTCTTGCCTGCTCACAAGGGATATTTGCCTCAATCTAAACTCCTGCTTCAACTTTACACAGTTCCTAAGTCTCCAATGCTGAATTTGTGACTCTTATGTCAGAAATCTTCAAAGTTGTGGCAGATCCAGAAACAAAGAGATAGAGAAATCATTCACGTTGGGATGACAAAGAGAGCAAGATTAAACACATAGGGAAAGAGTAATTCCAGAAGGGAAACATTAGGAAAAGACAGTGTCCTATAAAGACGATTTTACCTTCTTTGAACCACTGACAGCTCTCTGATAAAATAAAAAGGACTCAGTACAGAATCAGAGTCAGCCAGCTCTGAACAGAGTATTGCCACTCTGAGTAATATGCTCTACATTGGAAAAGTAAAAAAACTCATCGGTATTTCAGTTTTGTCATACCAACAGAGGGAGCATTCCAAAGCTTTGACTTCTGTTATTATTAAGGGACTGAGCATGCAAATTAGCACTGGTACACAGGCCCTTAGTTGAATCATACTTATACCAAGTGCCATGGGAAGGTGTACTGCAAAATATCAGGAGTATGTTTAAATAAACCTAGTTTTGCTCAAGCCTTGTTATGGATAGCTTCATGCAGAAATTGTGCATATAATATCTATGCTCTGGAGAAATTTCAGATTCTAAAGAAATTCACCCAAACTCTCCATCCTCCCTCCTACTTGGCTCCAAACCCTAAGTATTATTAACCCACATTCTCTTGAACATCTCCTTTTCTACTCTTTATATCACTGGATATTTTTTATTTAGCAAGTCTTAGAGAATGTTTTCAAAGAATTTTGGATTACAGATGTTTTGTATACTTTCCAAGGTGCTCTATAACTTACTCACTTACCTTACCCTTTCTCTATTACTAAAACAATGCATCTCAATCCTTACTGCACATGAAAACCACCTGGAAATCTTAAGAAGAAAAAATAATGCTTTGGACATATTCAACACCAACTGAATCTGTAAGGATAAGGCTTTGACATCATAAAAACTTCCAGGGTAACACTGATATTCATCTGTGCTAAGAACCCTATAGTAAAAGTTTAAAGTCAGAGGAAAAGCAACATAGAACAGCTGACATTTCAAAGTTCAAAAGGATGGTTTTCTGTTATCCAGTGTTATCATCACAGATGACACTGCAAACATTTTGAACAGAGTTTCATATGGCAAACTAAGCAGTATATAAGCAAGGCACTCAACACCAGGGCTCTAATCCCTGAATCACTCTGTGAGATTACAAACCATACTTTTATCTTCTTGCAGATCCCCGCCCCAAAAAGCACTTTGGAGGATGAAGCTTCAAAACAGAAATAATCAAAATACTGTGGCAGGAAATCTGATCGGAAACATTCAGCACAAGGAGAAAAATATCAGACGGCATTCATTAAACTCCCCAAAGCCCTGAGAAACACTGATTTAAGAACTAAAAATATATCATCAGTTATAATAGCAGTATGACTTCTAACCTGAAAGAACATATTGTAGTCAATATGATGTTTGCAGGCAGGCAGAGTGTCTGGTGCTTTTGGTAAGAATATATATTTTGTCTACAAAGACATCAAAGTGCTTGTGAGCAGGAATTTGTCTTGTGAAAGTTTACTTCCAACTCTCAAGCATTATATCCAATGACTTACTAATGAATAGCATTCCTATCATTGGATGAAATAATTAAAATACAAACCAGCTCCTTCACCTTACAGATTTAAAAAAAAGTTTGTTTGATTGTATTGTTAAAACAAAGAGTTTGATTTCAGATTGACTTTCCCAAGGCCTCATATTGAGAGAAAGTTGGGGATAAAGCAAGCACAAACAATCATCAACCTCAATGGGGCTGCGGCATTTCAGTTCAATCTTGTTTTCTGTTCTTGAAAATTTGGGGAGTCACCCTCCACAATAACTATATCAAAACTTAGGCCCTTTACCCACATAAATAATACCCAAGTCTGCACCTCTTACTTCATAGCTTCTGATTATTCATAGATGTTTCAGGTGAGAGTAAAACTGCATTGATTTCTTTGCATTCAGGGCTGATCTATTCAAATCATTCACTCTTTTAGGGCCCAAGTGAATTCTAATATGCAGCAGGAATGAGTTCCATTGTAACAAAAGCTTAATGATCAGCTGGCATGGTAAAGTACCAGTTATGCTGGGTTCTCTTTTTCTGACTTCATCATTACAGATAACATTCTGGAAATGTTGAACAGAGTCTCATATAACAACTTAATCAGGTGAACTTGCTGAATAATTACTGTTTCATGGAAATACATTATATTTATTCAATAGGTAGAAAAAGTTCAATGTAATTGTATACGGGCATGTCTTGGGGCTCCGACCCCATGGCAGTATCTAAGGGTGAATGTTTACAGCTGAAGCCCCAGTAGGCGTGTGTTATAGTGTGCTCTTTTTGTTTAGCCATCAGCAGGCAGCTATGTTAGCTGAATTAGACCCCATGCCTTATTGCAAGGACAGAGGGCTTTCTGTGTCCTGAGGTTTCTTGCCTTGGTGTACTGGAAGAATCAGATCACAGGTGGCATTGGAGAATTAGTGCAAGGTTTTATTGAGTGGAAGTAGCTCTCAGCAGACAGGGGAGTCAGAAGGGAGATGGAGTGGGAAGGTGGTTTTCTCCTGGCGTCGGGAAGCTCAGTGACAGGGCTCTCCTCCCACCACCTCCGGCCAAACTCCATGTGGTTCCACCAGTCAATGGCCTGCCAGTGCCTGTCAGTGTGCTCTTCTGCTGGTGTGTTCCTCTTGACGTTCAGCCACTTGTGTCTGTGTCTGCTAGGGTCTCGGGGTTTTTATAGGCACAGGATGGGGGCATAGCAGGCCAGGGTGGTCTTGGAAAATGCAACATTTGGCAGGAAGGCAGGAGTGCCTGTCCTCACCTAGGTCCATGGTCAACAGGCCCAGGAGTGCAGCCCTTGCCAGGGACCTGCCCTTCTCCTCCCAGCACTTCTCTGGCCACCTCCCATATCAGTAAGCTTTCTTTTCCTATACATTTTGCTCTTGCTAGATTTTATATATTCTTATTTTATTTTTGTCTGAGTTTTTATGTAAAGATTAATATTTTTCTAAATCTTTAAATAGTATATTCCAAACACATATTAGCATTATTTTCCAAATATTCAAATAAAATTTAAATTATTAGGAAATAATTTGGAGAGTACTCCAAATATTCAAATACATCTGGAAATTTCTCATATCCATGTTTACATACGTACATTTTTGTTCCCCACCTTTCTGGGTATCTTAGAGATACCCAGACCCCATAGTGGCCTATACTTTTGCTCCAATTTAAAGGGCTGTTCTCTAGGTCATGGCTACACAAATGCATACCATGGATTATTTTTATTACCAAACACACTTTTCTCTTGACAGCTTTTCTGTGTGATGCCACCTATTTCTTAGACCCCGTGTTTGGCTCTTTCTTAGTTTATTCCTTCACTTTTTTATAGTATGTTTTAATTAAGGGTGTATGGGAGGCAAAATTTTTGAGTCCACTAATATTCAAAGTGTCTTTGTTCCCTTTATATAATGTATTGACAATATATTCAGTCAAGAATTATAATTTAGAAATTTCTGTCCTTCTGAATTTCGAAGCAATTGTTCCATTGTCCCTTAGGTCCCAGTGTTTCTGTTCAGAAGTGTAATGTCATTCTGAGCTTTTGCCTGTTTTGTCTTTTTCTGGAATCTGTTAGTACCTTACCCAGGTGTAGTGAAATTTTACTCTCATATGCATTATTGTGAGTCTTTTACTTTTCTTCATTTATTGTACTGGACCCTCTATGAAACCATAAATATAAAGATTCCTATCCTTCAGTTCTGGAATATACTAATTTTCAGAGAATATGCACTTTTTATATTCTATAGTCCTTGTTAACTGGATTTCTTCATTTTCATGTATTCTATCTCCCAGTTTTCATTTTTTTTCACATTTGCTGTTCTAATTCATCAGAGATACTCTAAGAGTTTTACTAGAAATGTTAAGCCTCATTTATAAGATCAATGATTTCAGAAAACCTTTCTGTTTCTTGTTTCTTTCTTCAATAATGTTCTTACATTATGAGTGCAATATATTCTCATCTCTCTGTGTGATTCTTTCTTTTAATATCTATAATTTATTGAATATTTACTATATGCTAAATACCATACTAGGCAAATTATATACATCATCAAGTTTAATTTTTACAATCATATTTTATGGTAGAAAATATTATTACCATTCGATATACAAAGATATCAAGAATAGGTTTTTCATTTACAGATTAATTCTCATTATGTAAATACTGTGTACTGTTTTGCCAAGTAGTATATAATGATTAATATTTTATTTCCTATACAACTTTTTGTTGATAAATATCAATGGCATATTAGTTTGACTGCAAAGTCCAAACTCCAAAGAGAGTTATAGGAGACTACTGAGAGTGGAAGTGCTACTTCATGACAATATTTATACAATTTTGTTATTTATAATTTTATATTATTATATTTTCACATTGTTATTATTTTTCAGATTTTTTAGAAAGTAATCTTCTTGAGGAAAAGTAATTTTTTAAAACTTTCTTCCTAACCCAGCCCCCACCTCAGTGCCTGGAAAATTAGTTGTAAAATAGTGCCTATAAAATTTTTCAGTGCAAACAATTGCTGCTCATTTATATTTATTTATTTATTTATTTATTTATTCATTTATTTTTCAAGTTAGGGTCTCACTCTGTCACTCAGTATGTAGTGTGGTGGCATGATCATAGTTCACTGTAACCTGGAATTCCTAGGCTTAAGCAATCATCCTACCAACCAAATAGCTAGGACTACAGGCATGTGACATGATGTCCAACTAATTTATTTAAACTAATTTTTATATGCAGATATCAGCATTCATACATTAAAGTTTTTAAAGTAGAACTTACCTGTAGGCAAGGTAATATTTCTTTAAGTTTTCATATCCATAAGGAAGAGATAATAATATATGCTTCATAGAATTGTTGTAGAATTAACATATATACATTTTATATATAGTGCTTAGCATACTGTTTAAAACCTATATAACCATTAAACACTTACTAACTATTCACAGCTATTTCTATTATTCTCCCCTTTATTACCTTCATTATGTGAGATATAAGAATAACATATTCTTGATGATAGGACTAGATTAAGATGAAATCCAGAAAATACAAAGGAAGTTTAATAATGTAATAAAATGCATTAAAATGTCATCATTTTAAGTATTGTTCTGCCTCTTAACAACATAGCACATGTTGACAGATTTAATTTGAAAATCAATCTAGAGCAGTATTTGAGGCTCCTGAATAAATATCTCTTCAAACATTATAATATTCAAGTTTTCAGGTATTTCCTATTAGGAAATTCATTTATTACATATAGCATATTAAATTTTATTTCTTGAAGCAAACCTTCGGCTATTATCTCCAATCTAAATTAATTTCTCATTCCCCTATGAGCCTTTAGCATTTTATCAAGTGTTTATTAAAATGCCTATCATAATTTTCTTTTCATTTATTTATTAATATGTATCTTACCTCCTCACTAGATCCAAAGCTTCTTGCAGAAAAGATCAATAACATATATATCTTTGTATTTCTCCCAGCAACTAAAACAATATCTTAGTCATGGTGGAAACTGAAAAAAACTTTGTGGAAGTGAATGTACCTGATAATTATAAAATTAAGATTAGATTTATGTAGCACAGCTATATGGAAGCAATGTAGTAAAACCTATTTACCTGAGACTCTAAAAGATTACTCAAGCCAGAATTATTTGAGACTTGGTATTACTCAAACTTAACATATCTGTGACTTTTACATGCAGGAAGATGCTACTGTGAAACACATTATGTGCTTTTCACTGGGTCTTAATTGGTTCTTAGGGGTTTGTATTTATCAATCTTAACACATTTTTATGTTGCTCTAATACACAGCAACATACACCTTTAGCATGCATTCTACTAAGATTATATAATACAATAAAATTAGTTAACACATAATTGGATCAAATTTGAGATTTAATTTATAAGTAGTGTGATCCACTAGCTATGTACCTAGCTAAAAGCTAAAAGTATTTCAATACTTATTAATATTATATCTAATCTCTTCTAGAGTCATATAATGTTTATTTTATTGTTCTTTTAAGTCAAAGTGACATGCAAGAAAAAAATTAACATTAGATATCATGAATAAGATGGTGGTGCTAAGTGAAATCAAGTGAAAAAATATTTTTTAATTTAAATGTATTTAAAAATTGGAGGCCCAGATATGTTCAGTGGTGTATTCTAGCAAACATTTAAGAAAAAAATACCAATTCTCTACAATCTCTTCCAGAAGATAAATACTTTGTAACTCATTCTGAATCCAGAATTGTCCTAATATCAACACCAGATGAATACATTACAGGAAAAGAAAAATATAGGCAATAAATCTAATAAATATAGACGTAAAAACCCTCAACAAAATTTTAGCAAACCAAATCCAACAATGTACACAAATAATAATATATTCTGACCAAGTGGGATCTCTTCTGAATATGAATATGCAAAGTTGGTCCTACATTAGAAACTTAATGTATTCTATTGAATAAACGGGTTAAGGAAGATAAATCACGTGACCATATAAACAGATGTAGACTGAACATTTGAAGAAAATCCAACATTTATTTGTGATAAAAGCTATCAGCACACTAGGAATAGAGGAGTATTTTTATAACTTGATAAAGAATATCTACAAAAAACCTACAGCTAACATCATACTTATTGATGAGAAACTGGAGGCTTTCCTTCTAGGATTAGAAATAAGGCAAGAATGTTCACTCTTAGCAACATATTTTTAATATTGTACTAAAAGTCCTAGCTCGTGCAATAAGACAAGAGAATAAAAAGTTATACAGATTGGAAAGGAAGAAACAAAACTGTCATGTTCAAATTTAGCATGGTTATTGATGTAGCAAATGAAAAATAACTGACAAAAAAGTCTTGAAATTGAAAAGCAATTATAGTAAGATTTCAGAATATAATGTTAACATATAAAAGTCTATTATTTTTCTATATACCATCGATAAACAAATAAAATTTGAAACTAAAACAAAATACCATTTACAGTAGTATCTAAAAAATAAAATACTTAGGTACAAATCTAACAAAATACAAATCTATATGAGGGAAATGATAAAATTCATAAAATGAATCAAAAAGAAGCAAATGAATGGAGAGATATTCTATGTTCATAGATAGGAAGACTCAAATTTGTCAACATGTCAGTTTTTATCAACTTGATCTACAGATTAAACGCTATCCCAATTATAATCTCCACAAGTTATATGAAGAGGCAGAAGACACAGAATAGCCAACCTAATACTGAAGGAGATGAATCAAGTTGGAGTACTGACACTATCTGACTTCAAGAGTTCCCGTAAAGATATAGTAATCAAGACGATTTTGTACTGGTAAAAAAAAAATAGACAAATGGATACATGGAAAAGATCAGAGAGCATAGAAATAGACCTACATAAATATACTCAACTAATCTTTGATTTAAGTTCAAATGCAATATGTGGAATACAAGATAGTTCTTTCAACAAAAGGTGCTCGAACAACTGGACATGTATATGCAAAAAACAATCTGGACACAGACTGTGTACCTTTCACAAAAATTAACTCAAAATGAATAATAGACTTATATATAAAATGCTGATCTATGAAACTCCATAAGGTAACAGGAGAAAATTGGTTTGGCCTTGGATATGGTGATGACTTTTTACATACAACACCAAAGCACAATACATGAAAGAAATAATTGATAATACGGTCTTCATTACAATTAGAAACTTCTGCTCTGGAAAAGACACTGTCAAAAAATAAGACAAGTCATAAACTGGAAGAAAATATTTAGAAAAGACATATCTGATAAAGGATTGTTATATAAAATATACAAAGAATCCTTAAAACTGAACAATAAGAAATTTAACAACCTTATTTAAAAATAGACAAAAGACCTGAACAGGTGCCTCATGAAAGAAAAATATAGAGATGGTAAATAAGCATATGAAAATATGTTCAACATCATATGTCTTTAGATAATTGAAAATTAAAGCAACAATGACATACTACTACACACCTAATACAACAGCCCAAATCTAAAACACTGACAACAACAAATACTGGCAAGAATGTGGAGCAACATGAAGCTTCATTCATTACTAGTGGGAATGCAAAATGGTATTGTCACGTTTGAAAAGCATTTGGCAGTTTCTTACAAAGCTAAACTCTTATTATGTGATCCAGCATTCAAGCCCTTGGTATCTATCCAAAAACGCTGAAAACATATGTCCACACAAAAACCTGCATATGAATGTTTGTGGCAGCTTTTTCATAATTGCCAACATTTGGAATCAGCCAAGATGTCTTTCAGTAGGTGAACAAACAAACTGTGGATAAGTAAATAGATAAGTACATCCAGACAACAAAATATTATTCAGGGCTAAAAGAAAATGAACTATTAAGCCATGAAAATATATGAAGGAATATCAAATGCATATTACTGAGTAAAATAAGTTAATCCAAAAAGACAATATACTGTATAATTCCAATTATACAACATTCTGGAAAAGGCAAAACTATGGAGACAGTAAAAATGTCAATAGTTGTCAGGCACTGGTGATGGCAGGTATGGATGAATAGGCAGAATTCGAGGATTTTTAGAGCAGTAAAAGTATTCAGTATGATACTATAATTGTGGATATGTCATTAAATATTTGTCAAAACCCACGAAATGTACAAGAGTTATCCCTAATGTAAACTATGGGTTTTGAGTGATAATGATGTGTCAGTATAGGTTCATTGATTGTAACAAATATTCCACTGTTGTGTGGGATGTTGATAGTGAAGGAGGCTATGGATATTGGGGGCAGAAGGCATATGAGCAGTCTCTACAAATTCTGCTCAATTTTGCTATAAACCAAAAAGTACTTAATAATAAAATATATTGAAAAAAGTTTGGGGAACCAAGATAAAATCCAAAAAATTTGATATAAAGTAAAAACAAAACTAAACTAAAGCACACACATACACAGAGAGAGAGAGAGAGAGAGGAGAGAAAGAGACATATTTAATATTGACCTTTACTCACTCCCAGAAATAGAGCACTTTAAATAGACCTGGGAAAGGAAGCCTGTGCTGCCACAAAAACAGTTTTATGTATCATTTTGTTAACTTTGAAATATGCTCCTGGACCCCTTAGCCCAAGATATAAAATCTATAGGCTTGGGTTAGGACTTCACTTGAGATTTGTTTATAGTTTTTCCATATGAGCTTCTGTCACTCTACTAAGGTCCTATCAGCCATAAATTTTCCAGTTGGAAATTCCTCTTGATTTTTGAACATGAAACCACTGCACGCTATGGGCAACTTGGGATTTCTTTTTCAATTTCCTCAAGACTGAGGAATATGTCATACTACTTAGACTATAGCCATGTATTAACAATCTACAGTTTCTGCTTTTGATGGCTGACAGCTCAACTACGGAAAATAGTATTTTGAAAGCTGTGGGAATTCAATCATCAACTATTCTCTCATGGGCTCTCTTCCAAGGTATTGGACCTGATTAAAGGAAATGTTACTTTTGCAAGTATGCATTGCTATCAAGTAAAAGACACACACAGAGAGCCACAACCAACAACAAAACAGCATATAGTTATGACCGTTCCTTATTCGACCTCAGCCATCCCACAATTCTCTATTTTTTCAAATTTATTTTCTTTTATTGCCAAATGTGTGTGAGTGTGTGTGTGTGTGTGTGTGAGAGAGAGAGAGAGAGAGAGACAGACAGAGAGTGTTCAGGAGTTTTTTGTGCTGGGAATCATCAGGTCAAATATGAAGTTCAGATATAATGAAGTCACTCACTATCCTTTTTTATAGTCAGAAGACACCAGAAATAGGTCAAGAGACATTTGCTTGCAGAAAAAGATATCAGCCCAAATCTAGGAATGTCTATTGATACAAGAAATAACAGAGTTATTTTAGATATAAGAACACAAGAGGTCCAGAATCCTCAACTTAGATGTTTGGAAGTCAAAAATAATAACACCAACAATTCAGGGCTTATTTCCTCTCGTTTGTATCTTGAGGAAATAGGGCAGAAGGTATGGAGGTAAAATGTGTTAAAACTGGGAGACTGCTTGGCCTCAGATCTGTAGGCACATGAAGGCAGTTTTTGTTCTTTTTGTTTTTAAGGATATGAGAATAACTAGTGCTTACACACAGGAGACAAGAGTCAAACTCACATTTTAAAATCAGGAATATGTGAGAGCTCCCCAACTGGTAAAAGATGGCTAAAATACAAGCGCAAATGATATTCACCAGCCGACATGATAGCTTATATTATATAAAGCTGTTTTCTGAGGAGACAACAGGAAGAAGGCTTAGCCCCATAACCTCACCAGCCACAGCCTAGGCTCAGCTGCATGATGGCTCCATGACTGGATTCACAATGTTTTCATTCTATCTGTCAATGAGGTACCTGAGCTGACTCTATGAGACCCAGTGTTATTATAGCAACCTTGATGGCTCGTGTAAAGGTTACTTCATAACCAACCGAAAGAGAAATATGAGTGTAAAGGTAGCACAATACAGAGAGAGAGAGAGAAAGAGGAGCAAAATCCCATTTAAGATGATCCTGCAAATCAGAACTTAATAAAAAAGCGAGAAACAATCATATTCAAAAGGCAGCTGACAAAAATAACTTTCTAAAATAATTTTAAAGAAAAGAATATTAAATTTATTGAAGGCATATATGAAGGAATAGCATTAATAAAAATAATAAAGAATACTGATAAATAAGCAAACAAAATTAAAAAAATGATTTATAAGCAGAAACTATTAGAAGTCACTGAGACTGAAAAGCAGTACTGAGCAATTCACCCAGAATGCAACCAGAATACTTCAAAAGATAAGTTGTTCAAAGCTATAGAGAATTCAATAGCAGCCTCCAATATTTATTCACTAGGCATTCTGTAAGAAGAGACTAGAGAGAATGGAAGAGAAGTAATTTAGAAGTGAAAATGACTTAGAATTTTCCAGAACATAAGAAAGACAATAGTCAACAGATTAAAACAGGCATGTTTTACTGAGTGCCAAGTAGACAAGTCAAAATAGATTTATAACTATACACATTGTAGTAAAATCTACAAAACATTAAGGTTAAAGACAAAATCTGAAAAACTAGCAAGTAAAAAGACAAATTACATATATATTGATGACAAATAGGAGACTTCTCATTAACAACAGTATAAGCAAGAAGAGAATAGATTAGTAGCTTCAGAATGTTGATTGAAAATAACCATCATTATAGCTTATATAGTCAACCTATCAGTCAAGACTTAGGAGCAAGTAAGGAAAAAAATCAATTAGACCTGTAAAATTAAATGGGAGTTTATCACCCATAGACTTTCTTGAAATAAATACCAAAGGAGGTGCTTCCACATTAAGAAAAGTCAGCAGTACAGAAGTCTGGTGCAAACAAAAAGATAGTGCAATTAAAAAAATGCTGAAATGTATTTGTAAATTAAATTCAATATTGTCTGTAAAATAATAATCAATTTTTCACTTAAAGCATTTAGAAAAGAGCAGGAGGTACAGAAAATTCTACTCAAAAAAAGCAAAAAAAAGTAGAAAAAATCAATTTATATAAACATATTAACAGCAATAAATGATAACTGAGAAAGTTTGTGGCAATACAGCCTCTTAGATTGGACTTTTAAAATTCTAGCTACATGCAGCTTGCAGGAGTTACTTCTTGGACACACATTTATAGGATTCTTAAACAAAAATAGGAAGTATAGACAGGATAGCAAAAGTAAATAAAATTAAACCACAAAATATATTACAATATTAAATCAGACAAATAGAATTTTAAGAAAAAGACATCAGCAGTTACAAAGGGTAATATTACAATTAAGAATAATTCAACAAATGTGGATTAAAACAGTTGCTGTACTAATGGTGTAGCCTAGGCAACTAGCCAACATTAGACAGACTTCATCTGGAATTATAGCTCAAATACCTTCAAGACTTCATCATCAGAAGACTACTGGTGGTAATCTCTTCCTTATCTTTCTCCTCCTATTTCACATGCCTCAATACCTGAAATCTTATTTTTTTTTTTCGGAAAGTATAGGTTCTTCCATGTTGAATATTCCCATTATAAATATTTAAACACCTCAGCATAATAGGTTAAGTGAACGATGGTACTAAGATATTAAATGGCTAAAAATGCAATCTTCAACTGTAAGGTTTGGCTCAGAGAAGTGCTTCATGAAAGAACAGCAGAAATACTTTTGGAAAAGAAAAGAGAAAGTGATTCTTTTATATCTCTTTTTATGATGATAATTTTTGATGGAAAAGCCATATTATCAGTAAGGAATTTCTAATGAGAAGAAGGATATTGGATCTCTCTACATCTTTCTACATTTCTTTCTGCTGTTCATAGAATCTTCAAACATAGAATAAAATTTGGATTAAAAAATAATAAACTGCCAAGAACATATCAGACAAGAGCTACTTAATTTCTTTTTGCTAACAATATATTTTTCTGTTTAAAATTCCCAAATGAACACTAAATATAGCATTATTGCTAAGAACAGCAAAAAACGTTTCAGTTTATTCTACCTCACTAAAATGCGATTTCGATGTAAATATAACTTATATTTTCAAATATTAACTTCAACCGCACTCACAGACCTTTTGTTCTCGGGGGATACGTGCTGCAGAGATACAGTTCAAGAGCACACGGATAGTCAAACCTGGTATACCAGTTGCTAGAAGACCTACAACTCTACATTCCACAACAGAGAAAACACACACATCATAATGTGACCCAAGCATATCTGCCTTCAATTATCAGAATTGATGTGGCTTCTAATAAACACAGATGTTCTCCAACAAATTGATCTTTTGTCTTAGACTGTACTGTGTTTCTCCATTCAAAGCTGATTTTATTCCTTCTGTCAGTCTTTGCCCTGTTCTTCATTTCCACTGGTGCTATATAGGTTTTCATTTTTCTCTGCCTCTCAATTGGTCTTTCTTGTACTCCCTCTCTGCCCCAATGTCTCATTTGCAGTATAGACAGAGTAGTATTTCTAATCTGTAAAAGTGACTATATTGCTGCTTTAAAGTATAATTAGATGCATAAAATACAATGTGCAGAAAAAAAAAAAAGAGTAAAGTCAAAGTTCCTTGACATGGTATGAAAAGTCTCAATGGTGTAACATTTCCATATGCCTGTCAAGTTTCTTCTACCGTCCCTACCCTAAATGTGTGACATATAACCAGACCTATTTGCTAACATTTCTCTGAATACATCAGTGACTTTTACTTGTCTGTCTTTGAGAACTCTCTTTCCAAAGCTGAGGATCTTTTAACCATTTTCAACTTACTGTAACTCTTCTAAGGAATCTTCTTGTGAATGGTCATGGCCCTTAACAAGAGGAATTAACTGTAACCTACAATGCTATTCCATAACACTATGCTCATTCCTGTTTTGTAGCATCCCATTATTAAACAGGTCAGCTGGATGAAAAATGCAGAACTACGTGCCAAGATAAAATGTAATGATCAGAGCTGGGCAACTTGATACAGTGCAAATACAATTAAATGTAGATTTTTCAGTGAATATGTTTCCCCAGGATATGGAGACAAGATTGCTTAAGTTTTTCTTCCTGTTTTAGCTTGGTGCTGGTCATGAAGATTTGGCAGGTTGTAGAATACATTCATGAGTGAGGAAGAGGACTTAGAAGCTCAGAACCAAGGAGGGCTCCATTTAGATCTACACACCAGAGCGTATATTAAATATGACACTAGATAATTGAGCTGAATTTAACCTGTCAGTTACATCTACTGTGACCCCTGAACAATTTACGTATTTTCTCTGAGCCTTATTTTTATAACTATAATACAAAGTTAGCAATAGTTCTTATTTCATAGCTTATTGTGAATATTCAATAGATAGCTTTAATTTTAGATAATTTTTAATAATTATATAATTTTATATAATTCTCTAATATATAATAATTTTATATAATTCTCCAATAATTATATAATAATTTTATATAATTCTCCAATAATTATATAATTTTATATAATTCTCCAATAATTATATAATAATTTTATATAATTCTCCAATAATTATATAATAATTTTATATAATTCTCCAATAATTATATAATAATTTTATATAATTCTCCAATAATTCTATAATAATTTTATATAATTCTCCAATAATTATATAATAATTTTATATAATTCTCCAATAATTATATAATAATTTTATATAATTCTCCAATAATTATATAATAATTTTATATAATTCTCCAATAATTATATAATAATTTTATATAATTCTCCAATAATTATATAATAATTATTATTTGTTATTTAATGCTGTCTTGACTGAATTTGTGGCCTTGGCTAGAGGCTGGTTAGTTCCCCTTCTTAAGCAACTGATTAAATTTGGTTGCACTTTCTTTGTTGGGTTCTTGCATTCTGGGGCCACTACGCACCGAGCCTAACTATCCTGAGACCAGGTACCACAGGATAGACCCTATGACCTGGAGCTTGTGAAATCACTTATTATTCATTTTACGGGAATCTTGGGAAACCTAGCTAACTTCTCCTCACTTGGCATACATGAATTGCCTCTCACAATAACAACTTGCTCTTATCCCAACCTTGAGTGCTATCGCCTGTGTGACCCTTGACAACAGCCTTCTCTTGTTTGGAACACAGAGTAACAAAGGTTTCTGCTTCTCAACTATTTGAGTGTCAGAGTGTTGTGTTTCACCACCAAAAGAATTTTTAAATTTTATAAAATAATAAATACATGCTGAAAACCATGAACAAAGTTGATTTTCATCTTCACAAATGGAAGAAATATGGTTGTAACTAGTCCACATGTTTTTCTTCTATGTATTCAATAGCAAGGCCAACTGAGAGGTAACCGAGACTGGTTGTAGTATACTTTAAACCCTCTGACATCGTATTGAAATCTTTGCCACTAGACCAGTAGATCATAGAAATATCTACTCCATCATCTAGATTTTCTCAAGGGGTACTTTGCTAGTATTGTTCGTGTAGTTTAAGAAATAATAGAAATATCAGGCACAGAAATTGACAAGATATATTTTATTTACAGAAATTGAGATGATGAATGATACTTTATTTCTCATGCTTATGCAATTCCATATTTCATACTAAAACATGCGTAAGTTTCATTAGAAAAACATTAGGAGATCAGAACAAAACCCACTGCCACAACAGTTACTTTAAAATTAGACCATCAACCATTATTTTCTCATTGGGAAAATGATCACTACCTTGGAAACAGTTTTGGTAGAATATTTGCTATAAAATGCCTCCCAGAATGTTATTTACATCACACATGTGGATATATCTTCATTACTATTTACTCTGTGATGTTAATTTTCTTTAGAATAAAAAATAAAAGAGTAAACCTATATTCATGCTTATTGGCATCACCAGTGACCATTTACATTTATTTAGATCTCTTTTTTTGTTCAACATTCTGATGCTAACTTTAACAATAAGTATAAACTGTTAATTGAACATTTCTACTATCAGACAATATAGGAATTTAGATCTGTGTAATAGAACATAGACTGTTAATTATTATAACATAGTCCTTCAGTATGTTTTATGAAGCATTTTTAATGACATATCCCATATCTGATATTTATCCCCATCTTCATTCTCTTCGATGTTAAAGGAAATAGCTCTGTAAAAATCTACCCTTTGCTGTCTACTCTGAAATTCACTCTACCTTGCCTCCAAGCCATTGCATTTATAATGTTCTACACATTTTTTATTTCCTTTATCCATACAGTTGCATTGTTTATTTTTCCCCCTTTCTTCTCCTGAACAAGTACTTCTCTTAAAGCTAAGTTCTTCATTTTGTACTTTAATGTCTACTATTTCTTTCTTATGTGACTGACCTTTGTTAAGGCTGAGCCTGTGTCAGGCTTCACCTCCATGCTGATTACCATTTTCTGAATGGACCCTTTTATTTTATGATCCCATTATCACTTCACACTCAGCAATAACTAATGGAATGCTGTTCTCAAATCCTTGCATTTCCCTGAATTCGGTCAGCATTATATTTCTAAAACACAGATTTTGCCTTATATTCCTTTGATTATACCTTTTCACTGCCTATATGGTCCAAAATCCATTGTATGCAGAAAATGGAAGTATTTTCATGGTCTGATTAAAGTCAAACATGTTCATTATTTCTCCAAATACTTTCTTAAAATACACGTATGAAATTGTGCACTTTTTGTCTATTTCTTCTTGTCTTTAAAAATCCTCTAAGCATTCTTCATCTGTGAAGACTTCCTTTCCCCAAGACATTATATTAAGAACTTTTATTTTGGTACACAGTTATCTAATACTTGCCTGTATTTTAACATATGTCACATTATATTTCAGTTAATATTGTGCATGTCTTTCCTTCTACAGAGAATTATTTTTGAGAGTGGTGCTGATAACCTTTCCAAATATTTAACCGTTTCCCCACCACCTAGCAGAGCTCTTTGTCCATAATAGGTACTAGCTAAATTTTTACTGAATGAATGAATATAATTTGAAAGTATAATACTATATTGATGACATTGGGGATGAGGAAATAGAACAAGTTGTTCCTGAGAATAGATTACCTGCATTCAATTCCCTTGATCCTGAAACTCTCAATTTTTACTACAGAGCAACTCACTTGATAGGTTCAAGATAGTTATATACTTTCCTGTGTGACAGGTACTAAGTTTTCACAGTGGTTGAATTCTCCCTTCGACTTGGATCCTGAAATTTTCTGACAAAGCAGTATCAAACTACAGCTAAAATGTAGCCATACAGATTTTTAAACCATCACTGAATTTTCCATTAAGATTCAACTACAGTACATGATCTTTTAAAGAGTGACAAAGACTATATTTCTCAGTTACATAACTAGGGCTTATCACACTGAAAAACAATTGAAACCATTCAAATAGTTTCCCTATCACTTCTGGGTAGAAGAATTATTTTCACCTCAGCTGTTTTGTATTGGCTATATGTGCAGAATCAACACGTTGAAGACCAAGTTTAATTTGTTCATTCTCAGGAGAAGCATAAAGGCTATATATTGAGAGATTGGATTCACGAGTATACTCCAATCAAAGATAGTTTGGTTTTATATTTTATGCATAAGTATAACACCATGCTATATATTCAGCAAAGACATATTACTTTTTCTGTCACATGCAGGGATATAAAACACAAAAAATACTTACTCCAGCAATGATGTCTTTCAGTTCTCTCTGAAAGGTAGCATATGTATGAATTCACGAACAGATTGCAAGTTAAAAATCTTACATTCTGTCATTTTCAGTGTCAAATGCATCCAATGCCAAACACATCAAAGATAGTCAAATCATTATGAAATTATTGGTAAGGCTCTCTGTTGCTTTTCTATCGGTACCATAACAAATTATCACAATCTTAGTGGCTTAAAACAAGATTCATTTGTTACCTCATATTTCCATTGGTTAGAAGTCTAAGTACAGTTGGAACCTCTGTGCAACGTCTTGCAGAACTAAATCAAGGTGTTGGATGGGCTGGCCCCCTTTCTGGAGGTCGTAGGGAAGACTCTGTTTTCATGACCACTCAGGTTATTGAAAAAATCCAATTGCTTGAAATTGTGGGAATGAAGCTCCTTTCATTTTCAAGCAAACAAACATAGGGATAAAATTTGAATCTCTATCCTTCAAATGTCCAATTTCCCTTATGCTACCAGCCAAGAAAAATCTTTTAAGGACTCATGTTTATATTAAGCCCATATGAATAATCCAGGATAATATTTGAATTTTTAAAGTCAAGTAATTAGTTAATTATATCTGCAAAGTACCCTTTTCTGTGTATTCACGGGAGTAACACCAGGAGGTCAAGATTATGGGTGCCAGAATTCTTCTTACAACAGGCTCTTAACTTGAAATGAGTATAAGAAATTATATTGAGCATAAAATTCTCCTTCCATTATTTTAAAAAAGTATTGCCCTAGTAGTGAGTTGATACCAACAATCAAGCTAAATGAAGCTTAAATGTACTGAGATTTCTCCTTAGCTCATTTCTTCACCCTCTAACCTCCAGCAAAACATCTCTAATCTCATAAAGAATGAAAATGGGGATACTGGGTTGGATATTTTAAAAAATTAACCTTACATATAGTTGTTAAAATATCATCCACAGCCTCTGTTGAATCACTGGGTTTTAGAAGTAATTATTCCCACTTGATAATGACTTCATGCAATATTTTTAATATAAATTAATTTTAAAAGCCTTGGCTTTATACGGTTAGAAAAATATAGTAAGAGCTCTGAAATTTCTCTCTATCCAAGTATATTTAAACTTACGCAAATAACCCATAAGAACAGTAAGCATGCTTTGCTCAAGTGAAAATAAGATAACCAGAATTTGATTGTGATAAGAAACAGAAAATATTTATTATTATAACTTAAATTGATACTGTAATTTAGTATGTTAAAGATCCTTTGTCATATACCATATTAAAGGCTGAAATAAGTGAAACATATAGAAATCATTTTCTTTTTCCTCAAATAGCATTATTTCCTTCATCTTATTTATTTTTCTATTTAAGCCAACATCAATATAACTTAAATATTAAGTTAGGTGAAATTTGTTTCTTCATTCTCTGAAATTCACAAGTGTTAACTCAAATTGTTAAACATATGTGTCAGTGTATGTTGAACACTTTGTAAGGTTGATGAGTGTTTCTGACACACAACATTTTCAATGCCTTTTTCTATACTAATTAAAGTAATAAAATTTAGATTCAGAGAGGGGTAGACTTTGGATTTTAGTACCGAGGCCTAAATGTGTATCATTGTAAGACTCTACTTTGCATCCAGTTTTGGAGTCTAGGAAGTCTATTGGATTTTGCCATTAGAAGGTAATCAGAGGAGGGTTGAAGGGGTAAAAGAAGAAAAAAAAGATATAAAAATATTAGGACTACTGAAGTGTACATTTTTAAATGGTAAGGATGGTAAATTATATATGTATATTTTATCTCAGTAAAAATTAATGAAAAAATAATAACTAGAGGGTAAAATTAGAGAGTAGGTAATCAATAAGGGTGAAAGCCACATTGTAATTGCACATTTTGGGTTTTGCCTAGGTAGAAGCTGGAGAAATGGAAATATCAAGTGACCTCTTACAAGAAATTTAGCAGCCATACAATAAAATGTAAGGTGATAGTTGAGGAGGAAAGGAAGGGCACAGAAATGATTCTTGTTTTGTTGTGTGTTACTTTGAAGCATAAAGGTCACCTGAGAATATTTTGGGCAAGAAAACAATCAATAGAAAGAAAAAGAATTTCTACAGAAAAGCCAATAATGGAGCAAAGGTTTTCTGTTAAAAAAAAAAAAAAAAGAGAATAAACCAAGGAACTTAAGTGAAGCAGTTTCCTTTAGCAAAGATAAAGGATGTTGTCTCCACAAAAGAAAATGAGAAAATGGGGTTTCTTATTGTGAATCTGAGAAGAATTAATTTGATTGGTAGAACACTGGACAAACTACCATTTAGATGAAGTTAAGATATAAGAGAAGATATGGAAACTGTGTCTTTTGCAGTTTATAGTGGCCAACTAATGGTGACAATTCCCATATGTGAGTAGAAAAAGATTGATGAGTGTATTAGTTACAAGTTCAGGACTACAGTCAGACTGGGTATATATTCTAGCTCTACCATTTAAACTCTATTGAGGTCAATTTCACATAACATAAAAAACACTTATTTAAAGTGTTTTATGTTTTATAAGTATACTCATTTAGTTGTGCAAATGTCACAAAAATCTGATTTTAGAAAACTGTCGATACCCCAAAACCATTATCAGTCATTGCTTTTCTCCCCAGTCTCTCTTCCTGGCCCCAGGCCAAAGTAATTGCTAATCTGCTTTCAGTCTTTACAGGCTTACCTATTCAAAACATTTTATATAAAAGCAATCATGCAATTTATAGTCTTTTATGATGGCTTCTTTCATGTAGCATAGTGGTTTCCAGGTTTTTGTGTTTTTTAATTTGTATACATTTAAGGAGGTTTTGTTACATCGATATATTTTGTAGTGGTGAAGTCTGAGCTTTTAGTATAACCATCCCCTAAATATTGTACTTTGGAGCCACAAAGTAATTTCTCATCCATCATCTCCTTCCACCCTTTGGGATCTCCAATGACTATTATATCACACTCTATGTCCATATGTTCACATTATTTAGCTTCATCTTGTAAGTCAGAGCATGTGGTATTTGACTTTCTGTTTCTGAGATGTTTCACTTAATATATTAGCCTCCAGATTCATCCATGTTATTGCAAAGGACATTATTTCATTTTTTTATTGCTGAGTAGTATTCCCATGTCTACACACACACACACACACACACACACACACACACACCACATTTTCTTTATCCAGTCACCCACTGATGGATACTTAGGTCGATTTCTTAACTTTGCTATTGTGAACAGTGTTGCAATAAACATACAAGTGCAGGTATCTTTTTGATATAATGATTTCTTTCCCTTTGGGTATACATGCAGTAGTGGGATTGTTGGATCAAATGGTAGTTCCATATTTCAGTTTCTTGGGAAATCTCCGTGCTGTTTTCCATAAAGGTTGTACTAATTTACATTCCCACCATCAGTGTATAAGCATTTCATTTTCTCCACATTCTCACTAACATCTGTTATTTCTTGACTTTTTAATAATAGCCATTCTGACTAGTGTAAAATAATATCTCATTGTGGTTTTAACTTGAATTTCTCTGATAATTAGTGATGTTGAGGACTTTTTCACATGTTTGTTGATCATTTGTATGTCTTATTTAAAAAATATCTATTCATGTCCTTTGTCTACTTTAATGGGGTTATTTTGTTGTTGTTGTTGTTGAGTTGTTCTTGTAAATTCTGGATATCAGTCCCCTGTCATATGCAGAGTTTGAAAATATGTTTTTTCCCTTCTGGTGGTTCTTTGTTCACTCTGTTGATTATTTCTTCAGTGTGCAGATGCTTTGTAATTTAAGTAACTCCAATTTGCCAATTTTTGATTTTGTTGGTTGTGTTTTTGAGTTCTTAGTCATAAATTATTTGCCTAGGTCAACGTCCAGAATAGTTTTACCTAAGTTTTCTTCTAGTATTTTTATACTTTCAGATCTTACATTTAAGTATTTAATTATTCCTGAACTGATTTTTGTATATGAGAGATAGGGGTCCAGTTTCATTCTTCCGCATATCGCAGTCCAATTTTCCCAGCACCATTTGACGAAAAGTATATCCTTTCCCCCAGTATATGGTTTTTGTTGACTTTACCAAAGATCAGCAGGCTGGAGATATGTGGCTTTGTTTTTGGATTCTCTATTTTGTTTCAGTGATCTGTGTGTCCATTTTTATACCAGCACTTTTATACCAGTGTTGTTTACTGTAGCCTTGTAGTATACTTTGATGTATGGTGATGTGATTCCTCTAGCTTTGTTCATTTTGCTCAGGATTGATTTGGCTATTCAGGCTCTTTTGTTGTTTTATATAAATTTTAGGTTTACTTTTTCTAGTTCTATGAAGAGTGATGTTGCTATTTTGATTAATAGCAATTGATTTCTATGATTTCTTTTATATGCTTTGTAGTGTAGTTCTGAAGAGGAACAGAGTATTGAGATTCAGAAGAACATTGAACCCCAATCCAAACAATCTAAAAAATCCAATATAATGATGCAAAAGATAAAAGATAAAATAGGCATTTCAAGAAGAAACATCTTGTAAAGATATTTCACCTTGGTTAAATATATTCCTAGGTTTTTATTGTAGTTATGATAAAAGGGATTTCTTTCTTGATTTGGTTCTCAGCTTGATTGTTATTGGTGTATAGACATGACATTTGATTTTGTATATTGATTTTGTATTCTAAAACTTTACTGAATTTATTTATCAAATCTAAGTTGTTTTGGAAGTGTCTTTAGGGTTTATACATGTATAAAATGATATCGTCAGCAAAAAAGAGGTAGATGTACTTCCTCTTTTCTAATTAAGAAGTCCTTTATTTCTTTCTCTTGCCTAACTTCTCTGCCTAGGACTTTCAATACTGTGATGACTAGAAGTGGTAAAAGTGGGCATTCTTGTTTTGGTTCAGTTCTTAGAGGGGTTCCTCTCAACTTTTCATCATTTAGTATGATGTTGGATGTGTTTGTCATATATGTCATATGCATTTTATTATTTTGAAATATATTTTATTCTATGCCTAATATGTTGAGAGTTTTTATCATGAAGGGATGTTACATTTTATCGATGTTTTTTCTGCCTCCATGAGATGATTATGTCATTTTTGCATTTAATTCTGTTTATGAGAGGAATCATGTTTATTTATTTGCATATATTGAACCATTCCTGTATCCCTGGAGTAAAACCCACTTTATTGTTGTTATATTATCTTTTTAAGGTACTGTTGGATTCAGTTTGCTAGGATTTTGTTAAGGATTTTTGCATCCATGTTCATCAGGGATATCAGTCTATAGTTTTCCTTTTTATTGTATCCCTCTCATCTTTGGTATCGGGGTGATACTGACTTCATAGAATGAGTTAGGAAGGCTTCCCTTCTCCCACCAGCAACACATTTGTGCAGCCCATTGTCCCACCACCACCAACGTAGGCACACACACATAGACACTACCAGGTAGACCTTGTCAATGCATGAGCACCCTGCCATGCCCTGCTGTCACCCTGCCGCAGTCAGTGATTCACCTCCATTGACATGTGTGGACCCTAATGCTCCTGCTGGCACATGCTCCTTTGCACAAATCTTGCTGCCACTGCCCTGATGAACCACTGGCCAGCACACCCAATTGGAATGTTGTGGCCAGAAGACTGGGAACACGTTGACTCCCCCAGTGTAGCATGTTTCAAGTGGCAAGAAAACAAATCCAGGGGCGTAGTACCAAACCCCCAGGGGTCTGTGGTATGCAGCCCAAGAGTGATGAGCTGAGCCTTGGCTCCCTGAAGTCTTCCAGAAATGAAGGGAGTTTACTGAACCTACCTCATACCACAATCCAACCCTCAAGGGAATGAAAAAATATAAAAGCAAAAAGCCTAATCCAAAGGACAGCAACTTCAAAGATTCAAGGAAAATCAGCCAACATAGATGAGAAAGAAACAGGGCAAAAACTCTGACAACTCAAAAAGTCAGCATGCCTTCTTACATACAAATGGCTGCACTATTACCTCAGAAAAGTTTCTTAACTAGGCTGAAATGGCTGAAATGACAGACATAAAATTCTGAATCTGAATGGAACAGAGGATTGAGATTCAGAAGAACATTGAACCCTAATCCAAACAATCTAAAAAATCCAATAAAATGATACAAGAGATAAAAGATAAAATAGCCATTTCAAGAAGAAACCAAACTGAACTGATAGAGCTGAAAAGCTCACTAGAAGAATTTCACAATACAATTGCAAGTATTATCATCAGAGTAAATCGAGCTGAGAAAAGAATCTTGGAGCACAAAGACTACTTTTTTTAAGTCAATTCAGTCAGAGAAAAACAAAGAAAAAAAAGAATGAACAAAATGATTGAGAAACATGGGATTATGTAACGAGACCAAATCTAAGACTTATTTGCATCCCTGAGGGAGAAGTAGAAAAAGCAAGCAACTTAGAAAACATATTTGAGGGTATTGTCCATGAAAATTTCTTCATCCTCACTATAGAAACCAACATTCAAACTTAGGAAATGCAGATAACTCCTGTGAGATACTATGCAAGACAACAAACCCCAAGACATAGTCATCAGATTCCCCAAAGTCAACATGAAAGAAAAAATATTAAAGCATCTAGAGAGAAAGGGCAGGTCACCTAAAGAAAGATCTCTGTCAGGCTAACAGCATACTTTTCAACAAAAAACCTAGAAGCCAGAAGAGATTGGGGCTTATTTGTGACAAAAATTTCAGAGGTTTGACCTAGCTCCTGCTGCTTGTTGTGAAAAAGTCAATCACTGACACAACAAGTGTTGCCTGTGAAGAAGGGTTTAATCAGGTGCTGCAGCTGAGATGTGGAAGAACAGTCTCACATCCGTCTCCCTGACTGACTAAAATTAGGGGTTTATAGAGCAAAGAAGAAATACAACTATGTGTAGGAAAACAGGAACACCGAGAGGGAGTAAGGAAGAGGAGGTGGTCTACAAGAAGCAGACAATCAGTTAGAAAAATAAAGATAAGGAGAGGTAAGGAAGCAATTGTGATGAATAAGAGACCTAGTGTCTCATTGTCTGGCTAAGATGATCTTGTGAGTTTCAGTTCTTTGATAATTATTGAGAAGTCTGTGGATCCTTTCTTGAGTAAGGAACTCAGATTTTAAAAATGTAAGTTTTAAGCATTAAGACAAGAAGAGTCAATTTCTGGTTTTCTAAGAAAACACCTCTATGCAGTTTCATATTCAGCAGTCTGAAAAAAGAAATTTCAACCAGGAATTTCATATTGAGACAAACTAAACTTCATAAGTGAAGGAGAAAATGCTTTTCAGACAATCAAATGCTATGGGAATTCATTACCAGCAGACCTGCCTTATAAGAGGTCTGTAAGGGAGTACTAAATATGGAAACAAAAGACTGGCCACCACAAAAACACACTTAAATACATAGACCATAGACACTATAGAGCAACTTCGCAATCAAGTCTGCATAATAACCAGCGGGCATCACAAAGACAGGATCAAATCTGCATAAAACAGTATGTAAATGGGCTAAATGCCCCACTTAAAAGGCACCGAGTGGCAAGTTGAATTAACAAACAAGACTCTACACTATGCTGTCTTCAAGAGACCCACCTGACCTGCAATGACATCCATAGGCTCAAAGTAAAGGGATGAAAAAATATATACCAAGCAAATGGAAAAAAAGCAGAGATTGCTATTTTAATTTTAGACAAAACAGACTTTAATCCAACAATGATCAAAAAAGACAAAGAGGGGCATTACATAATGGTAAAGAGAACTATGAAAAAATAAGAGTTTTCTATCCTAAATACACATATACATACATATATACCTGACACTAGAGCATCCAGATTCATAAAACAAGTTCTTAGAGACCTGTGAAGACACTTAAATAACCACAAAATTATAGTGGGAGAATTACACACCCCAACTTACAATGTTAGACAGGTCATCAAGGCAGAAAACTGACAAAAATTCAGTACTTGAATTTGACACTTGACCAAACGGATCTAACAGATATCTACAGAACTCTCCACTCCAAAACAACAAAAGATACATTCTTCTCATCTGCACATGGCACATACAATAAAATAAACCATATAAAAACTAATAGAAAATTTTCAGCAAATTCATAAAACCAAAATCATACCAACCAAACTCTCAGTCCACAGCACAATAAATATAGAAATCAATATTAAAATATTTCTCAAAATTATGCCCTTATATGGAAATTAAACAACCTGATCCTGCGTGACTCTTGGATATATAATAAAATTAAAGGAGAAATCACAAAATTTTTTGAAACTAATGAAAACAGAGACAACATATCAGAATCTCTGGAACAGCGTTAAAGGAAAAGTTTATAGTGCTAAATGCATACATTGAAAAGTTAGAACGATATCAAATTAACAACATAACATCAACCTAGAAAATCTAGAAAAACAAGAGTAAATTAATATCAAAGTTAGCAAAAGAAAAAAATTAACCAAAATTGGAGCTGAAGTGAATGAAATTGAGAAGCAAAAAATACAAAAGATCTACAAAATCAAAAATTACTTCTTTGAGAAAAGATAATTTTTATAGACTGCTAGCTAGACTAACAAAGAAAAAAGAGAGATGATTCAAATAAACACACTGATAAATAACAAAGGGGACATTACCACTGGCCCCCCAAAATACAAAAAACCCTCAGAGACTATTATGAACACCTCTATGCACACAAACTAGACAACCTAGAAGAAATTAATAATTTCCTGGAAATACACCACTTCTAAAGGTTGAATTACAAAGAATTTGAAAAAATGAAAAGACAAATAATGTGTTCTGAAATTAATCAGTAATAAAAAGCCTACCAACCAGAAAAAGCCCTGGAAAAGATGGATTCACAGCCAAACTCTGCCAGATGTGTAACGCAGATCTGGTACTATTTCTAGTGAAACTATTCCAAAAAAGTGAGGAGGAGGTATTCCTTTCTATCTCATTCAGTGAGCAAACATCATTCTGATGTTAAAAACTGTCAGAGATAGGGATGTATCATTCCAAGATGGCCGAATAGGAACAGCTCCAGTCTGCAGCTCCCAGCGTGATCGACACAGAAGACGGGTGATTTCTGCATTTCCAACTAAGCTACCTGGTTCACCTCATTTGGACTGGTTGGGCAGTGGGTGCAGCCCATGGAGGGTGGGCCGAAGCTGGGTGGGGCATCACCTCACCCGGGAAGTGCAAGGGGTTGGGGGATTTCCCTTTCCTAACCAAGGGAAGCCATTACAGACTGTACCTGGAAAAATGGGACACTCCTGCCCAAATACCAGGCTTTTTCCATGGTCTTAGCAACCAGAAGACCAGGAAATTCTCTCCTGTGCCTGTCTCGGCAGATCCCATGCCCACAGAGCCTTGCTCACTGCTAGCGCAGCAGTATGAGATTGACCTGCGAGGCTGCAGGCTGGTAGGGGAAGAGGCATCTGCCACTGCTGGGGCTTGGGTAGGTAAACAAAGTGGCCAGGAAGCTTGAACTGGGCAGAGCCCACCACAGCTCAGCCAGGCCTACTGCCTCTATAGACTCTACCTCTGTGGGCAGGGCATAGCTAAATAAAAGGCAGCAGAAACAGCTACAGACTTAAACATCCCTGTCTGACAGCTCTGAAGAGAAAAGTGGTTCTCCCAGCATGACGTTTGAGTGTTGAGAATGGACAGACTGCCTTTTCAAGTGGGTCCCTGACCCCCGTGTAAACTAACTGGGAGACATCTAGTAGGGGCTGACAGACACCTCATGCAGGTGGTTGCCCCTCTGGGATGAAGCTTCCAGACAAGGATCAGGCAGCAATATTTGCTGTTCTGCAATATTTGCGGTTCCGCAGCCTCTGCTGGTGATACCTAGGCAAACAGGGTCTGGAGTGGACCTCCAGCAAACACCAACAGACCTGCAGCTGAAGGACCTGACTATTAGAAGGAAAACTAACAAACAGAAAGGAATAGCATCAACATCAACAAAAAGGATATCCACACCAAAACCCCATCAGTAGGTCACCAACATCAAAGACCGACGGTAGATAAAGCAACGAAGATGGGGAGAAACCAGAGCAGAAAAGCTGAAAATTATAAAAACCAGAGTGCCTCTTCTTCTCCAAAGGATCACAGCTCTTCGCCAGCAATGGAACAAAGCTGGACGGAGAATGACTTTGACGAGTTGACAGAAGTATGCTTCAGAAGGTCGGTAATAACAAACTTCTCCGAGCTAAAGGAGCATGTTCTAACCCATCGCAAGGAAGCTAAAAACCTCGAAAAAAGGTTAGATGAAAGGCTAACTAAAATAAACAGTGCAGAGAAGACATTAAATGACCTGATGGAGCTGAAAAACATGGCACGAGAACTTCGTGACGCATGCACAAGCTTCAGTAGCCAATTCGATCAAGTGGAAGAAAGGGTATCAGTGATTAAAGATCAAATTAGTGAAATAAAGTGAGAAGACAAGTTTAGAGAAAACAGAGTAAAAAGAAACTAACAAAGCATCCAAGAAATATGGGACAATGTGAAAAGACCAAATCTACATTTGATTGGTATACCTGAAAGTGACGGGGAGAATGGAACCAAGTTGGAAAACACTCTGCAGGATATTATCCAGGAGAACTTCCCCAACATAGCAAGGCAGGCCAACATTCAAATTCAGGAAATACAGAGAACACCACAAAGTTACTACTCGAGAAGAGCAACCCCAAGACACATAATTGTCACTAATCGTCAGAGAAATACGAATTAAAACCACATTGAGATACCATCTCACACCAGTTGGAATGGCTGTTGTCTAAAAAGTCGAAAAATAAGAGATACTGGCAAGGCTGCTGAGAGAAGGCAATGTTTATAAACAGCTGGTGGGAATGGAAATTAATTCATCTATTGTGGAAAGCAGTTTTCTGATTTCTCAAAGAACTTAACAATTGAACATTCAATCCAGCTATCCCATTATTGGGTATATACTCTAAAGAGTATAAGCCTTTCTCCCATAAAGACACATGCAATCATATGTTCATTGCAGCACTATTCACAATAGTGAAGACATGGAATCAACATAAATGCCCATCAAAGGTAGATTGGATAAAGAAAATATGGTACATATGCACCATGGAATACTACACACCCATAAAAAGGAATGTGATCATATCCTTATCCTTTACAGCAATAATGAGGAATTGGAAGTCATTATTCCAAGTGAAATAATGCAGGGAGAAAAAAGCAAATACTGCATGTTCTCATTTATAAGTAGGAGCTAAACATTGAGTTCATATGGACACAAAGAAGGAAACAATAGATACCAGGGCCTACTTGAGGTTGGAGGGTAGGACGAGCATGAGAAACAAAGAACTATGTACTGTACTATGCTTATCACTTGGGTGACAAAATAATCTGTGCACACAACCCCCCTGACAGTCAATTTACCTATATAACAACTTGCACCTGTACCCTTAAACCTAAAATAAAAGCCTAATAAATAAATACATAACTTAATTAATTTTGACAATGGAAGAGGGTTGGCCTACACCAGTAAGCAAAAATGGAAAGTTGAAGATGCCAAGCTAGTTAATATTGAGGAGACAGAATAACCTTAACTAATGACTAGTGATGCTAGTTATTTGAACTTTGAAGCTCAATGCTTTACTTATCACTCTTCCCTTTCCCACTACAATCTCCATAAGTGCACATGTTGGGAGGTAAATTTGTGTGCTAGACAGTATGCTATTCTCAAAATTGCCCTTTCCTTCATGTAAGTACTGTTTTAAGACACTTTTATAATGATCATGATTGTCCTGCTTGGCTCTGTTTCCTAAGTAGTCAGATCTTACCCACAAAGCACCTCAATCATTCCTGAGAAGATGTTCCTGAATTGGCATTCCAGTACTTCATCTCACTTTTATTGATATATCTGAAAAGGAGGGGAAGACAGAGCTGAGGAGCAAACTATAACAACCTGCTTTGAAGATATTGACTTTTCACTATTAAATTCAATCAGAATATTTTCTTTTTTTTTTTTCACTAAAAATAACTCTCTGTCAAGCACACTTATTCCTATTAACAATACCTGTTATTAATCTGTTCCTAAAGCTTCTGGTAAACTTTATGACTTGTTTAATTTTAACCTTTATTATTTTTAAAAAAATACATTTAATCCTTGAGCCAACTACATATAAGTTATTAGTGTCATTTCCTCTAGGTAACTATTGGGCTATGTTTAAAGAGTCTATGGTGTACCAGGTAATGAAAAGGAACAATCTTTGCCTGCTACCTTTCCTATAATTACTATTTAGTCTTTATTGTTTAAAGTCAAGTTGCATGAAATGTTAGAGGCCTCTTGCCAGCATTTATCTACAGTGATTAGTCAGAGAAGAGCTTCCGCTCTAGCATTTTTCAACTCAGAAGTCTGTATTCTAGAGATAAGTGATAGAGTTGAGAAGGTAGGGAAAGAGGGATTGGGAGGGTGATTAAAACTGGAATACCAGGCCGGGTGCGGTTGTTCACACCTGTAATCCCAGCACTTTGGGAGGCTAAGGTGGGCATATCACCTGAGGTCAGGAGTTTGAGACCATCCTGCCAACATGGTGAAAGTCTGTCTCTTTTAAAAATACAAAAATTAGCCAGGCGTGGTGGCACACACCTGTAATCCCAGCTACTCAGGGAGCTGAGGCAGGAGAATTGCTTGAACCTGGGAGGCGGAGGTTGCATTGAGCTGAGATCATGCCAATGCACTCCAGCCTGGGTGTCAAGAGTGAAACTCCATCTCAAAAAAAAATAAAAAAAAAAAATAATTGCAATACCATTTGATAGGACTCTATTTTAATCAAACATGCAACAGTGGAGGCATGAGAGTATGTCAGTTGACAATATAAAATGAAGAAGTGCTTTGCATCAAGAACGAGATGGACTATGATGAAGCTTTTTCTCTATTACACAAAAAAATCTGTATAATCTTTTAAATACAAAACTATGCCCTTCTTTAGAGGATTAAAACAAAACTGTGCAGAAAATGAACTATCCAATACTAAAATGAGAAAACATGAGAATTGAAACAACCTCATAAAATGCTGTAGCTTTCAAGCCCCTGAAAGCAATAATGATACTAAAAAGGGAAATTAGGCAGCCTTTTTAGTTTTTTTTTGAGGTCTTAATAAAGATCTTCAGCTACATCTTTGAATTATTGTACCCCAAGCTTCAGTTTGTATCATACAATCTACCATAGAGACATTAGAAGGTTTCTGACTTTTCATCTGATTGACATTGAAAGCCAAAACAAGTTTTGAACAGAAGATTCCTTTTAAGGATAACCCTGTTGTTGGTTAAAAATTGTCTTTCTTGGGAGTGGTAGAGGGAGGAGATCAAGTTTATAAGCAAGTTATAAAGTTAAGAATAAATTTTTAATAACCCAAATAAGAGAAAATGGTGACTTGAACTAGGATGGTGGGTGTTTATGTGGTGAAAAATATATCTTGGATATATTTTGCATTTAAACCCAGGGAGATTTTCTGGCAGATCACATGTAAGAGAAAAAAGACAGAAGTTAAAGACGACTTCAAGAATTATTGCCTGAACAACCATAACAATAAAGTTTTCATTCATTGACATGAGGAATCAGTCAGTGCGTACTGCTTCTGTGCATCTGGTGATAGCAGTGGATGGATTAGTGAATTTCCAGAGTGATATATCAGATATGCTAAGTTTGAGAAGCCTCTCAGATATCCAAAAGAAGATATTCAGTGGAGAGTTAGATACATGAATCGGCAGTTCATGGAAGATGCCAGAATTTTCACTTTGATTTTTACCTCCACATCCACATAACATCATCTCATCAGAGCAAAAATTGCACTGGACAAAGTGGAACAAGCCAGGGAGATTTTACTCAAGGCTGTTGCTATAAGAAAGAGAGACCAGAACTGAACTCCACAGGAACAAAAGGAAAGAGGTGTTTTAAGAGCTGGGATGGGGAGGGACCTTAGGCCATTATTTTGTGTTTGCCCAAGGAAAAGTCAACTTTCTCATATCTTTATGATAGGAGGTAGTTTGATAACTTGGAATGAAGTGGCCACTGAGAAGAAATTAAATACCTACCCCCCACAGAGACTGGGTCATCCAGGTACTGATATGGTTTGGCTGTGTGTCCACACCCAAATCTCATGTTGAACTGCAATCCCCAGTGTTACAAGAGGGGCCCTGGTGAGAAGTGTTTGAATCATGCAGGTGTACTTCCGCTTTACTGTTCTCATGATAGTGAGTGAGTTCTCATGAGAGATTTGGTTGTTTAAAAGTGTGTGGCACTTCCCACTTCACTCTCTCTCTCCTGCCCTACCATGTGAAGATGTGCCTGCTTCCCTTTTGCCTTATGCCATGATTGTAAGTTTTCTGCGGCCACCCCAGCCATGCTTTCTGTACAGCCTGCAGAACTGTAAGTCAATTAAACATCTTTTCTTCATAAATTATCCAGTCTCAGGTAGTTCCTTATAGCAATGCAATAATGGATTAATACAGGTACTATCTTCGAAGTTTGATGATTATCTTTCATAAGAATGGCTCCTATTTCCTTGAGAAAGACATTCCTGGCTTTTAAAACTGTCAAAAATCCTTCAAAAGATGTACATCTCAAAGTGGCAGAGACAGAATTTACAATGACAAGCGTTCTAAGAAAACAGAGGCTATTTATGACAAACCCACAGCAATATCATACTGAATGGGCAAAAACTGGAAGCATTCCCTTTGAAAATGGGCACAAGACAGGGATGCCCTCTCTCACCACTCCTATTCAACATAGTGTTGGAAGAGTTCTGGCCAGGGCAATCAGGCAGGAGAAGGAAATAAAGGGTATTCAATTAGGAAAAGAGGAAGTCAAATTGTCCCTGTTTGCAGATGACATGATTGTATATCTAGAAAACCCCATCGTCTCAGCCCAAAATCTCCTTAAGCTGATAAGCAACTTCAGCAAAGTCTCAGGATACAAAATCAATGTGCAAAAATCACAAGCATTCTTATACACCAGTAACAAACAGTGAGCCAAATCATGAGTGAACTCCCATTCACAATTGCTTCAAAGAGCATAAAATACCTAGGAATCCAACTTACAAGGGATGTGAAGGACCTCTTCAAGGAGCACTACAAACCATTGCTCAATGAAATAAAAGAGGATACAAACAAATGGAAGTACATTCCATGCTCATGGGTAGGAAGAATCAATATCGTGAAAATGGCCATACTGCCCAAGGTAATTTATAGATTCAATGCCATCCCCATCAAGCTACCAATGACTTTCTTCACAGAATTGGAAAAAACTACTTTAAAGTTCATATGGAACCAAAAAAGAGGCCGCATTGCCAAGTCAATCCTAACCCAAAAGAACAAAGCTGGAGGCATCACGCTACCTGACTTCAAACTCAACTACAAGGCTACAGTAACCAAAACAGCATGGTACTGGTACCAAAACAGAGATATAGACCAATGGAACAGAACAGAGCCCTCAGAAATAATGCCACACATCTACAACTATCTGATCTTTGACAAACCTGAGAAAAACCAGAAATGGGGAAAGGATTCCCTATTTAATAAATGGTGCTGGGAAAACTGGCTAGCCATATGTAGAAAGCTGAAACTGGATTCCTTCCTTACACCTTACATGAAAATTAATTCAAGATGGGTTAAAGACTTAAATGTTAGACCTAAAACCATAAAAACCCTAGAAGAAAACCTAGGCAATACCATTCAGGACATAGGCATGGGCAAGGACTTCATGTCTAAAACACCAAAAGCAATGGCAACAAAAGCCAAAATTGACAAATGGGATCTAATTAAACTAAAGAGCTTCTGCACAGCAAAACAAACTACCATCAGAGTGAAGAGGCAACCTACAGAATGGGAGAAAATTTTTGCAACCTACTCATCTGACAAAGGGCTAATATCCAGAATCTACAATGAACTCAAACAAATTTACAAGAAAAAACAAACAACCCCATCAAAAAGTGGGCAAAGGATATGAACAGACACTTCTCAAAAGAAGACATTTATGCAGCCAAAAAACACATGAAAAAATGCTCATCATCACTGGCCATCAGAGAAATGCAAATCAAAACCTCAATGAGATACCATCTCACACCAGTTAGAATGGCGATCATTAAAAAGTCAGGAAACAACAGGTGCTGGAGAGGATGTGGAGAAATAGGAACACTTTTATGCTGTTGGTGGGACTGTAAACTAGTTCAACCATTGTGGAAGTCAGTGTGGTGATTCCTCAGAGATCTAGAACTAGAAATACCATTTGACCCAGCCATCCCATTACTGGGTATATACCCAAAGGATTATAAATCATGCTGCTATAAAGACAAATGCACACTTATGTTTATTGCGGCACTATTCACAATAGCAAAGACTTGGAACCAAGCCAAATGTCCAACAATGATAGACTGGATTAAGAAAATGTGGCACATATACACCATGGAATACTATGCAGCCATAAAAAAGGATGAGTTCATGTCCTTTGTGGGGACATGGATGAAGCTGGAAACCATCATTTTCAGCAAACTATCGCAACGACAAAAAACAAACACCGCATGTTCTCACTCATAGGTGGGAATTGAACAATGAGAACCCTTGGACACAGGAAGGGGAACATCACACACTGGGGCCTGTTGTGGGGTGGGGGGAGGGGGGAGGGATAGCATTGGGAGATATATCTAATGTAAATGATGAGTTAATGGGTGCAGCACACCAACATGGCACATGTATACGTATGTAACAAACCTGCACGTTGTGCACATGTACCCTAAAACTTAAAGTATAATAAAAAATAATAAAAAAAAAGAAAACGGAGAGGAAGCTGCTGTAGTTTGGCTAAGGTGCTGTAGTTAAGGGTGGGAGTCAGTGATAAGAGAGAAGTCAGGGACCAAGAAGCAGGGTAAGGCCTGTCTATAACTTAGTCTAGTTCAAGCTCAAGAAAACATTGAGACCATTTTGGTCAGTCTTTTTTAGGGTGACCATATAATTTATTGCTTAAGCCAAAATACTCTAGGGATGGAAAGGATATTATTATTAATTAAACTGGATAATAGGTGTAGATCAGGACTTTCTCATCAAACCCAGATGGATGGTTATTCCACCTGTCACATCTTCATGCCATTTTCATACAACATGGAGTGCAGCATAAAGGTATCATGAGATGTAATATATCTGTGAAGATAAATAAAACTTACTTTAAAAATAACATCTGAAACAGATTGCCAGGAAAAAGTGTATTGACACCAAATATTTCAGAAAGATGTATTATGAAGGTAATTTGGCCTGGTTCATCCTTTAAGATCCAGCCCAGGTTTCATATCCTACATCTGCAGAGTTCTCTATGTATTTCTCAAGCATTTATTTTTTCTGCTCACTTGTCTCTCCTCACAGCAAAACTTGAGCACACTGAGAACATGAACTTTCTCCTTTATCATTGATACTTTAACTCATAACTTTAACTCAGTAAGTTGATTAAAATAACAGGGAGGGTACATAGGGAGTCAAAGTTTTGAACATGATTTTGAGCTTCAATGACTGCTAGAAGATTTGTAAAATGAATAGAAATGACACTAACAGAAGGTGTTTAGCACTGCTGTTTTATGCCGTATGGGATTTAGATTATACTACACAGGCGATGGGGCAGGGTGGGAAGAGACTAATATATTTACCTAATGGTATCCTAATGCTGTTTGTTGCATTCTGCTCTATATTTTCTTCCTGCGGAATGTGCTTGTTTCCCATTAGTGCTTCATGAATTAACCATAACTGCCACTAATGTAATTAAAATATTGATTGCCAAGAGGAAGTGAAGATTCAGCATTAATTCATTGAGCAAAAACTTATTGAGTCCTATTATATATCATTCCTTGAAATAGGCTCCAGGAATATATATAATAGCAAGTCATTATCTTGGCTGCACAAACATTGGAATAGAATTGAATTATAAAATAGTGCAAAATGTCATTTTATGGCTCTAAACCCACAAGATAAATTCTCTTCTTTGACTAACTTTGTTTCCAAGTAGTAAGAACTCCCCCAGTATATCAAAAATGGATCTCATGTGGCAGGTATGTGGTTGCTGGTTTAGTATGCTATGGCCATCTCTGAATGGCGTGCCCAGAAGCCCTGAAACTGCCCAGATAATTTATAAACTCATGGGTGTATCAAGTGAGTCAATGTTGTGCCTATACCTATTCTGGGAGTCTCTCATTACAGAAACAGTATTCATCTTTCTCTGAACCATCTAACACCTTTCACTTGACCCCATAAGTTTTCCCTTCGCAAGACTCTATCTTAGCAGGGTGAATTCATTCCCTACCTTTTTAATGGTAAACCTGGCTTATAATATTCACTATACATTAGTCCTCACTTATCTCCCGTTTTGCCTTCTGTGGTTTGTTACCCGTGGTCAGCTGTGATGTGAAAATATAAAATGAAAAATTCTGGGAGGCTGGGACAGGAGAATCATTTGAACCCGCGAGGCGGAGGTTGCAGTGAGCTGAGATCGCACCACTATACTCCAGCCTGGTGACAGAGCGAGACTCCATTAAAAAAAAATTCCAGAAATAAACGACTCACTAGTTTTAAATTCTGTGCCATTCTGAGTAGTTTGATGAAATCTCACACTCTGCTCCACCCTGGCTGGATGTAAATCATCCCTTTGTCCAGAATATCTGAGCTGTATATGCTACCTGCCTGTTGGTCACCTGTAGCCATCTGCATTATCAGATCGACTTTCATGGTATTGCAGTGCCTGTGTTGAAGTAACCCTTATTTTACTCAATAGTGATCTCAAAGGACAAGAGTAGTAATGCTGGCAATCCAAACATGCCAAAGAGAAGCTGTAAAATGTTTCCTTTAAGTGAAAACAATAAAGTTCTTCATTTAATTAATAAGCAAAGGAATAAAATGTAGGATGAGATTGCTAAGCTCTATCATAAGAACAAATCTTCTTTCCACTGAAGTAAAGAAGGAAAACAAATTGGCGTACACTACACATAAAGTTTGGTATTATCCATGGTTTCAGGCATCCACTAGGGGATTTGGAATGTATTCCCTGTGGATAAGGGAAGACTACTGTAGCAAGTATTTATTGAGAATATGTGATGTGACAGGCACTGTGATAATCTTTGTAATAAGCCAACCAGTTTGGCATTGTTATTAATTTTAGTTTACACAGAGGAATTTCAGTCTCTTTCCCAATATCAAATAATCTGACTCCAGAGCCCACATTCTTAAATATGTTACGTACCTATAAATTTGCTGTCATCACAGGTGCCCACTGATTATTCTATATTATCAAGCAGTTTAATGATTCTGCTAGGAGTATCCAGGTGATCTCACCACTCTTGCCCTCCATAGATACCCAGAAATAGTCTATTAGGTTGAATATGCAGCATAAAGCCACATGCAGAAAACATCTTTGTAACACAGACAGAAACAACACATGGAGTCCGATGCCTAAAGATTATTAAGAAATACAAGAAAGTGCAAAATACATTTGAGATCAAAAGTACTGAGGCCTGGTATTGTGGAGAAACAGTTATCTAATTCAAATTAAATATGAGTGGATTGTTGTAGGTATAGAGAGGTTGGGGGTGAATGTACCAACTGGGGATAAAACTGAAAAGTTAAGACAGGATTGTCCACCATGTTTGTGAATATCATGTTAGCCTCTGGGCTTATCGTGTTGCAATGAAAACGTGTTTAAGTTTTCATGTGATGAGATTTGTGATTTTAAAGGGATTAAGGAAGACTTCTCTAATGCCAATGGGGAGGACAGAAAAATCAGGTTGCCCAACATGACTGCTACTGAAATTGCCCAAGCAAGAAATGATGAAAGCTGATCTAGTGCAGTGATGGTAGAAAGCAAGAGAAGCAAAGGAATTATTCGGACATTCCTGGAGTAGATCTATAGAATTTATTGATTTATTGAATGTCAGGGATGCAGGAGAGAAAACTGTCAAAGAGGCCTGCAAGTCCTTGTGATGATTCCCTACAGTGGATTCCTTATAAGGACTTCAAGCTCCCATACAATCTGGCCCCTACTCATCTCCCTGATCTCATCTTATATTCCCCTTACCCTCCAACTGCACTGACCTCATTACTCTTCCTGGAATGTGTCAGACAAGCCCCTGTTTTAGAGCATTTGTACTTACTCTTCCTTTTCCCTGGAGTACTTTTCTCCATGAACTCTCCATGTTTGAAGTTCTCAAGTCTTCCAGGTCTTACTTTCTGAGTAAGGCTAACATTGATCACATAGCCACAATTGTACACACACACACAAACACACACCTCTACCCAACTGGGCACTGCCTATCCACTTGCCTGCATAGTTCTTTTCTTAGCTCTTAACACCACTTGACATGCTATACATATAAAAAAACTATATAATTAGTTTTTTTCTGCGTTATTATTTTTCCCACTCTAATGCAAGCTTGTTAAGATGTGATTTCTGTCTATTTTGCTCACTGCTGCAGTTTTGGTGTCTATGAGAGCATGTGCAAACACTAATTTAGTTTAATAAATTAATTTCTAGATCAGCTGAGTCAGTGAATGGTGGCCTCATTTTAAAAGAATGCTGTTTTCTCAAATTTTGGGTGACCTCTGACTTCGTTATTTTTATTTTGGATGACCAAATATCACATCTGTAACTTAAAAACACAATCACTTGCCTACACACATGCGTGCCTGCATGCATATGCATATACATGGACACACACATACACATTCACACACAAAAGGCGCCCCCTCATCTTAAGGTTATCTGTTAGTACCAAACATGGATTTTTATCTATAGCATTGAAATATGCATCATTGCCTTTATGATTTTCTGAAGTTGTATTAATCACCTGCCTTAATGTTAAACCTAAGTAGACACTTTGCTCCACCATTTTAAAGTTTTAAACTCAGCTGCAAAGATCTACAATTTGTTATTATTTTCAGTGCTAAAGCTAGAGGATTTTTTTTTCAAAGACGACATTCAAGTCTACTTATTTACCTGTCACCAACTATAGAACTGAACTGTTAATCATAAGCACTTTATAAGCAGATCCAGGCAACTGCATAAGAGAAAATGACACAGTTTAACCAGACTCTGAAAGATAGATGCATATTTTGATTCACACCTGTACCAAAGAGAAGAGTCATGTCCATATGACTTAAGGCTCTCTAGACATAACTGCTATATGTTTTTATGATAGACCTCTAGAATGTGCCAGTTTTCTGTATCAGAGAGGAATCAAGAGAAATACTTCTTCTAAAGAACTGGGGAGGAGGCCGGGCGCGGTGGCTCACGCTTGTAATCCCAGCACTTTGGGAGGCCGAGGCGGGCGGATCACGAGGTCAGGAGATCGAGACCATCCTGGCTAACACGGTGAAACCCCGTCTCTACTAAAAATACAAAAAAAATTAGCCGGGCGTGATGGTGGGCGCCTGTAGTCCCAGCTACTCGGGAGGCTGAGGCAGGAGAATGGCGTGAACCCGGGAGGCGGAGCTTGCAGTGAGCCGAGATTGCGCCACTGCACTCCCGCCTGGGCCACAGAGCGAGACTCCGTCTCAAAAAAAAAAAAAAAAAAAAAAAAAAAAAAAAAAAAAAAAAAAAGAACTGGGGAGGAGAGGGACTACAGGGAATAGTCCAAGCAGAATAAATGCCTCCTCAGGTTTTTTGGGCATTAAAATTACTTCTTCCAATAAACCATTTCCTACAGTTTATATAGTGTGAGCTTTAAAACAAAAGAGAGAATTATTTCCTTACTTGAATTCTTCCCAAAGCAATCTGAACATTTCATAATCTATTCCAAAGCAATGCGAAGAGATCATCAATTCTCTAAGAATATAATTTCCATACATGTTGGCCTGGATTAAAAAGAAAAGAAGTTTATTTCCTTAAATGGCAGATTTGAGTGCTGTATGACCCATATGGCTAAAAATAAAACAAATACAAAAAAAGATTTTACTGAAAGATCAAGGATAAAAATGAATACTGGCTGGCTAATGAACTCAGCATCTGACAATAATTACTGACAATATTAAATATGTACCCAAAATATAACCTCAAAAAAAACAGGTTTGTTTATCCTATAAATAAAGCAGTCCAAAATGTTGAAAGGCATAATTTGGTTAAGACATAATGTGAATGTGTTCAAAGTTTATTTATTGGGGGGATAATTATACAAAAATACTTGAAATAATTTGCCAATAAAGTTTCAGTTTGTAACAATAATCCACATCAGTTTAGATTTGTGCATAGTTTTATAATTTAAACAATTTGTATAAAAGAGCTATTCAATACTTAATGATGTATAACTTTCAATGAAAACTAAATAAAAATCACATTTGAATTATTTACTTCTACATTATCTGATTATATCCATCAAATATACTACATATCCAAGTATAAGAGACAGGTATCTTCTCTGAGAGGTACAAGGGTTGTTCTTTATGGAATACCCTTTAAGAAGAGTGAAGCCAGCAATTTTTATATATGCATTTGTGCTTATATACATCTAGTTAAAAAAGCAAAGATCATGTCTTCATCTATTGTTAACCTAATAGTAAGAATGAGGGCCACCAGGCATCGGTGGAGATCTAGAAGGTCCTGGGGGCACTTGGAAAAGATTATTGGGAATAAGATAGAGTCCTGGTGTAGGATATGCTTCTGCATGGTCAGAATATGGTGAGGGTAATCTACAGGCTCCTGGCAAAACAGTATCCTGTGAAACAGGTGGTGCTGGCCCTGGTGCTTGGGTAGGAGGAGGAACAGGATGTGGCCCTGGAGAGGGATATGGCATATTAGGGGTGAGATAATGCCCTCCCATTCCTGGTAGTCAAGATTCATAAGACATGGATCCCTATGGACCTAAAGAGCAGCTAGAGCTCGATCTGTGGGTTCACCCTGTAGTCTAGGTACCTTTGGAAGGGACATATATGATGTAGAATATGGTCTTGTGGGGCATGGCACAGTTGGAGCTTAATAGGGACCACAGGATGCAGGGCATGCAAATATAGAGGAAGAAAACGATGTCCTGATTCCTGGAGGCAGTCCGCTGGGAGGCACAGAGGCATACATTGCTCTTGGCAGATGATGTTGCATTTGGGAGCAGTCCAAATGGCACAGTAGGTAGAACATGTGGGTTATTACAAGGGTTGGAACTTGGCCAACCCTTCTCAAGGCTGGCCAGGTTTTGCATTGCTCACAGCAGAGGTTTTGGCAGGGAGTGTTCAGATAATGCATCTGCCAAAATTTTGTCAGACATTTTCCCCAGTAAGATCTGAGCTCACAGCAGGGTTTAGAATTGACCCCAGATCCTAGAGAACTGGGCACTGAAGAATCAGACGTAGCCTAACTGATCAGCAGTGCGAGAACACCAGCATCAGCAGCTTGCAGCTTCCTCCTCTGTTCTGCCAAGTTTTAAAGCAAGCTACAGAAGCAAAGGGATTTAACAAAGGCCATGGTTATTTCCATGTGATGGCAAGCCTTCTGGCAGAGTTAGTACTTGAATCATAATGGGCATGAAGCTAAAAACTGGATTGACTGCAGGGGAAATAAATAAAGGTGCCCCAAAGGCATTATTTAAATACTCAATTTGTTTTAACTCCTTTAGCAATCCCACCAGGGAGCATGACATTTTTAGCTTACTGGCACGTCAATAATTTTTCTACCACAAAAAAGAGAAAGGCTATCTGCTCAACTAGAGATAGGGGTATGAGGAGTGTCATTTGTTTGTATTCTACCACTGGCATGATTTGAGATCTTTGTGTAGGAGACATCCACAAGAATAAACATTATCCCCCAACCATGCATGAAATCAAGCCAATTTGCTGAAGATAAATTTACCAAACCAAATTACTGAAATTCAGTTTGCCACATAGTAATTCTGCCAAAAACCAATCTTTCTGACGAATATTTTGCTAAATGACCAATTTAACACATTTGTGAAATTTGGTTATGATTTTATCAAATTAACACAATAATTTAAATGCTTTAACAGGAACATTTTAAGAGCTTAACAGGAATATACAATTTATGTTGCCACTACTGAAATAAAACTTTATGAACATTACAACTCAAAGTACTCATATTAAAATTCTAAATATGTGTATATATTTCTTTCAAAATGCAAATGGTATGTTCTAAAACCAAAGCATCATTATTTTATATGGGAAATTTTCAGGTTCATATAATTAAAAAACCAAACTCAACTACACTTTATTTTAGTTTTGTAGTTTTCAGGGCTTTAGGATTCATCTGGAAATTTTGGGTAGCATTTTAAATTTCACTTGTTTCATTTAGAAATTAGTTGCAACAATTTATTATGTGATGTGGTTGCTCCTGTGACTTTCTAGTCCCTTTCTATCATGGGGTCCATTATAGTTATCCCTCCAGGGCATCCATGCCTTGTTTCCCTACTTGGACACTTTTATTCTTTGATATTGAATCTTTCTTTTCACAGCCAGCAAGTCAATGTTTCCAATTGCTTCTTGTTAAAAACCAAACTTCCAGCATTTAATAAATAATGTGATTCTTTCAGCTACTTTAGATATATTTTAGAGGCTTTTTGATTTTTTTTAACTTTCCAAGTTTAAAGTATGTCAGGTATAATGTGTTATCTTTGGGAACAAACTATAATATTAATTAAGTTCAGTTTATATTTAAAATTGTCATTAGAAAGTTAATAGTTTTTTCCAATTCTGTGAAGAAAGTCATTGGTAGCTTGATGGGGATGGCATTGAATCTATAAATTACCTTGGGCGGTATGGCCATTTTCATGATATCCTCATGGATATCCATGAGGAATATCCTCATGGGTAGGATATTCCTACCCATGAGCATGGAGTGTTCTTCCATTTTTTTATATCCTCTTTTATTTCATTGAGCAGTGGTTTGTAGTTCTCCTTGAAGAGGTCCTTCACATCCCTTGTAAGTTGGATTCCTAGGTATTTTATTCTCTTTGAAGCAATTGTGGAATGGGAGTTCACTCATGATTTGTCTCTCTGTTTGTCTGTAAAAAACTACTTTAAAGTTCATGTGGAACCAAAAAAGAGCCCGCATCACCAAGTCAATCCTAAGCCAAAAGAACAAAGCTGGAGGCATCATGCTACCTGACTACAAACTATACTACAAGGCTACAGTAACCAAAACAGCATGGTACTGGTACCAAAACAGAGATATAGATCAATGGAACAGAACAGAGTCCTCAGAAATAATGCCGCATATCTACAACTATCTGATCTTTGACAAACCTGACAAAAACAAGCAATAGGGAAAGGATTCCCTATTTAATAAATGGTGCTAGGAAAACTGGCTAGCCATATGTAGAAAGCTGAAACTGGATCCCTTCCTTACACCTTATACAAAAATTAATTCAAGATGGATTAAAGACTTAAACGTTAGACCTGAAACAATAAAAACCCTAGAAGAAAACCTAGGCATTACCATTCAGGACATAGGCATGGGCAAGGACTTCATGTCTAAAACACCAAAAGCAATGGCAACAAAAGCCAAAATTGACAAATGAGATCTAATTAAACTAAAGAGCTTCTGCACAGCAAAAGAAACTACCATCAGAGTGAACAGGCAACCTATAAAATGGGAGAAAATTTTCACAACCTACTTATCTGACAAAGGGCTAATATGCAGAATCTACAATGAACTCAAACAAATTTACAAGAAAAAAACAAACAACCCCATCAAAAAGTGGGCGAAGGACATGAACAGAGACTTCTCAAAAGCAGACATTTATGCAGCCAAAAAACACATGAAAAAATGCTCATCATCACTGGCCATCAGAGAAATGCAAATCAAAACCACAGTGAGATACCATCTCACACCAGTAAGAATGGCGATCATTAAAAAGTCAGGAAACAACAGGTGCTGGAGAGGATGTGGAGAAATAGGACCACTTTTACACTGTTGGTGGGACTGTAAACTAGTTCAACCATTGTGGAAGTCAGTGTGGCGATTCCTCAGGGATCTAGAACTAGAAATACCATTTGACCCAGCCATCCCATTACTGGGTATGTACCCAAAGGTCTATAAATCATGCTGCTATGAAGGCACATGCACACGTATGTTTATTGCGGCACTATTCACAATAGCAAAGACTTGGAACCAACCCAAATGTCCAACAATGATAGACTGGATTAAGAAAATGTGGCACATATACACCATGGAATACTATGCAGCTATAAAGAATGATGAGTTCATGTCCTTTGTAGGGACATGGATGAAATTGGAAATCATCATTCTCAGTAAACTATCGCAAGGACGAAAAACCAAACACTGCATGTTCTCACTCATAGGTGGGAATTGAACAATGAGAACACATGGACACAGGAAGGGGAACATCACACTCTGGGGACTGTTGTGGGGTGGGGGGATGGGGGAGGGATAGCATTAGGAGATATACCTAATGCTAAATGACGAGTTAATGGGTGCAGCACACCAGCATGGCACATGTATACATATGTAACTGACCTGCACATTGTGCACATGTACCCTAAAACTTAAAGTATAATAATAATAAAATAAAAATAAAAAAAGAAAAAAAAGAAAGTTAATATTTATGAAGATACATGTGTATGTATAGATGTGTCTCTGTGTGCATGTATTAAATTATGTGTCAGGAGTGATGAAATGTATACATCCTTGTTAAAGCTGTAAACTGACCCATCAAACCTGTTGGAAACATTTTTGATATCTAGTATATTTGGTGAATTTTACATATTTAACAACTGGAAATTTTAACATATTAATCAACTGGAAAATTGATTACTTAGGAAAGTGGCTTTCAGCACTTAATTTTGTTTGAATTGACAACTTATCAAATTTATCTCCAAACTTCAGTTATTTGAATGATTATGGTAATAGGCATCCCATATCAAAACATGTCCATGACCCTTAGCAGATAAAATTTGTTTGTGGCTAGACACTCCATTCAAGCTGGACAAATTAGTGACTTTCTGAGGACTCTGGATACTTGGACCATATTAAGAAGCTAATGCCCCATTTAGGCCCCTTATTGCCTTGGGTCATTCAGATGTGTCCCAGTGTGTTAATCATAAATCTTCCTTTTGGGTAGACTGATTACTTTTGGGTTTCAGTCACTTTCAAATAAAACAAATGAAAGAGGCAAGCCTCAGACAAGTCACAGCATAGCCCGGTAATAGTGGTGCTGGTAATGATAATCAGGTATTTTTGGATAATCCAAATAATTTGTAGTACTTTTTCAGAAAATATAACGTATCAAGTATTAAACTAGGGAATGCAGATATAAAAGTAACATCTCCAAGATGGGCAAATAAATATCATACATTGTTTAAATGCTATGACAAAGATATGTGAAATTTTAGTCCAAGTCAGATTAGTAATTGATTCTTCTTACTCTTTTGAAGTGGCATTTCTAGTAACAAACCAACATTTTATGTATATAATATACATTAATAATTATCTTTTAACAATAAATATCTCATTTTATTAGATTAAAATCTGTTGATAAATAATATTATTAGATTTCATAATGGGGATTGATATGGTTTGGCTCTGTGTCCCCACATCAATCTCATCTTGAATTGTAATCCTCATAATCCTCACGTGTCAAGGGAGGGGCCGAGGTGGGAAGTGATTGGATCATGGGGGTGGTTTCCCATATGCTGTTTCCATGATATTGAGTGAGTGCCCATGAGATCCGATGGTTTTATAAGGCAGTTTTCCATGCTTTTGCTTGCTGTCTCTTTCCTGCCACCATGTAATGCATGCATTGCTTCTATTTCCTGAGGCCACCCTAGCCATGTGGAACTGTGAGTCAATTAAACCTCTTTCCTTTACAATTTACCCAGTCTGGGGTATTTCTTTAAGCAGTGCAAGAATGGAATAATACCATAAATTGGTGGCTGTAGAGTGGGTTACTGCTATAAAGATACCCAACAATGTGGAGGCTACTTTGGAACCGCATAACAGGCAGAGATTGCAACAGTTTGGAGGGCTCAGAAGAAGACAGGAAGATGTGCGAAAATTTGGAGCTTCCTAGGTCCTTGTTGAATGGCTTTGACCAAAATGCTGACAGTGATACGGACAATAAGGTACAGGATGTGGTGGCCTCAGAGGGAGATGAGGAACTTTTTGGGAGTTGGAGCAAAGGTCACTCTTGGCTATGCTTTAGCAAAGAGACTGGTGGCATTTTGCCCCTGCCCTAGAGATCTGTGGATCTTTGAACTTGAGAGAGATGATCTGAAATTGGAACTTATATTTAAAAGAGAAGCAGAGCATAAATGTTTGGAAAGTTTGCAGCCTGATGATACGACAGAAAAGAAAAACCCATTTTCTGGAGAGGAAATCAAGCCAGCACAGAGATTTGCATAAGTAACAAGAAGCCAAATGTTAATTACCAAGACAATGGGAAAAATATCTCCAGGATATGTCAGAGATCTTGATGGCAACCCCTCCCATCATAGAACCAGAGGGTTAGGTGGGAAAAATGGTTTCCTGGGCTGGGCCCCACTGCTGTGCTGTGTGCCTTCTGGACTTGGCACACTGTGGCCCAGGCATGGCTAAAAGGTGCCAGTGTATAGCTTGGGCCATGGCTTCAGAAGGTGCAAGTCTCAAATCTTGGCAGCTTACATGTGGTGTTGGGCTTGCAGGTGCACAGAAGTCAAGAATTGAGGTTAGGGAACCTCCAACTAGATTTCAGAGGATGTATGGAGTCACCTGGATGTCCGGGCAGAAGTTTGCTGCAGAGGCAGAGCCTTCATGAAGAACTTCTGCTAGGGCAGTGAGGAAGGGAAATGTGGGATTGGAGCCCCCACAGGGGCACTGCCTAGTGGAGCTGTGAGAAGACGGCCACTCTTCTCCAGATCCCAGAATGGTAGATCCACCAAGAGCCTGCACTGCATGCCTAGAAAAGCCACAGACACTCAACACCAGCCCATGAAAGCAGCCGAGAGGGGGGCTGTACCTTACAAAGCCATAGGAGCAGAGCTGCCCAAGATCATGGGAGCCCACCTCAGCATGACTTGGATGTAAGACATGGAGTCAAAGGAGATTAATTAGGAGCTTTAAGATTTAATGACTGTCTCCTGTATTTTGGGCTTGCATGGGGCCTATAAACTCTTTGTTTTAGCCAATTACTCTCTTTTGAAATAGGAGTGTTTATCCAATGCCTTTACCCCCATTGTATCTAGAAAGTACCTAACTTGCTTTTAATTTTACAGGCTTATATGCAGAAGGGATTTGCCTTGTCTCAGATGTGACTTTGGACTATGGATTTTTGGATTAATGCTGGAATGAGATAAGACTTTGGGGGACTGTTGAAAAGGCATGATTGTGTTTATAAATGTGAAGATGTGAGATTTGGGAGGGGCCAGGGATGGAATGATATGGTTTGGCTCCATGTCTCCATGCAAATCTTATCTTGAATTGTAATCCACATAATACCCAAGTGTGGAGGGAGGGACCAAGGGGGCAGTGATTGGATCATAGGGGTGGTTTCCTCTGTGCTGTTTTCATGATAGTGAGTTATCACAAGATCTCATTGCTTTATAAGGCAGTTCTCCCTGCTTTTACTTGCTCTCTCCCTCCTGCTGCCTTGTAAGGCATGCCTGCTTCCCCTTCCACCATGATTTTATGTTTCCTGAGCCTTTCCTAGCCATGAGGAACTGTGAGTCAATTAAACCTCTTTCCTTTATAAATTACTCAGTCTCAGATATTTCTTTATAGCAGTGTGGCAACAAACTAATACATGAGTATAACATAAAACTTTCACATATTAATAGTAATCAAGTTAAATATTCCACATAAGTTAGGGAGGGAGGATCCTTCCTAAGAGAATTTGACAATTATGAATAATCCGTGCCATAGCTGGGTACAGTGGTGCACTCTGTAGTCACTGCTACTCTGGAGGCTGAAGTGAGAGGATCACTTGAGACTGGGACTTTGAGGCTACAGTGTGCTATAATGATTTTGCCTGTGAATAGTCACTACACTCCAGGAATACAAGAAATATTTAATCAATATACCATGACACTTCAGTTCTAATTCTAGATTAACCATTAGCTATTTATATAATCTTTTGTGAGTAAACTTTCATCTTAGTTTCAAGTTTATCACATGAAAAATAGGTGAATTTTGGTCCATTTGGCTTAGACCTTTAATGGTTTTCTATAACAGGGACATATGCTGTGCATTATTAATACTTTCATATGGCCAGCCATCTCACCCTACTCAAAAACTTACAGAGCTTTTTCTTTTCAGAAGAAAATGTAATTTATTTACCATAACAGCCAATATCTAGCATCAACATTCCACTTTCTCCTTTGCCGTGCCCATCCCCACATTCTCTCTTTGCTACCAACTTTACCTATTGAAACTCTACCTCTTCAACCCACAAACTATTTCTCTTAGAATGACTTCATGCATTCCACCAGCCAAAAAAAAAGTCTTTCTTCTCAGTTATAAATTTTACTGGTCACACTCTCTCTTAAGTTACTGCTTTCTGAATATATGTTGGATCTTTCGTTGCAGGTTACGCATAGTGCAGAGTGGTACAAACCAACCAAACTTACCTTGAGAGTCAGCTTGGGGTTTGAACTATGATTATTTTAATTAATAATTAAAACCATAACTATGTTACTTAAGTGTTCTGTATTTAATATACTATCAATCATATAAAATATTTTTGCAGATATTTAAGATAATCTTTAATAATCAACGTCATATTTCAAGCTCAAGTATAATCATCTAGTTGACAATCTCAATTACATGCCCAAAATAATACGTGTGATTTACATGTGCCCAAACCGTGTATTAGTCAGCCATCTCTTGCCCTTTGGTGTAATTCCTCAGATAGTCACCCAGTTACTCAAGCCAAATGACTAGATAGTTTTTATTAGATTCTTCTTGTTCTCTGTGTCTACCCCTCCTACACCTCTTCCTTCTCCCCCGCCTTTTTTTTTTTAGAATCAAGCAACTCTTTATTCCATAAAATAGAATAAGTTATCCCTCTTTCTAATTTATCAGCAAGCACAGTCTCTGTAGCTCCAAAATATAACTCTGTCTCTACCCTTGTCTGGGACACCAGTGTCTGTCACTGGGCAAAATTTCTACTTTTACTCCTAACAGTCTATTCTCTACACAATAGAACACTCTACACAGTTACCTTTAAATATGTACATTATATCACATAATTCTTTTTTTGAAGACAATGTAATAATGTTTCACTACTCTTTGAAAATAATCCAGACTCTTACTTTATCCTACAATGTCTTATAGAACCTGTGCTCTGTACCTTTCCCAGCCCATCTACTGTAATTCTTCCAACTGCATTCCTTTTCAGTCACCATTGCCATATTCTCATTTCTCCAACCCTCCAAGACTCAAAGCCTTTCAACTCATGTTTCTTTTGCCAGGAACACTCTTTTTCCCAGACTTCCTTGACTTTTTTGGGGGGGTTCTTCATATTAGTTATGTGTTTGCTAATTCAAACAACTTCAGCAAAACTTTACTGTACTATGTGTATATATATATAGTATATATAATATTGTGTATATATATAAAGTATGCTCTACAATATATATGCCCTATAATATATGGTTTGACTATATAATGTCCAATATATACATCTAACGATCATCAATAGTAAGACCTTGCTTTCATGGAAGAGGTTACGGTAGGAAAAGTATTAATTAAATTTCATAAAGGCAAACATGAAATTACATAATAGTTGCTTTTAAAAAGGGGGGCCCTGTTTGGACCTTCACACCAAAAATTTATCATCGCTACAGTAATTTAAGCAAATGAAGGAGGAGTCCCATGTGTTACATGTAGAAAAAGGGAAGGGTAACAAAAAAGTTTCATTTCATAGGGCATTATCATAAACTGTATCTATTGATCATCATGGGCATTATACCATATCACAGCATGTATCAGACACATTACCAAATTTAAACTTTTGTTTATGAGATTTTCAGCACTTGGAATGCTATGCTTATCCTTTCATATTTCAAATTTTTTGAATACTTCTAAATTTCTAATATTTTTCCAGGTTATAATTGATCATTGTGAAATTTACTTGAAAACTTTAATAATTTATTATCCAATTTATTATGTAACATGCATTTATTTATATCTTTATTTTATTAAGCTTTTATAATTTATTCCCAAACATATTCTACAACGAACTTTTATTTTGCAACGTATTACCAGATGTAATGAAGCTTAAATTTGTTTTATGTGTGGCTGAAATATTTTAAGTGCTTATTTTAGTGAATAAACAACATAAAATAAAAATTCAGCATTGCATTTAGAAAAATCACCCTACAATGTCATTTAAATGTTAGAATTGAAAGCATGCACAGGTACATTTCTCATTTTCATTTTAAGAAGTAGATAATTTGTCATTTTCAAATAATTTGTGCTACATTTAAATGAATCAGCTATTCTTCAAAATCCATTTAAACATCTTGATGTTACCAATTATCTGAATTTTGGGCACCAGCTACCTATAATCCATGCATAATAAAATGTTTTGAGGCAGAATGTCTGCCTTTTGTATCATCATATATCCCCAATGTGTGTCCATCAGGTGAGACAATCACTAAAGCCTTTTTGAATATACTTTGCATTTAACAGCGGCTACAGATAAAGGAGAAGAAAAAAAGGACCATATTGTTCATTTGTTTGTTTACAAGAAAAATCTTATTACTTGTTCTCTTACCAAAAATGTTTTCTTTTTGAAAAAGTGAGGAATTCCCGAGAGGCAGTTATTAATTCTTTCCAAAGAATGGACGCATATACAATAAAGTAAATTTATTATGAAAATAAATGCGGGGTGGGGGAAAGGGAGGGAATCTGAATTTATGGAAGAGCAAACAGGAATCCAAAGAAGCATCACACAGAAAATAAGGCCAATTTCAAAAATTAAGGAAAAAAAGATCAAGAAAAGAAAAGCTTATGTGGGCTTGACATAAGAACCTACAGAGTACCAATAAATTAGATATTAGCAATTATTGACCTATAATTAACTTGGAAGTGGCATGAAAGAGTTTTACATATAAGTTGCCAAATGTGATGAGCTTTTTTTAAACGTTGGCTTCAGAATCTACTATATGTGTGGATTTGGGCAGAGCTAGTAAGTTTGTTGAGCCTCAGTTTCCTAACCTTTAAAAATAGAAATGGTGATACTATTTTGCATTATTTGTATGAGAATTGAATGGTATAATGAGTACATCTTGGCACATATTTATTATATCTATTCAAAATAGTTAAAACTTTTAAATAGTACTTATTATCTACTAGGCAGTATTCTAAGCATTCCATGTGTGTTAATTCCAACCCCATGAGAGAGGTACTATTTTTAGCATCATTTTAAACGTAAAGAAACTGACATACAGAGAAATTAAAGTAACTGGCCCAAGGTCTCAGATTTTTGAAGCAGCTTTGCTAGTGTTTGAGTCACAGTGTCGCTTTTGTGTTCATGAAATTAAACCCTATGCCTTGCTGCTTCTCAAATTATGTTAGTTCCCATTATATTTCTCTTTGAATAATTTATTTACAGAAATAATTGAATGGACTATCACTAATTAATTCTGTATGTTCAATTTAAAAATCTTACTATTTTTTTCCATAGAGCTCCATTTGAGTTATTTCCAATAGATATTATCTTCCAAAAGTCCCATAATAAGGTGTACTTTTCTCTAACATCCTGAAGCAATGGTAGCATAAGTTTTCTCTGCTGGATTTCTGGGTTGAACATATAGTTCCTGACTGGCCTTATCTCTATCCTTCCTATTGTTCATGTGACACTCACAAGCTGGGATGTATGGTATGAAAATTAGATGTCTGTAATCCCAGCACTTTGCGAACCCAAGGCAGAGAGATTATTTGAGTCCAGGAGTTAGAGACTGTAGTGTGCCATGATTGTGTCTATAAATGGCCACTGTACTCAGGAAGACCCCATCTAAAAAATAATAATTATAAGTAAATAAATTAAATAAAACAGAAAAAAGAAAATAATTGAACTATGACATAAGCAACATATGCGGATGATTCTGCTTATTTTTGATTTTATATAGCATTATTTTATTATTTATTCATATATTAAACAAGTACTTTATCCATAAATACTACAAACGTACAAATCTACAAAATCTACAAATATTAAAGAGGGCTAGTTTCTTTCTTTCTTTCTTTCTTTCTTTCTTTCTTTCTTTCTTTCTTTCTTTCTTTCTCTCTCTTCTTTCTTTCTTTTTCTTTTCTTTCTTTATTTCTGATTTTTCTCCATTAAGAAGATATTTCTAAGCTGAATAGAGTTCCAATTTCTGAGGATATGGACAATAGAGTACTGGTCTTAACTTTACATCTTTATAGAAACTAAGAACAGCTTGTTTATTATTTGTTTGTGTGTATTATAAGCATGGCCAGAGGCTTATCCTTACCAATTAGTAGCTGCAGTGTATCCAGGCATACAGATTGTAGAAAAATAAATAAATAAATAAATAAATAAACACAGTGAAAGCTTTTGTGCTGACAGACTTGGAGTACATCCCTACTATGCTACTATGCTGTTTTCATTTCCCATTGTTGTAGTTCAAATCAGCACATATATTTTGAGTGCAAATATCAATGACTGGCAAAATAGGCCTAACTAGCGAAGTGGCAGTTAGCAAGTGTAAGAAGATATCAAGCAACATTAATATTTCAACAAACACACTGGAACATTACCATGTCTAAGGCATCAATCTAGGTATGAGTTAAGGTCTTGGTTCCAAGGATCTTCCATTCTAGGAGAAGAGTAAAATTAGGGATCCTTAACAATCAAATAAATTGAATAAATATAGATAGTAATATGTGCTCTCAAGACAACATAACAGGCCAAAGAAATAGAAAGTGATGATTATGTAGTTAGGCATGGCATTACACATAAGATTTCCAGTGTCGCACATGATCTGCAAGTTATGTTTGGTTGCATTTTCTACTTTTCCTTCCCACCCACCTCTTCTCTTATCTCCACCCACAGGGCTCCTTTCTATCCCTCAAACATGCCAGGTATCTCCTCAATTAGGGTTGTGCACTGACTGTCCCCTTTTCTTGGAAGTCTTCTCACTCATATTTGATATGAGGACGAAGCTCTGAATTTTTATCTTGCCCGAATTTCTACCCAAAGAATCTAGGGATTCATGTTCCACAAGCCATAAATTATCATCAGATGGGTTTTATTTAACCCTATATATTGCGACTTACTTTTCAATCTGACTCTGGCATAACATTATGAGACAAGGAAAAAAAAAATATTTAACCCCAAAATATATTTCCTTGCCATACCTTGAAATTGCCCTGCAAAGTCTCTTGTGGGAAAAATTCACATTCTATAGTGAATTCCCTTCCCCTTTTGTTTTCCTTAACTTCATTTCCAGATCCGAGAGATATTCAACTAAGATCCAGGCACCCTTTTAGGTCCCATAAGAAAAAAAAAATACACAGCCTGCTCCCTCTGAAGTCTGCTATGTGAGAGATTCCTCTGCACAATAAAACTTGTTCTCTGAAATCCTTTATCTTAACCTGAATGTTCCTTTCCATTGATCCCAGGTCTTCAGATAAACTCAACCAAATGTCAACTGGAAAATGTTTAAATTTACCTATAGCCTGGAAGCCCCATGCTTTGAGTTGTCCCACCTTTCTAAACCAAACCAATGTATTTCTTAAATGTATTTGATCGACGTCTCATGTCTGCCTGCCACTGACCACCTTGGGTACATGTTCTCAGGACCTCCTGAGGGCTGTTTCACAGGCCATGGTCACTCATATTTGATTCAGAATGAATCTCTTCAAAATATTTTACTGAGTTTGACTCTTTTCACTGACAGATACTCCCTCACATCCATATCTTTCCTTATGTGTCATCTTCCCAACAAGCTCCATTCTAACCACCATTTATATTTCAGTTACTCTTATCTCCCTTACTGTGATTTATTTTTCTATTTGTTTTTAAATCACCTATCACTTTCTAAAATCTCATGTTTTATTTTATTTTATTTTATTTTGGGTGCTTATTGTTTATTTTTGTGTCTGCCTTGTAGAATATAAGCTAGATGAAGGCAAAAATACTTGTCTATTTTATTTATGAGTGTATTTCAAATGCTTATAATGGTACCTGGCCTATGTAGGCTTTCAGTTAGCTACAGGAGGTAAAAATGACCACTTAATAATCATAAAAAGAAATGAATTCCAAAAACAAAAGTGGATAGACCATGGTACTGGGATTGAGAAATGAGACAGTTATGGCCAAAGTATAGTTTTGCTTAGAGTTAAATGAGAATCTTTTGTAGAATGAAAGGGCAAAATGGAGAACATACTTAAAGGTGCTTGGAATGAAGAATAAAGTGAGTTTTGGAAAATGGGTATGGAGATGGAACAGATGCAGAGAGGACCCATTACTGTACTACCAAAGAAGAGAATTCTATGTTCCTTTACTTTGCACAGCAAAAATTGTATTTGTCTGCTGAATACAGAACATGCAGAATGGTTTGAAAAAGTATGTAACTAGGTCAAGGAGTAATAAAACGGTAATGGCACAACCAGGCAATTTATTTTGGAAAGTACTGGAGTTTAATCCATCATATTTTATAGTGTAATTGGAATTATATTAAGGAACCTGAACATCCTCCTGCAAAACATTTAGAGTTAACTGTTTTAAGGAGTAGATTCTTGTGACAAAAGTTCACTGGTAGGAGTTCATCCATTCATCTACACATTCACTCATTAATTCATCTAAAATATACATTTAGGATCTGATGTATTACTTAATGCTGTGCTAGACTCTGGATACAAAAATAAGTATCACACAGGCCCTATACTAACAGGGCTCATATTCATTTGTGGGATGTATAAAAAGCAATTTCAATGTAATATACAATCATATAGGAAGTTCTTTAAAAGTATAGACAGTAGAAATATTTTGTTGTTGTTTTAGATGGAATCTTATAATAGGTGGTGATAATTAACCTTGATATTAGAATTTTAAATCTCACCTTAAGTGAAAAATAGATTTATGTAGAAAGAATAGCATGTAAAAGTAAATTAAGGTGTGAGAGTGTATGACATATTTCAGAACAAGTAATCCATCTGTTATTAGTCTGTTCTCATCCTGCTAATAGAGACATAACTGAGACTGGGTTATTTATCAAGGAAAGAGGTTTAATTGACTCACAGTTCCACATAGCTGGGGAGGCCTCACACTCAGGGCAGAAGGCAAAGGAGGAGCCAAGTCATCTCTTACATGGCGACAGGCAAGAGAGCATGTGCAGGGGAACTCCCATTTATAAAACCATCAAATCTCATGAGACTTATTCAGTATCCATGAGAACAGCATGAGAAAGACCTGCCCCCATGATTCAATGACATCCCACTGGGTCCCTCACATGACACGTGGGAATTATGGGAGCTACAATTCGAGATTTGGATGCGGACACAGCCAAACCATATCACCATCACATTAGGGCAAAAACACAAGAGGTGTTGCAGATTGAATTGTGTCCTCCTGAAAAGATGTATTAGACTTCTAACTAACCCAGTTACTTCAGAATGTGCTTTTATTTGGAGACAGATTCTTTCCATAGATAACCAAATAAAAATGAGATTTGGATGGAACCTAATCCAATACGACTGGTGTCCTTATTCAAAAGGAATTTTGCACACAGACATATTCACAGGGAGAATGCCATATGGAGATGAAGGCAGATCGTAGTGCTGCCTTTACAAGTCAAAGAACACCACCAAAGATTGTTGGTAAATCACCAGAAGTTAGGAGAAAGGCATGGAAAAGGTTCTCCTCCACAGTACTCAGCAGGGAGGGGAAAAAACCCCTGCAGACACCTTGATTTCAGATATCCAGCCTCCAGAACTGTGAAACAACAACAACAACAACAACAACAAATCCTGTTGTTTAAGTTACTCAGTTTGTGGTATTTCTTACAGCAGTCCTAGAGCTAATACAGGAGAAGGTGAAAGTTATAAAAGACAAAGATGCAAAGATACGGAGGGACTATCAACATTGTTAAAATATTAAATGCTTAAATTTTAGTGGTTTGTAAAAGCCACTGAAAATGGAAACCAAATGATGAGTTGTGCATTTTACAAAGAAATTCTGGCAGCCTGGGAAAGATGCATATAAGCTAAAGCTAGTTAAGATGAAAAGTCAGAAAACTAGGCAAATGACTATTATAATTTAGCAAGAGGGAGCCAATGAGGCACTAAAATAGGGAAGAATAGTTAGATTGAAGATGTAGTGATGTAAGAGATTAAGGATATAAAATATGTAAATATAAATATTGATGAGATAGGAAAGGGAAATCAATGGGGAGATTAGATATGACTTTGGCTTAGGGAAATGAGAAAATGATGGCACCAAGTTTATAGAAAGGCAATTCGTGGTCTAAGGTAGAGGACGAAAATGAATTTTACTTAATGTTGCAATCAATGTACATGGAGAACGTTTGCCAGCTTACAAATGAGCCTGTGGGTATTTTAGGTGAGTTATGAACTAGATAAAAAAAGAGAAAAATAAAAGTTTATAAATAATATTTATTGTGTAATATGAAGGATTGAAGAAAGAGGATATAGACTAAAGGTTGTATGTACCTGAGAGGTGGGGATACGGGCAAGGGCATGAGGGAGAGTTACTTCTGGGATTCTTATAGTAGTTCAGGCATGAGTTGATAAGCTTCAGGTAACTAAATACAAGCAACAATGACTCTATGCAATAAAATAAGGTTATTTTTATCTAAAATGCAAGCTATGCTAGAAGCAGTACAGAAGAATAACTGCTTTAATAGTAGATCTCACCTGGCCATGACCTTCTAAGCAATAAGTTTTATTTATATTTTCAAGCCGTGTTTACTATGTAAATAAATATAAAAATGCGAAGAAGAATTAGCTTCCATATTTTTTTCTAATGTGAAGGTATGAACTCTTTCTGTAAATTTTTATTGATACGCATAAAGATAAAAAAGCTGTCTAAAAGATCTTACGTTACGCAGAGTAAGATGCAAAGTTGAGAAATACTTGACCCATACCACCGGCTGTTCCAATGTGATACAGCAGACAAAACAATGAACCAGAGTGCTACAAGAGAAGTACTATTGGTGTACTGCCCTGCAGAAAAAATCGAAAAAACAAAAAACAGAAACTAAAGCAAAACCAATAAATATTTTTGTAGAATTTGTGCTTAATTTATGCTCAGAAATATTATTGATTTATGCTTTTGACTGATATTTAAGTTTCATTATAATCACAAGAATCTTACTAGCTTAAAAAATGGAAACAAAAACACAAATAACACACATGCCAAATTTTCAAAAGATGAAGAATTGTAAGTAGAAAAGAATATGACAGTTTGAATCAGAAGGACCTGGATTCAAAACGAATTTTTAGCATTGCTACCTGTTTGAAAGGCGATTGCCAAGAGATTAGCCACTACCATATTGAGTTTACAAAGACAGGTTGTGAAGGTATAGAAACTCCAGTAAACAAGTTTAGTGATGAATTCCAAAAATGGCCTTAATTTTACCCATCTTTCCATATCCTTGCCTTTTGGTAATATGCTCCTATACTAACGGGAAGCTTGTTCTCCATTATTTACCCAGTGGGTTATTAGCAAATTTAACACGAGAAGAAGTTTGAAAATGACCTGCGTATTTCTGTTTTCATTCTTGTACTCTTTGCATTTCCATGAACATGTACAGAATAGCCTACAGGAGAAATGTGAGAAAGATACATGGAGAAAAACAAAGCCAACCTAGACCAGCCCACAGCCAGCCAACCACAGGCATATGAGAAAACTCAGCCAATATCAGCAGGGCCACCTTCAAGACTCAACTGACCACAGATGCGTGAGGGAGCCCAGCCAAAACTAGGGGAACTTCCTGCCAATCCATAGACGTGTAATAAATAATAAATGATGTTTGCTTTCAGCCACTAAATTTCTTGGCAGTTGGTTACACAGCAGTATGGTAGTAATAGATAATTTATACATCAATAAAGTGATAATATTGAGAATGGAAAGGAGACATGATGGCTCAAAGGAGGCATAACTGAGGAGGAAATCTTTGCCAAATCTGAAATTCACTACATACAATGAAGTCCTCACAGCTTAGGAAACTTAACCCCTGGTTTTGCATGCCTACTCTGGAATAGAAATAACTATCAATTATCTGTAAGTCAGTGTAAATGATTCCTTACGTGCAGATTTCACGTCTTTAAACTTTGCTCTCATAGAAACTCACAGACTGCCAGGACCTAAGTAGTCAATCAATAAATACTCTTTAAAATATGATGGAAAGGAAGCTGTTTCACAGGTTCACACAACCAATCACACTAATAGAGCAAACTCAAGTCCAGATATCAGAATGTAAATATGACCTTCGTATGTTTTCTTTATAAATATGTTACTACTATATTTTTATAATCCTTTCTTAATTATAAAGTTAACATATATTAATCTCAAAAAATCCACCAGAAAGAAATATGTTTTGTGTAACTAGAATTAGGACAGACGAGTTGGACCTAACTAGTCTGTTCTAGAGCCAGAACAGTAGAATGGCATTTTCAGTGTATTAAAAAAGTGAGGCTAACATATGAAAATTGGTTTAATTATTACTTAAGACTGAAAGAGAGGTAAATACATTTTCATATAGAGAATGACTGACAGATTTTAATAGTGATTATTTCTGAAATAACTCCTAAATGATTTTTTTAAGTTACAAATATTCTGAACCCAGATGGTTGGAGAGAAGTGTCAAAATAATTATATTTCACAATTAGACTCGTGCAAATAAATTGGCAAATACGTGTGTAATTCAAAATATGTACTAGACATGAATAATATGAAATAGGAGCAACTTATTGATATGAAGTCAAGACATATATAAAATACCAGACAAAAAATCATGTAGAAAGTGGAGCAAGGAAATCAGAATTAGAGCTAAGATCTATTTATCTTTTGGTATCATATAGATCAGGGTCGCCATACCCCCAGGTTGTGGACCAGTATCCGTTCGTGACCTGTTCGAAACTGAGTCACACAGCAGGAGGTGAGTGTAAGGCCAGTGGCACTACTGCCTGAGCTCTGCCTCCTGTCAGATCAGAAGCAGCATTAGATTCTCATAGGAGAATAAACCCTATTATGAACTGTGCATGCGAGGAGTCTACGTTGTGCGTTCCTTGTGAGAATCTAACTAGTGCCTGATGATCTGTGGTGGAACAGTTTCACCCCAAAACCACCTCCTGCATCTCAGCTGCACTTCTGGGTCTGTGGAAAAACTGTCTTCCACAAAACAGGACCCTCGTGCCAAAAAGGTTGGGGACCGCTGATAAAGATGACTAATTTTCTGCTTTATTATCTATGTGAATTAAAATTTAAACGTAACCTTCAAACATAAAAGAATTAGGATGTATAATATCTAAACCAATAACAAGAATAAAGGGCAATGGGGTATGGTTCAGTAAAAACAAAAACAAAACCACAAGGAAAAGAATAGTAATTGGAAGTCATAATATTAAATGATTCTAAAAACTGAGTATGTCAGTAATCAATAAATATGCATGGACTAAGGCTACACATTGAAAAACAAATAGTCTCAAATGGGATATAAAGTAATCAATTCTAAAATATTTGTAAATGTAGTAACTCAAAATATATAATGGCTCAAAAACTTTAAAAATAATGGATAAGACAAGATACACTGGGCAAATACAAACGAAGGTTAGCTGCTGTGCTTATACAAATACATCTTTAAAGACATAATTAAGGATGAAGTATTCTTATAAGGGACATAATTATAAAATAAACTACTTACCAGAAGAATATCACAATTCAGATCTAATCTTTATCTAACAGCTAAAACTCAAAACTAAAAACAAAGACAAAATTACAAATCGATTTTTATAAATCTATAGCCAGAGACAGGGATTTAAACATCTGTCCCTCAGAAATTAACATAAATTGTAATAATGAATAATAGTTTGATTTTGTAAATATATAGACTCATATTCAACAATTAAAGCTTATATTTATATCTATGTTTAAATCTCTATCTTTATATCTACATATACATTCCATTCAATTCAAAGGCACATAGAAGTTTTATTAGAATTAACAGCATACAGACCCACTTAAATAAAATGAGTAATACCTTAGAAAGATAACGAACGTGCAAACATGACTCAAGAAGAAAAAGAAAACCAAAAAGGTATAATAATTAAAGGAATTAAATAAATAAACTAAAATTTGGTACAACTTACCCCTTCATACATACACAAGCATCAGGCACAAATTGTTTTACAGATAATTTTATCCAAAGCCTGAAGAATCTGATAACCCTTATCTTACACAATTGTTCCAGAGGATAAAAATAGAAGGAATATTCTCCTCACATTACTTTATCCGATTAGCATAATTTTATATAAAAGGAAGACATAAATAATAAAAGAAAGTAACATTATAGATCAATTTTACTTACAAATGAGATGTCAATACTCCACACAAAATTTTATCTAGTTAAGTCACAATAATGCAAGTTATTCTAGGATATAAGAATGTGTTAGTTCTACTATAATGCCTAGAATTCTGTTCCCCATCTACCACATGAAAGAAATATTATAAACAGATATGTTAGTTTTGAACTTACTTTTTACATGATGCTATGAATTACTTCCCGTGTAGTCACAATTTGGAAGGGTTTGGCTATAGAGACTAGTTTTAATTATTATACAATATTATTCAATAACTTTTTAAAGCGTCCCTCTACATTTTTAAATTTTCCTCAAAACAATCTGTATAGTAAATAAAATGATGAAACTGAGAATCAGGAAAATTAATTGAAAAGAAAAAAATGGTTTTAATGAGCTCCTCTGTGTGAATTACCAAAACCTCTTAAGTAGCAGAATGATCTTGAAATGCTGGATTTAGATTTTAGATCTACTTTTTCCCCTTAGCATACTCATCCATTCATATCTTGGGTGGTTTCAGATTATGCGATGTCACTGCCAGTTACAGTTTCATGAATACACATTAATACATATTTGCTAAAGTGCAATTCTAGAGGCAGAGTTTCAATAATAAGAACATTATACCTTCAATGTTATGAATATGGTAATTTTGCTGTAAAAAAATCAAGCAAGAAAACCTAATTTTATCTTTTAAAATAAATACACAAAACAAATCTGTTGAAACGCATAAATACAACTGGATAACTAGCGGAATATTTTGCCCAGCAAGGATACCTCCCGAGACTGAGGTTCATATCCTTATAAAATTCATACTATAAATTCTAGGTACCATACTGCATTAAGTAACTGCAAAAAGAAGATCGGGTTATGAGTTTTAAGTATATGTACATTAATCTCTGCTCTGCATACACCAATGTTACATTTCTGAATAATAGCTAATCTGATATTATGTCACCAAAAATATTGTCTGTTCTGAGTTCTTAATCTTTAACCTTTCCCTGAAAGAGAAGAAAAACTCAAGCAATATAATTCAAACTTATTATGCATGAAATAGCATGTTTAAGAAAGGAAATATTTGCAGAAATATATAAAGCCATGAATACATTCATATTTTAGCATCCTACACATACAGTGATATAAAACATTAGTTTGTCACCATATATGCTCACTTTACAGTGCATGATCTTGATTCTGGGTCTGTTTTGTAGGTATATTAGCACACTTGCCACAATGGTTATTAAGTCACCAGTTACATATTACATAACTGAATGTTGCTCTCTTAATGTTATAGTTACTCTTATTTTCTGTACTCTAGTCATATTCAATCACTTAGTTTCTCTCTCTCTTACTCCTTCTTTATATCCTTCTGTATTAAAGACTGTTAGTGCTCAACATTATTCATGACTTTTTTAAATTTTCCAAGCAGCTTTGCTCTAAGATGTGTCTAGTTCTTGTGATGAATTGTGGGTAGCAGTGATATGTTGCATTTTCAGATCAGGGGGTGTCTGGTTGGCTTCTCCATGCTTTCTTCCTCCAACTGCTAATTGAATTTCCTTGAATCCAGAAGATGATGGGTCCACATGATGAAAGCAGTCTTATTATTTATTCACCAGTTGAAAGAGAGATACTCAGGACAGTTGCCCAGAATAGCTTGACAAGCTGCCTAGGACTACAAAGTGAATGATAAATAAACTTTTTTGATTTAAGACAATGAGATTTTGTTATTGTTGTTGTTGTTTATTTTTACTATAGAAAATTACCAACTTAATAATATTCCTTTCTCTCACCTTTAAACTAATCTTTATTGAATACCCTATATCATGCATTATGCAATGGATCAGAGACACAGAGATGAGAGATTCAGTCCCTTTCTTTAAGCAACTTGCAAGGTCATATTGAGTAAAGGTGATTAAGCTAACCATTACAATGCATTTTGATTAATGCAATTGTGGAGTTATCCCCATGGTCTCTGTAGCATGAAGGACTCTAGGGAGGCATCCTAGGAAAAGTGATGCTTGACCACAACGTAAAGGGTAAGGATGGTTTATACAGAAGGCACAGAAAAACCTAGGCATTCCGAAAAAGTGTTCCTGGGGTTCCAACTGGGAGACCTCAGGGTTTTGTTTTCTTCAGGAAGTTTGCACAGGTGGGTAACCTAGCAACCATTTTTGATTCACAATTTCTTTAATACTAATGGTCAATGAATAATCTGGTCCTTTTGTTTTTATCTTCGTTTTCAATCTTTATTTTAGATTCAGGAGGTAAATGTGAAAGTTTGTTACCTTGGTATATTACATGATACTGAGGCTTGGGGTACAACTGATCCCATCACCCAGGTACGGAGCACAGAACCCAATACTTTTCAACCCTTGCCCCCTTCCTCCTCCTTCCCTCTAGTACTCCCCAATTCCTATTTTTCCTGTCCTTATGTCCATGAGTACCCAATTTTTAGCTCCCACTTATAAGTGAGAACATGGAGTATTTGGTTTTCTGTTCCTGCATTAGTTCGCTTAGAGTGATGGCCTCCAGCTACATTGATGTAACTGCAAAGGATATGAATTTGTTCTTTTTCATGGCTGGATAGTATTCTATGGTGTATATATGTAACATTTTCTTTATTCAATCCACCATTGATAGGCACCTAGGTTGAATCCATGTCTTTGCTATTGCAAATACTGTTACAAAGAACATGCAAATGTGTGTGTCTTGATTGAATAGTTTGTTTTCTTTTGGATATATATACCTAGTAATGGAATTGCTGGATCAAATAGCAGTTCTGTATAAAGTTCTCTGAGAAATCTTCAACTATTTTCCACAGTGGCTGAACTAATTTACATTCCTGCCAACAGTGTATAAATGTTCTCTTTTCTCTGCAGCCTCACCAGCATCTGTTGTTTGTTGACTGTTTAGTAATAGCCATTCTGAATGGTGTGAAATGGTATCTCATCGTGGTTTTGAAATGCATTCCTCTGAGAATTAGTGCTGTGTAATGTTTTTTATGTGTTTGTTGGCTACTTATATGTCTTCTCTTGAGAAGGGTCTGTTCATGTTTTTTTGCCCATTTTTAATGGGGTTATTTAATTTTTGCTTTTTCAATTTTGTAAATTCTGTATAGATTTTGCATATTAGACCTTTGTCAGATGTGTAATTTGCAAATATTTCCTCTCATTCTGTAGGTTGTCTGTTTACTCAGTTGATAGTTTATTTTGCTGTGCAGAAACTCTTTAATTAGATCCCACTTGCCAATTTTTGTTTTTGTTGCAATTGCTTTTGGGGACTTAGTCAAAAATTCTTTCTAAAGGCTAATGTCCAGAATAGAGTTTCATGGTTTTTCTTCAGTGATTCTTATGGTTTTAGGTCTTACATTTAAATGCTTAATCCTCCTTGAGTTAATTTTTGTATATGGTGAAAGGTAGGGGTCCAGTTTCACTCTTCTGCACATGACTATCCAGTTATCCCAGCACTATTTATTGAATAGGGAGTCCTTTCTTCATTGCTTATTTTTGTTGACTTTGTTGAAGATCAATGGCTGTAATTGTGCAGCTTTATTGCTGGGATTTCTATTCTGTTCCATTATTTACATGTCTGTTTTTGTGCCAGTACATTGATGTTTTGGTTACCGTACCCTTATAATATAGCTTAAAATCAGGTAATGTGCTGTCTCTGGCTTTGTTCTTTTTGCTTAAGATTGCTTTGGCTATTCATGTGCTTTTTTGGTTCCATATGAATTTTATAATAATTTTCTCTAGTCCTGTAAAAAATGACTTTGGTAGTTTGATAGAAATAAGATTGAGTGTTTAAATTTCTTTGGGCAGTAGGGCTATTTTAACAATATTGTTTCTTCCTATCCATGAGCATACAATATTTTTCCATTTGTTTTTGCTGTTTCTGGTTTCTTTTAGCAAGGTTTTGTAATTCTCATTGCATAAATCTTTCATCTCCTGGGTTAGCCAAATTCCTAAGTATTTTATTTTTTTGTGTCTACTGTAAATGGTGTAAATGGGATTGTGTTCTTGATTTGACTCTCAGCTTGAATATTATTGGTCCATAGAAATGCTACTGATTTTTATACATTGATCTTGTATCCCGAAAATTTACTTGTGTCATTTATCAGTTCCAGGAGCCTTTTGATGGAGCCTTTAGGGATTTCTAGGTATAGGATCATACTGTCCATGATGAGAGATAGTTCGACTACTTCTTTTCATATCTGGATGACTGTTATTACTTTATCTTGCCTGATTGTTGTGGCTAATATTTCCAGTGGTATGTTGAATACGAGTGGTGAGAATGGGCATTCTTGTCTTGTGCCAATTCTCAGGGAAATGCTTCCAGCTTTTGCCCATTCACTATGATGTTGGCTGTGTGTCTGTCATAGACGGCTCTTATTATTTTGATGTATGATTCTTTGACAGCTAGTTTATTGAGGGTTGTCATCATATAAGGATGTTGGACTTTACTGAAAGCTTTTTCTGCATGTACTGAGATTATCATGTTTTTGTTTTTAATACTGTTTATGTGATGAGTCCGATTTATTGAGTTGTATATGTTGAACTAACCTTGTATTCCAGGAATGAAGCCTCTTGATGATGGTAATTAACTTTTTGATGTGCTGTTGGATTTAGTTTGCTGGCATTTTGTTGAGGATTTTTTTTATCTATGTTCATAAGGTATATTGGTCTGTAGTTTTCTTTTTTCATTGTACCTTTGCCAAGTTTTGGTATCAGAGTGCTGCTGGCTTCATAGAATGAGTTAAGCAAAAAAAATCCCTGCTTCATGATTTTTTTGGAATAGTTTCAGTAGAAGTGGTACCAGCTTCTCTTTGTACGACTGGCAGATTTAGCTGTGAACTCATCTGGTCCAAGGCTTTTTTTTGGTGGGTAGGTTTTTTGTTACTGATTCAAATTCAGAACTTGATATTGATCTGTTCATGGTTTCAATATATTCCTGATTCATTCTTGAGATATTGTGTATTTTAAAAAATTATTTCATTTCTTCTAGATTTTCTAATTTATGTACATAGAGGTGTTCATAATAGTCTCTGAGAATCTTTTCTATTTCTGTGGGATTAGTTGTTATGTCACTTTTGTCATTTTTGATTGTGCTTATTTGGATCTTCTATTTTTTTCTCTGTGAATCTTGGTGGCAGTCTATCAATTTTGTTTATCCTTTCAAATAATTCCTCTTTTGGTTTTGTTGATTCATTTATGGATGGTCGCATCTCAATTTCATTTGGTTCCAATCTGATTTTAGTTATTTAATTTTTTTTCTCGTAGCTTTGGTGTTAATTTGTTCTTGTTTTTCTGGTTTCTCTATGTGTGTTGTTTGATTATTAATTTGAGATCTTTCTAACTTTTTGAGGTAGGCATTGAAAAAACATGAACTTTTCTCCTAACACTGCTTTTGCTGTATCTCAGTGATTTGGGTATGTTTTGTCTCGGTTTTCATTTAGTTCAAACTTTTTAAAATTTTTGCCTTAATTTTGTTTTTTACCTAAAATTATTCAGAAACAAGTTGTTTAATTTCCATGTAATTGAGTAGTTTTGAGAGATCTTCTTGGTATTGATTTATATTTTTATTCCATTGTGATATGAGTATGTGGTTTACAAGATTTCAATTTTTTTGAATTTACTGAAACTTGCTTTGGGGCCAAGCATGTGGTTAATCTCGGAGTACATTTCATGTGCAGATAAGACGAATATTCTGTGGTTTACGTGTAGAGTATTCTGTAGATATCTATTAGGTCCAACTGGTCATGTGTTGAGCTTCAGTCCAGAATTTATTTGTTAGTTTTCTGCCTTGATGATGTGTCTAATGCTGTCAATGGGCTATTGAACTCTCCCACTATTATTGTGTGTCTGTCTAAATCTTTTTGTAGACCTAGAAGTACTGGTTTTATGAATCAGAATGCTCCAATTTTGGGTGCATTTATATTTTATTGAGTCTTCCTTTTGAATGAACCTTTTATCATTATGTAATGCTCTCCTTTGTTCTTTTTTACTGTTGTTGGGTTAAAGTCTGTTTTATCTGGTAAAAGAATAGCAACCTCTGCTCTTTTTCCATTTTCTGTTTGCATAGTATATCTTTCTAAAACCCTTTACTTTGAGCCTATGGGTGTTATTACATGTGAGATGCATCTCTTAAAGGCAGCAGACGGATGGGTGTTATTTTTTTATTCCAACTTTCTGTTCTGTGCTTTTATTTATGTATTTATTTTATTTTTTATTTTTTGAGACAGAATCTCACTCTGTCACCCAGGCTGGAGTGCAGTGGCGTGATCTCGGTTCACTGCAAACTTAGCCTCCCAGGTTCAAGCAATTCTCCTGCCTCAGCCTCCCGAGTAGCTGGGATCACAGGAGCCCACGACCACACTCAGCTAATTTTTGTATTTTTAGAAGAGACGGGTTTTTGGCATGTTGGCCAGGCCTGACCTCAGGTGATCTGCCTGCCTCATCTTCCCAACGTGCTGGATACAGGTGTGAGCCACCGTGCCCCCCCTTTTGTACCTTTTAAATGGGGGCATTTAGACCATTTGGATTCAAAGTTAATATTGATATGTGAGGTTTTGATCCTATCATGAAATTGTTAGCTGGTTGCTTTGTAGTTTCTATTATGTGGCTGCTTTATAGTGTCTGTAGGCTGTGTACTTAAGTGTGTTTTGTGATAGCATGTATCATTCTTTTATTTCCATGTTTAGAACTCCCGTAAGGATTTCATATTAGGCTGGTCTAGTTGTAATGATTTTCCTTAGTGCTTGCTTGTCTGGAAAATGGTTTATTTCCCTTTTGCTTATGCAGTTTAGTTTGGGAAAAATGAAATTCTTGGTTAGAATTTATTGTATTTAAGAATGCTAAAAATAGGCCCCCAATCTCTTCTGACTTGTAAGGTTTATGCTTACATGTCCACTGTTAACCTTTTAATGTTATCTGACCTGTTTGTCCAGCTGCCTTTATTATTTTTTTTCTTTAGCATTGATCTTGCACAGCCTGGTGACTAAATACCTTTGGGATAATTGCCTTATATAGCATCTTGCAGGTGTTCTCTGGATTTCTTGTATCTATCTATCTATCTATCTATCTATCTATCTATCTATCTATCTATCATCTATCTCTAGTAAGATTAAATTTTCTTGAATTATTTGTCTAAATCTGTGTTCCAGGTTGTTTCCTTTTTCTCCTTCTCTCTCAGGAATGCAAATAATTCATAGGTTTGGTATCTTTACATAACTCTATATTTTTCAAAAAATGTGTTCATTTTATAAAATTATTTTTTCTTTATTTTTGTCTGGCTGGATTACTTCAAAAGACCAGTCTTTAAGCTCTGAAATTCTTTCTCTTCCTTTTTCCAGTCTATTGATAAAGCTTTCAATTGTGTTTTGAAATTCCTTAAGTGAGTTTAATTCCTGAAGCTGATTTTTTTTTAAGATTTTTGTCTCTTCTTTAATTTCCTGGGTTGTGTTGATTTTCAAATTTTTTTGTCTGTCATTTCTCAGTTTCCATTTTGGTTAGGGACCATTGCTTAAGAGTATGATTCTTTGTTGGTGTCACTACATTCAAATTTTTCATGGTGCCAGCATTTTTATGTTGGTTCCTTCCCATCTGGAGATGCTAGCACTTTTCCTTTCTATAATTGGTTTTGTGCATGTAGGAGTTTTTGTTTTTCTTTCTTCCCTGTAATATTATTTTTTTCTCTTTCCCTTTCTCTTTCCCTTTACGCCGTCCCTAGGAGGTGTGACTGTACAGAATGCTGGGTAGGGTCTTTGGTTTTGCTTCTATAGCCTTATGCACTTCTTTCAGCAGGCTTTATATTGGGTTGTTCAATTTGAACTATAAGTCAATAGATACTGCTTACAGGTAAGAACTGGCTGTGACCAATAGAGTTGGGTATATTCCTGATCCTGTTTACTGGCAGAAGCTCTCTGCTGCATCAGGCTGTAGAATGATTTGTGGAATGCACAGTGGTCTGAGCTCCCTGCTCAGTCCTGGGGGCATGGGGGCCATGATGGGCTGGGCCAGTTTGGGTAGGTGTGCCTACAGATCCCCCAGTGCCATTCACAAGCACCAGTGCTAAAGAAGAATTGAGTAGGCAGCCACCAAGCACCAAAGTGCGTATAGATGGAACTGAAAAACCTTTTTAGCCCCAAGTTTTCTGCATAAGTATGGAGGGAAGCCTAAACTCAATCCAGGAGAGTGGTTGCTCCAGATGCCTGGACATCTTCCTGGGAATGGAGCTGAGAGGAACACCCTGCACCAGGATCTGTGCACAGGGGGAATGGGGTGAGACAGGCTGCTGATCTAGGTCAAATGGTACTCCAAATGCATGATGCCCCTCTAAAAATCTCCCATAGAGCAGTCAGAGCTGCTTCACTAAAACCCAAATATGATTATATCTCTTCTATGGTTAAAACTCTTTGATAATTTCCCATTGCCCTGAGAAAAAATGTCCAAACTCTTAGCAGGAATTTTTGTGTTATGACCTCAGCTTATATCACTGATATAATCTTACCACTTCCTACCTCACAACGTATAGTCTAGCCATACTGATTATCTGCTTAATCCTAAAATACTATATGTTACACAACAATGCTCTAGAACTTTTCTATACACCTGAAGATAAATGCAAGCTCACATAACTTCAAAGGGGATGATGTATAGAGGTGTCTGGACAATAGGATGTAGGGAGATTAAGGTCCTCATAGGACTTTAGTAGTTGATGTCAGCAGACATGGGATTGTTAGGCATTTTTAAAAAAATAGTTTATCTCCTTGATCAAGTGAATCTAAATGATTGTCCAAGGGATGCCAAGTTCTGTTGTAGCTGAAAAATAGGCAGCTAAGTAGTTAAATGGAAGTAGATTATCACTGGAATACAGCAGGTTAAGCAAAGCCTATGAAATTTAAGGCAATATTTGTTGATAACTACATAAAAGGTCATATTGTTTCTCTGTAGACCTCTATGAGAATTTGAAAAACATATATTTAGGGCTAAGAAAGCACTGTTTCTATAATACCTAAGTGATAATTCACTGAGTTGAAAATGTCTCCCAATACAGTATAATTATCTGAATTATAGTTAATAAGTGAATAATCTAATTGATTTTTATAATGTCCTGAATATTGAAAGATGGTATACTGTATGTCAATAGCTGACTGAGAGAAACACGATTCTCTTGTATATATAATCATAAAATGCTCTAGAGAAGAACTGAGGTAATAACTAAGGCGATAAAAACTTTAATTTTAATTATGCCTTAAAGAATGTGTTTTAGCACAGGCATAGAAAGAAACTGTAAAATAAATGTTGTAAGGATCAGAAGATAATTGGAAGAATTCTAGAGAGTTCTGAGGAATGTTTTATCCTGGAAGGTAAGTTTCTCTAGTACAGTGTTAATAGAGTCTGCTGTATGGACAAAATTGAAGAGAAGAAATTAAGGAAATGTTTCTTGAGGGTAGGTCATGGCTTTTGCTCTTTAAACAAACATTTATTGAGCTTTATTTTCATACTGCATCTCATTTGAAAGTAATGACAATCTTATACAGAATGCATTTAATTTTGCCATTTTTAAGAGAAGAATTGCATTCAGGGAAGTTAAGTGATTTTTGCTAAAGTTGTACTACAACGTCAGTTTATAAGATAAAATCAGAACTAAATTGTCTAAATCCAGTGCACTTTTCATGATAAATTGTGACCATGGAAGATATTAGGGGATTTCATACTCACGTTTCTTAGAGTACAAACTGCAAGTTACAGGAGGACCACAGAAGTCTGGGGAATTTATTCTGTGTGAGTTTGTATTTCTATACTGAGATGTTTAGTATCTGAACCATGAACAAATGGATTGTGTTTAATTGGCTGCCATTTTTCTAACTTTCATCTTTACAAAAATCTTTGACATAACTGTCAGCCTCTATGATAAGAGAAACTAAGGAAAAGAGTTTTTGCCTGCACTTAGGCCAGAATTTTAAAAAGCATTATGGACCTAGGTATTGTAAGTAATGCAGAGACTCAGGGAGGACAGTAACATTCCGAAACAAAGTCAGAGACATCTGATCCAATCTCTCTTTTCTACCTGGAGATTCCAGTCTGGAATATTTTTTCACTGGCGCTATAGAGGATGACTCTATTTTAAAAACAAAGCCTCCTTTATACAGGCTTATTATAGGCTTTTGCAATTCCAGCCTTCCATTTTGTCTACACTTCTTTACTCCCACTCATAATTTTCTTATTGAAATTTGGGAACCCTTCTAATATAATGACAGTTTTTCCAGTCTCATCAAGTCAAAGAAGGCAAAGAAGGATGTATTGGAAATGAGAAAGGAAGACAAGGGCAAAATTCAGGAACTAAACTTTAACAATTTAGAAATGCAAACAAATTTAGTCTCTACAGCATTCAAATTAAATTATACTTCTAATGTGACTTTTTCATTACTATAAAAAGTAATTTAATGGACTTATTTAAGCATTTTGAGTGGAAGTAGGAGTGATATTAATGAATTAAATATGAACTTTTGCTTAAAATGAATTCATTCTTCAAAATGATTCTTAGTATTTTTAATAAAGTACTACATTTATGTAACTAAAATGAGCATGAGATAGGTCTTAATGTGCTTATACGCTAATAACATAAGTCTATAAATGACTTGTAAATGGTGAAGAGAGACTACAGGAAACTCATCCATGTAATTATAGCACCAGATAATATCTGAGGAACATCAATTTAATGTTTTCTCATGATTTCACTACCTATTACTGTCACTTTGAGATCACTACAAGTCTTGCTAAATGGAATTATTATTTAAATCTGTGAATTACAAAACAAAGACACAGTGAACAAGCTTCTTAGATGTTTCAGCTGCTATTCTGTAATAGATTACAAAATGTTATAACAGGTGTGATGGGTGATATTTTATTTTGTTTTGATGCAGATTTATTAATCATACCACTATAGGACTAATGTAATAATAATATTGTGGCTTTAAGGAATAATGAAAGCTTTCACGGAATGACAAACAGAAAAAATAAATTTGTATATGGAAAGCACAGAAAAATATGGAGGAAAGGGCTAGATATAAATGTAATTTATACACATATTAGTCACTGCAGTTACTATCAACCTAAGAACTAAACCAAGAGAGGTATGTTCCCATGAGTTCTAAATATTACTGTAGTATTATTTGGTGTCTGTTTTTTATTTAAAAATCTTCACATAAAAGTTAATTAAAATTTAACTTTAGTTTTCAATTTATTTATTTTTTTTTATAATTAATTGCTCTTAGATCTTGGAGTAGTCGAAAAAGACATGAGCTGCGGAATTATGTCTCTAAGAAACTACATGACTTTAGACAAGTATTTCATCCTCTTTGGGTTTTAATGTTTACAGTCTTAAAATTGAGATAGCATTTTAATGTTTCCAATCTTGAAATATGGCTTAAAATTATAAGCCATAGTTATAAAATTGAAAATTAAAATACAGTGTGGTTAGTTATTTGCCTGACACATTATACATAGTCAATACTACATACTGACACATTTATTTCATGTTTTATAGGCAAGACCTATATATATATATACACACACATAATTATTTATATATACATATATAATTATATATAATTATCCTTTTATAAGGCTTAAGATTACAGTATATACAGATATGTATAAAACTGCTTTTTAGTACTAATATCCACATGCCTGCATGATTGAAACAGTAAAAGAAAATAAAAGGAACTAGCTATAACAAAAAAAATCTAAAATCATAAAACTCCTGGAAGAAAACACAGGGGAAAGGCTCCCTGACCTTGAACTTGGCAACGATTTATTGAAGTTGACACCAAAAGCACAGACAACAAAAGCAAAAATAAGCAAGTGAGACTACCTCAAACTAAAATGTTTCTGCACATCAAAGGAAACAGTCAAAATAAAAAGGCAATCTACATACTGGAAAAATATTTGCAGAGCATATCTGATAAGGGGTTTATATCCAAAATATATAAAGAATGCATACAATTAAATAACAAAAAAAACTTGATTACAAAATTGACAAAGAACCTGAACAGTTTTCAAAGAAGACAGAAATGGCCATGTATATGAAAAGATGCTCAACATCACTAATCCTCAGGGAAATGCATATCAAAACCACAGTGAGATATCACCTCACACCTGTAAAAATGGCTATTATCAAAAAGACAATAGATAAATTTTGGTGAGGAGGTAAAGAAAAGGCAACCATTTTACACTGTTGGTGGGAAGGTAAATTGTTATAGCCATTATGGAAAAGAGTTTGGAGGTTCCTCAAAAATTTAAAAATGTAACTACCAGTGGGATCCAGTAATCTCACTTGTGGATATATATACAAACAAATTGAAAGCAGTATCTTTCTATTGGGAGTTATCCAATTCCCATATTTACTATAGCATGCTTCACAATAGCCAAAGTAAGAGCCCAACCTTAGTTTTCACCAACAGATGATAGATAAGGAAAATGTATTGTGTGTGTGTATATATAATATATACACACACACATAATATGTGTACACCCATCATATATATACATATATATAATATTCCATCATATATATACATATATATAATATTCCATCATATATATACACACATATATATAATATTCCATCATATATATATGTATGTATACATATATATATATACACACACACAGGATGGAATATTATTCAGCCTTAATAAAGAAGGTAATTCTGCCATTCGCAACAACACAGATGAACCTGGAGGACATTATGCTAAGTGAAATAAATCAGACACAGAAAGATAAATGCTGCATAATATCTCCTATATTTGGAATCTAAAAAATTATGTATGTATACATATATGTAATATTCCATCATATATATACACACATATATATTATTCCATCATATATATACACACATATATATAATATTCCATCATATATATACACACACACACACACACACACACACACACACAGGATGGAATATTATTCAGCCTTAATAAAGAAGGTAATTCTGCCATTTGCAACAACACAGATGAACCTGGAGGACATTATGCTAAGTGAAATAAATCAGACACAGAAAGAAAAATGCTGCATAACATCTCCTATATTTGGAATCTAAAAAACATCAGACTCATGGTAACAAAGAGTAGAATGGTTAGCAGGACCTGGGGGGTGGAGTAAATATTGGTCAAAGAGTACAAACCTTTAGTTATAAGATAAACAAGTTCTAATGTACAGTAACATGACCATAGTTGTTAATAATGTATTGTATACTCAAAATTTGCTGAGAGTAGATCTTAAATGTTCTCATTACACACACACACAGAACAAAAATGGTAACTTTAGGACATAATGGATATGCTAATTAGCTTGATTGTGCTGATCTTCTCACAATGTATACATACATCAAAACATTCATTTGATACCCCTTAAACATATGCAATTTTGATTCATCAACTATAACTCAATAAAGCTAGGATAAGCAAGAGCATCATTAAAAAACTCCTTCGTCTACACAAGAATGGTGTAATGGCTTCTATTTGCTTAGGTATTATGTTGTAAATCTGTTGGTTTAATCCTGATAGTGTTTATCATAAAATGCAATACAGATTGATATCCCTCATCTGAAAATCAAAAATACCCCCAAAATCTGACACTTTTTAAGTGCCAATAGGACATCACAAATTGAAAATTACACACCCGACCTCATGAAATAGGTTATAGTCAAAATTTTGTTTCTTGCCCAAAATTATTAGAAAGATTGCATTACCTTCAGGCTCTACATATAATGGTATATATAAAACATACATGAATTTTGTGTTTAGCCTTGGGTCCCATCCCCAAGATATCTTATTATGTTATGTGCAAACATTCTGAAATGTGAAAAAGTCTGAAATATGAAACGCTTCTGGTCCCAAGCATTTTGAATAGGGGATACTCAAACCGTAATACTATTTTGCTGTTCTGAATGGATATGGCTTAGATTAGGCAAGTAGAATGTATAAAGAATCCTATGTAGAGAAATAGACACAAAAGAACTTATAGAATTTTAAAAATGTTGTTCACATATTTTCCAATTCTGCTTTGAGTGTCTATAATGATCCATTGTTCCTTTACTACACTAGATGTCTGCAGGTGTATCCCTAGGAAGCATATTTTTATGGTTTCTTCCCCAAACGCAAATGAGTTAGCAAATGTTTTCATATCTCATTTACTGTCCCAGCACTTTTGCCTGAATATCCTTACTCACTTCAAAGGTTCTACTCCACCATCATCACCAGGAGGTCTTTCTTTAGTGAATGTTCCAATCTAGATTTTGTGCGTCTGTCATCACTGCTCCCTTAGCCTCTGCTTTTTACCTCTACCTTGATTGAAATACTCTTTTTTTTGCCTATATCTCACACTAGACTGTGATCCTTTTTAACGCTGCCTTTTTATGCATTGTTACAGGTATCAGTCAGCATCTGACAGGGTGGTTGTTCAATAAGTGTCTGTTGAACGAATGGAATGATAATTTAAAGAAAGAAGATAAGGAGTTCATGTTACTCAGACCCTAAGCAGGCAACTATATGTCTCTCTGAATGATTCACTATGATAAAAGCTAACATCAACAAATTACCTATGATGTTTTGTCATTGTGCCCAGTAATTTATGAGCATTCTTTATTTATTCCTATGGGCCGAGTAAGGCTAATATTTTCAGTGTTACATTAAAGACAAATAAAATTAAGTTTAGCAATATTAAATAAGTTGCCCAAGACTGCACTACTGTTTGGACCTCAAGGTAACTTTGTTCCAAAATGTGTGCTGTTGCTATAATGCCATGGTGGTTTCCTCATTTAATTGAAGCTCTATAAATTCTATGTGTTTAATTTAAGCATCCCACATACTTATAAAACAGGAAAGAAACAATAGTTTTCTTCTGTTTTGACTCATATAATGATTTTTTAAGATGGAGTCCAACTCCAATTCAAACAACAACAACAAAATTGCAGAAAAAACAAGAGAAGGACTTCAACCACATATTTCATTTGCTCTGCTTTTTATTTTTAGCAAAATAGCATTTCAAATAGTAAAATAATGTATTTTGTTAAGAAGATATTTTGGGTAGTGATCAGCCTAAAAGTCATTGGTAGATTTCTAGTTATGGAAAAATGGAATCACTGTATGCCCAACTCACACTAGATACTAGACAGAGAATAATTTGTATGTGGTGATTCTAAAGGTTCATCTGAATCTTGTAATACTTTAGGGTATCCACAGTGACAATACTTTCTGTTGCAAAGTCATAGAGGTGACAGGTAAACTGATTTTTTTTTTTTTTTTTTGAGATGGAGTCTTGCTCTGTCACCCAGGCTGGAGTGCAGTGGCTCAATCTCAGCTCACTGCAACCTCCGCCTCCCGGGTTCAAGCGATTCTTCTGCCTCAGTCTCCCAAGTAGCTGGGATTACAGGCACGGGCCACCATGCCTGACTAATTTTTGTATTTTTAGTAGGGACAGGGTTTCACCATATTGGCCAGGCTGGTCTTGAACTCCTGACCTTTTGATCCGCATGCCTCAGCCTCCCAAAGTGCTGGGATTACAGGCGTGAGCCACCGCACCCCGCCCTGATTTTTTTTGTTTTGTTTTCTTTTAGATTTTAAAATTTTAGTAATCTGCTCTTACTAACTTTGCCTTTTAAAAATGTCCCAAACTCTGGATCCTCTTAATTGTTTAAACACATGCACACACACAGACTTACACATACACACACACATACACGCACTATATACATCTTTATCACATTTCACAAATATATAGTTATTTGGAGAGAAGACATCTTATCTTTGACATATTTTCAATCTTATTGAGCAGTACTCAGAGAGCAAAATCCACAGGCATTTGTCTTCAATGCAATCATTTGTAACCTGTTTGGATAATTGAACTGTCAGCTTTGCCCTAGTCAGGATCCCCTGGCCATTAGACACTTGTTTGCTTTGTAGTAGTCAGTGTTTTCATTTCAATATACTTTGTTACTGCAAAGAGCACTGCCTCAAAACTACCATTAAGAAGAAAAAATACCCAGTGGCACACAAGAGAGTAAACTGCCAAAATAATGTATATGTAATTGGAATGGTGAGTAATCTGTCACCAAATCTGACGTGTCAGTTTAATTTCTCTTTTCAGAAGTCTGCAGCATGACCTTCCTTATGCTTCAATTGTCTTAGTTAAGCATAAATATTTTAAATATTAATCTTGTAATGTGTAGTATACTGATATTTTATAACCTGAATTGTTCCAGAATAGTGCCAAAACATTCACATTTGGATAAAAATATATTGCATTTGTGCAATTCTAAGAACAGTTTCTGCTTCTTTTGATGGCAGGCGTGCCCTTAAAAAACAACTAACCATGTTCCATAAAAATGCATATTGTTTTTTGACACTTCATTTTCAAATGAGTTCTGGGTTCACTTTGACCAGGACTAACACAGGCAGGCCAAAATGTCAATAACTTTTGGGAGCACATACAGCCAGTATTATTTCAGAAGGACCAAGAGTACAGTCTCAGGTTCAATGCAAAAGGCAACAATACAGTTGAACATTCTACAATTCCATCAATCTGTAGGGATCAAGAATTAAACTAAAGTTTATTACAAAAAAACCTTGTCTTCCACAGTTTTTGGGAAAAGCTGCTCTTTGTGCAGCCTCTATCCCTCTTAGACACTTGCCTAAACATTATATATTTAAGTTTTTTTGGTTGAAAACTGCCGAGGTTCCAAAGACATGGTTTGATTTCAACAGAAAAATAAAGCAAAGCAAGTGAAACACAGCCTGCTTCTGTAATTTAGAGCAATTATCTTACTCTTTATGACCCTCAACAGGAAAATTAAAATAGAATTTCCTGCTTTTGGATTACACATATTTGACTGCTCAGTGTATTCTTCAGTGAACAGTTAATAAAATATTGTACTTGAAATAACCTGGTTTATCTGTCTACTTCTTTAACATTTATAGCTTATTAGAAGACTAATATATATGTTGAACCCTAAATAATATTTTAGGCCTCCTGGAAAGCAACATATATGATATAATTTTAGATTATCAGAAAGTTACTATTTCCATCCTCACCACTAAATCTACCATAGTTCACTGGGGTCCTATATCCTCAAATTGTAAGGGTAATCCTTTAATAACTTAAAATCCAAACTGATCTCAAGATTTACCCTGCTATTGATGATTTTTACATAATAGCAGGGGATAAGGAATCCACGAACAGGTTTGGGAAAGTACAAATTAAAAATGAGAGTTTCTAGGACTGAGCCCCCTTCACTGGAAAATTAAAACATAAAACCTGACTTTCATTATTTTCCTTGAGCAGTTGTAACAGCTTGCACACTAAAGATGTTATCTGAGATGGATGCAGGCCTTCCCCAGAGACGTGGCCCTGGGCTGCCTTAGACAGTAAATCCTTGTTCTGAGTAACCAGGAGTTAAAAATTGGGAAGCATTTAGTCAAGTGAAAGAAAGTACTAACCCAAGAAGGCAGATATATTTCTGCTGGGCTTCTCTGAAGTACTAAATGATTCTTTTATTTATTCCTTAATTTTAACATTTAATGACAACCTAACATGTACTAGATAGTAGAGATCAAGGTGGATGCATGGAGACAGCAACCTTCCAGTTTAAATTGAGGACTGAGGAGACGGCCGATAGGCCCCCTACTAAGAAGTAATTCTAAAGTCTGGGAAAGAAGGAGTTCAAGGATGTTCACAAAAAAATGTGTTTGTATAAGCATGACTTGGGATAATGAAGGGGTAATGAAGATGTGCTTTAGTGCATGGGAGACCAGGTAATTACCCCCAAATAATTCCAGAGTCAATTGGTACGGTGAATGCAGAGATGTTTTAAAATCTTCAACAAACGTTTTCTATAAAAGGTCAGCAAAATCAAAAACAAGAGCCTTATAGTTAAGTAGGGTCTAAAGCTAAAGTTAGTTGTACAAGTGGCGGTCAGATGTCAACAGTAGGAGCTCATTAGTTTCAACCACAAGACAGACAAGTCAGAAAGAGCAGTATGGTAGGAGTGAGCATGCCCTGAGGTATGCCTATCTGCATATTTGTTCTAGACAAAGACACTGCCACGCGTTTTGGTATATAAGGAATATATTGTTTCAGATTATAAAATAATACATGTTCCTTTGCTAAAATTTGCTGAACTCTGAAGACTATGGACTCTCGACACCCAGAGGTGGTCATTGTTTGTAATTATAAGGCTTCTCTTCCTTCAGGTGCATACTGTTTTACAATGGTAGAGCATGCCTTATAGAATAAGTTGGTCACTTTTCTCACTTAACATAACCAGTGGTTTCTTACGTACATAATAGAATTTCAGTCTCTATGCAAGAAAGTTTCATTTTTTAGCCTATGAAGGCATTTTTCTCTCTTTCCAATATCTCTGAAAATCTCATAGTTTGTGATCTTAATCAGTCAACCTTCAGCTAACCAATTCACATCAAAGAAAAATATCGGGATCAAAAAACTTTTCACTTTAAAATTAAGTTTTCGGATAAAAGCAAGGGGGAGAAGGCAAAAAAAAGAAACTGTACTTTTTTACTTTTACCTTTGGCTTGATATCCTTGTTTCTCACTGAACCTATGTTTGCAGCAGCTGCAGCTCTGCCTAGAGTAACTCATCAATGGTGTGAATCTTATGGTGTCCTACGACTTTTCAGATCTTTGCCACTCAAACTCCAAACCCATCCAAATATAAGAAAATAAACAAAATATTTATTTGAAAATCAAAATGTATTAAATATATATGCATTTCATACGTATAATATTCGGGCAGCTGTGTATTGAGTTCCATATGCAATCTTTGTCTTCTATTAATTTAAAAACTATATTTTTCAGTTGTGGATGTTAAAGGATAAGTCTCACCAGTAAGCCTTGTTGCTAATGAACTATTATTGACTCCTACCTATGCTTGCTAATGGCATGTGCCAAGCTCTTAGGCACCATTTAAAGAATAATCACCCTAAACTCATAATTTGTTGCCTTCAGCCTAGATGGTTTATACATAGAATCCAGCCAGTGTCAGATACTTTGTATTGTATTATTATTAATAATAATTTTGGCAATAATATTAATATAATACATTCAATTGGCCTCTTTGGGAAATGGTGTTTGTATTCTTTTAAACAACACAGGTATTAAAAAAGATAGCTGGAACAACAAGAACATGGAAACTTAGTCCAATTTTTGGGCAGGTCTATAAGAACTTTAATGAACTCATCTTCTTGACAGTTTATGGTTTAACTGCCTAGATCTACCTTTGAGAAAAGTAATATTCCCCTGTGCTATTCAAGAGCATAGATGAATTTTGGGTTGGCAAAACCTTCATTAAAATTTTATGTAACCATTCTCTAGAGCTTGAAACTTGCATAATACCTTACCCAATGAATTATGCATGTCAGTTTCTATACTCACCCTATTTTTATGTTTAGCCTTTAAGCATATTTATAGCGGGATTCTCATAAACTCATTACACTGTAAATATATTAAAAGAAGTAGATTGTGTCCTTGATTGAAAATAACAAAAAAGTCCTGAGGAGGGTCATATTTACATGCATTAGTATGTAACCAAAATCTCCCAATGGTGACTCACCATCAAAAGTCAATGACATAATCAAAAGATTTACTGAAATCTCCAGTATATATAGCCCCCAAACACTGTAAATTAGTTTAGGATCTATGGACTAAATTCATAAAGTTTAAACATTGCACGTATGAAATAGGAAAGCAGTCTTAGATCTTCAGAACCAGAATCAAGAAATTCAAGGTAAGAGTTTACTGAAGACAAAGTCCCTTTTATGTTTGTACATTCTTTTCTCACTAAGTTTATGTAATGCTGTTTTGGGAAGCTCACGACCACTGCTAGGTTCAGCCATTGGCTATAAAAACTCACAAGAATCAGCATGAGATTTATTACAGCAGAAAGTAAAAAATACAAAGTAAATTTATCAAAGAGTAAAGGTGCAAGGAGAGAAGTCCAGAGAAACCAGACACAAGCTTCCAAGAGTCTTTTTCCAGTGGAGTCACACGTAGAATGTACAGCACTTAATTTATCCAGCATTAAATAGTGATAACACATGTGAAGTGTTGTCTACCAGGAAAGCTTATTTGAGACTCAGTGCCAAGGTGTTTATTGGAGGCAATTCATGCACATAACTTCTGCCTAGCACGTACCAAAATTCCAAATTCCCAGAGGGAAAGCTGGTGTTCAGCATAAACCACACTGTACAGTTCAGGCATAGTGAGCCACTAGTCTCAATTTCTAGAAATGGTGAGAAGTTTCCTGGAATCCAAGTTCCTAGATACTAGCCAAGGGCCAATCTTATAAGCAGGACTTTTGATGTTGCTCTTTTCTGCTGCTACCTTAGGTATAACTTCTTCGAAATTATTTGTATATCTGCCATATCACTTAAAATGATTTTCATCTTGATAATGCAAGTTATGTGTCCAAAGGCAGAATTAGGAAGAGATACACTGATATAGATTTAATACATGTAAGTAACCTTAAGAGTAGACTGGTAAAAGGTAGTAAAATAGTTAGAAGTGATATGTTTTGAGTATTACCTTTGTTTTTATTTTTATTGATTTTTTAATATGGCTTTTTTGACAACTGGCTTGCAAAATCTCTGAAAACTTATCCTTCAGTGTTAGCTGGCTTTGGCACAGCCCAAGAATGCAAGTATGTATCAGTCCTCTGTTCTCATCCTGTCTACTAATATTCTATTGACTTCTCTCCAAGTCAAAGATGGGGAAGTATACTTCTATGGAGGTAAGCGAGCAGGATGGAAGGTTTGCTCAAAATACTTCTAAACTACGACACCATCTCCTATTCTGAGTATCATTTTAGAGTTTTCATCTGCTTTGCCTTATTTCATTCTAATTTAACTTTATACATAAAGAAATTATGTTCTTGGTTTTATCTTTTAACCAGTATCATTCACGCAGGGGTAAAATGTAAACAAGAGGCAGGGAGGGAGATAGTTTTTAGGGTTGTTTTTGTTGTTGTTGTTATTTGCTTTTTTTAGGTCCCCCAATTTTAAACTCAATGCAATGTTTCTCAGCAGAGAATAAAGTGAACATTGCCAAGAGGCCTGTAGTCTCTCACTGGATTTTTAGTTTACAGATTCTTTGTAGCTTCTTTCCAAGATTTTTATTTGAGGCTTCTTCAATGCATGATGAGGCTTGAAACAATAGAATTTCCAAGTCTCTACTTCGTGAAGTTTGCTGCCAACTTACAAATGCCTTGTAGCCTCTAAAGACTCAGCTGTGTAAAAGTACTTAAAAACTGGCCCATTTTAAGCACCCTATTTGATGATCATTACTTTATTTTCTTGGAGAAATGTAGCCCACCCTTATGCCCTACTGCACTTGAGAAGCCCTTAAGAAATAACATTAAGTCCACACCGGTAATGAAGTAAAAGCAGGGGGTGACATGTCGACAGAGTAATCCTTGTGTGATTTACATTCAGTTCCTTACCATGAACATAATCTTTAACCTATCTTAAAAAATAGACTAATTGCCACACAGTGTATCTCCCTAAGATTGTAGAGGATAAAGAAATAAGGGGCCACTGTCCTTTACTGCTGGAAAATGTCTTCAGGAGACATTTCATTAGAAAACACTTTGGGGCTTACAGAGAACCAATGACACCATCAACACCACTTCTCCCTCTGATCTAGTCTTCTTGTCTTCAGGTAATTTTCATATATGCTTTATCTTCCAGACTGGATTATAAGGCCCTTCAGGACAGTAATTTTATCTTCTCTGCCCATTATATCATTTTAGATGCTTTTAAAGCTATTGTACCTGTTATGGGGAAGAATAGGGACAGAAAAACAGGAATAATAGCCACAGTGTACACTTCATTGGTGACATTAATTAAATTGTGTTTCTCAGTCAGGGATACATGTCCTCATGAAGCATTTATTAAATCCAAAATTATTGCATGTCAACAAATGCTCCACGGGTTTTAGTGTAGAGTAGCTTTTAGAATCTTGCCCTAGACACCACTGCCACCACCACTGCTTATTTAGCCCCTTTAACCTCACCACACCTTCTGTTTATTGTTTCACAGTTTATTCTTCCTACATGCTGGATACTCTGTCTAGGGTTGCCATCTTCAGCCTGCTGATACTTCAAATCTCAGTTTCATGATGACTTCACTTAGAAAATAGTTATTGATCCCACAGCCTGGGTTAGAGACATCTTTTTCTACCATATGCTATGACTTTGTCTACCTTAACATTTACCAGTCGGTGATTACTGATCAATTTGCATGCTTCTGCTAAATTGTAAGCCCCTTAAGGACAGGAGCCCTACTGTACCTGGCTTTTTGTATCCAACACCTGTCTGGGGTCTAGAACAAGATAGGCCCCCATCTACACTTATTCTGTAAATTAATGGACATGTAAAAAGATGCAAAGAGATATTTCTTCACTGGAGATTGTCACTGTCAGTAATATATTGGCATTCTAGGCATGCTGGCAATCATCTGGACTCTGAATCCCAGTTGAAATCTGAAGAAAATAAGCAATAACTAACATAAAGTTTCACGTTTTTTGACATGTTGTCTTTCAGTACAGCTAACTCTGACTAAAATTTTCAAAGGATAATTCCATAAATTCATAAATCTCTAAGGGAAACTCCAAAAATACTCTGTCTGAAATAGATAGCCATTAATATTAAAATCTTAAATTAAGATAAATTATTCTATTCATAGCTTTTCTGATTGTTAAAATTTACCAATTCTCTCTGTCTCCCTCTTAATAAATGATAGTTTTTTACTGTTGTTGTCATCACTATATCTTTCTCAAATGTTCCACATTGACTAAGGACATTCTTCTAGGTTTCTTTTTCATCTCTCTATCTTTGACAAAATAGTTATTTTAATTGAGGTCAAGTAAGATACAGATCATGTAAACTTGCATTTTGAATTCTGTCTTCTGCATCTACTTTTGAATATTCCACAGGAATATGGTTGCTTAATGTTCCACATCTTAAATTTATCATCTTATGTAGAGTTTCAAAGAGATTCCATTACCAAGGAATTACAAGGTGCCAGATATTGTGCTAGGCTTTTTTTCTAGTAAAAGAAGCATAAAATGAAAGAATATTTGGAAATACAGCTAGAGTAATTTATTCAAGTAGGTCCTTGATGAGTTGAATGAATGATAAGTCTATGAATAAATGGACTTAGAAATTTCAGATTAATGACTTTTTGGAGTAACTGCATTAAAAAAAAAACCTGATGTGAAATTATTCAAATTGTCCATATTGAATAATAGCATTCCATGAATTGATTGATGCCTAAATGTTGAGCTCCAAAAGTTTTTCAAAATTTTATTTTAATAAAAAATAAATATTGATACTAGTATACATTTGAGTCATTAATCTTATTTTTTAAAGTTGTTTCCACATTCATTGTTTAAAATCCATTATCCTCCATATATCAGAGGTAGTCTTCAACTAAGTGAACTTATCTAAGCTGGAACTGTTTCCTAGAAATTCCTTCTCTATTTGATTCCAGGTTACGATTGGTTCATGCGAAATTAGCATGAGCCTTTTTATGGCTAAAGTGCAGCAGAACCCCTTATACACTGAAGGTCAGAATGGGGAACCATACACTATTGCAGCTTACAGAGAATAAGTTCTCCACTGTTGGTTTGCTTTCTAGGGATAGTGCAGCAACTGTCCCTGTAGCTCCTCACATTCCAAGATATCCCATTTAACTTTTAGGAACCTAGGATAGGCTCATGTGTACCTCTACAGCCAAGGGTACTAGCTTCTGTTCATCACCACCAGTATCTGCAGGGGAGACCATGAAGACAAATGAGGCTTTGAGTTTATCCTCACACCAATCAGTTTGTCCTCACACTTCTGTGGCTCATGTACACCATTTCTTCCTGTGACTGATTTTCTTGACCTTTAGAAACGTCAGACCCTCCATTAGACAAAGATGCAACAGCTTTCCCTAAATTTCTTCACCAGTTCGCACAATTGCATAAGGGCTAATCTCCACAATAAATCTCTTATTTCATATTGATGATAATAGTTCTGATTATTTGAATGAATCCTAACCATTACATCCCACATCAGACCTTATGTAGGTCTTACATATGACCTTGGCAGCACGGGTAGATTACCACTGCTGTGATGTGATTACACTGATTCAAAGATGCTATAATATTTTATATTCTGTAGTGCTGAAATTGAGAATTACCAAATCTAGCATGAGCAGTGAAATTAGAGGCATTTTATTACTGCAATATTTATTTATAGCTACCTATTTATATGGTAGCTAAAAGAACTCCTAGAAAAAAATAGACTCTACAATTATTTCTGAGAATTTTAATACTTATTAATTGGTAGAACAAATAGAAAATCAGTAAAGTTATAGAAAACGTGAGTAACAATATTAACCAAATTATTTTACCAACCTAAAAGACAATTATGGAACAGTCCATCCAACAGTAAAATACACATTCTTTTTAAGGCCACACAAAACATTCACAAAGATAGACTGGATTTTAAGCTATAAAACGAGTCTCAAACATTTATAAATAGTTGTAATAATTGTAGCAGTGGTGGATTTACACAAGTAATGTGAATGGCTGAAGCCAAAATTTTTGTGTGACTTTAAATTCATTTTTCTTTCACAAAAAAAAAAATAAAAATTGTGTGTATAAGTGTGTGCATATGTGTCATGAGGAGGAGGTGGTGAGAAACACTGGCTGGGTTTCTGGTATGAGTTACTTCTGTTCAAATAACAAATTCAGTTACAAAAATAGCTATGGCTTCTAAGTCCATATCTTGTAAGAGCTCATACTTTGTCAGAGATAAAGACTCAATAAATATACATATCAGTATATACACATACACACATATATGCTGATATACATGTGTATATATATGCAGACACATACGTGTGTGTTATATATGTATGTATGTGTATAATACATAAGACAAATATAGATTACCATGGGAGAATATACAAGGAAGTATTCAATTACTAGTGTCAGTGGTGGAAATTAATAACAAAAGCCTTCACAGAAGTACAGCTTTAAGATATGAATAGGAGCTCATCAAAAAGATAAGAAGAAAGAAATTTTAAGCATGAAGTTCATCATATGTAACAGGAAGGGGCTCAAAGACATATTTGAGAACAGCTAAAAATTTAGGGTGATTAGAAGCCGTGGAAGAGGAACAGTTAAAGGTATAGCTGGATAGATATTTGGAGGCTAACTTGTGAAGGGCCTTAGATTATATGTAGAGAAGTTGAGATTTTTTTATCATGAAGGATATGGAGCCCACAAAATTGTTTTTATATGTTTGATATTTACTAACAGATGCGTTGTTTTAATATGACAATTGGTAATAATGTACGAAATGGTTTGGGACAGGGAAAGAATTACAGTCAGAGGTTAGCTGAGACACCACAGGAGGATGTCGTGATCTACAGACAAGCAACGTCAGTACCACCTGGGAGCTCCTGAGAAAGGCAGAACGTCAGGCCCCACCAAAATGTTAATGTGCACATGAACCACCTGGAAATTTTGCTCAATTCAGAGACCAATTTAGCAGTGTTGGTGTGGGAACCAAGATTCATCATTCTTACACAACTTCTGTGTGAGGTCTCAGTGGTGATCTATAGTGTTCACTTTCAGTAATAAGGGCAAGGTAGTAGGAGTTGAAGATGGTTAGCAGGCATTGTGAAACAATTAAAATAATATTACAAAACAGAAGTGCCAGGAATTACAGTCATCAACCATTCAAGGTGACTGGATAGAAATGATTGATAAAATTTGTATTCATAATTTGAACAAGATGGGAGTGTTATGTGAATGTAAAATATGTTAATAAATAATACTTCCATTACAAAAGTAATACATAATTGCTATTGAAAGTCTGCACAACACAGTAATGTGGAAAGGAATAAAACCAAGTACACATATTTTCAAACCTCCAAAAGCTCCACTATTCACAATTTTCTCATTCTAGTCATTTTTTACCCCCTATTGTAGAATCTTATAAACTACAAAAAGGAGCTTAAACTTGAACTGAATGGTAATCAAATATAACTTAGATTTATGGAGCTGGAGCAATAAAGCAAAGTTTATATTGTATTATACATTCCAGATATCAGAAATACTTTGTTTTGCTTTCCTGAAATGTCTCCTTTGTCCCTGAAGGAGTTGGTTATCCTGTGCCGCAGGTCACATAAATAATGTGATGCTGTCTGGCATGGTGTCTCACGCCTGTAATCCCAGCACTTTGGGAGGCTGAGGTGAGTGTATCACCTGAGGTCAGGAGTTCGAGACCAGCCTGGCCATCACGGTGAAACCCTGTCTCTACTAAAAATACAAAAATTAGCTGGGTGTGGGCACACACCTGTAATCCCAGCTACTTGGGAGGCTGAGGCAGGAGAATAGCTTGAACCTGGGAGGTGGAGGTTGCAGGGAGCCGAGATTGCACCACTGCACTCCAGCCTGGGTGACAGAGAGACTCTGTCTCCAAAAAAAATTAATAATAATAATAATAATAATAATAGTGTGATGCTTCAGTCTGTCTGGAGCCATTCAGGAAGCAAGAATATTCTATCATCCCCACTGGACTTCTACAAAAAACATCATGGTACAGTTAACAAGAGCACTGATGATCTGTTTAGGGCCAGAGGTTGAAGAGCGTGGTTTGTTGTTATTTCCGAGACTGACATACTTGTGGATCGAGCCCAGCTTGACAGAACAGATGATGAATTTTTCAATTAGCTGTTGTAAAAGAAATAAACAAACAAACAAAACAACTTACTTGCCTGCATGCTTACCTTGTAGTCTTTATGATTTAGGAAATAAACTAGTTTTTTACTCCTGAAAAGCGTTTTTTGCTTTACTTTCTTTCTTTTTTTTAAAAAAATTGGCAGCAGTTTTTGAGGTTAGTAAGCATGAGAGAGAACACAGAGAGGGAACTGAATAAACTCCTGACAATATCCATATTCTTACATAATGAAAATTGAGCTTCAAAATTTTTCCCACCTTAACCATAATTCAACTTCTCAATGATCTCCAGTGAATAAAAACCAAAAATGAAAGATAATGGAGAAATTCCACATACGTAATATTCAACTTCTCTCCCAACCAATTCCTGCCCAGCAGCTTTTAAACTGAAGGAGAACAGCAGAGAGGAGATAGCCACACTTCCACCAAGCAGATGCAGATCTGTTCCCTAAACTCCTTTCTGTCTGCTCAGGAAGGGTATCTCTAGTCACACTATGAAGTTACAACTATCTCCACTCCTCGTAATCTAGCCCTCTTGTCTACTTTATGCTATCCTCTTCTATTTTACTTTTACATATGTAATTTGCCTTTCGTCCTTCCTTCCCCCAAACCCAAAGAATGTATCTTCCAAGACAGCAAGAATTTTATCATCTGTTTTTCAAAAGGCACAATGTTTAGAAGAGCATCTAATGCATTGTAGGTGCTTAGTAAATCTTTTTGAATTAATAAGTCTCATTTTTAATCAATTAAAATATGAGTGATGTATTAAATTTGCCATGATGTAATGACATAAATGTTTACAGATCTATACATTTATTTAACGTTTGTATATAGATGATTATGCAATCTGCAAATAAAATTAGAAGCTAAAACTAAAAACTCATTCACTTCGTCTTTTCCAATATATGTTTTTATTTCTGTTCTTGCCTTATTGCACTGACTAGATCTTTTAGTACAATACTGAATAAATGGTAGAAAGAGATTCCCAGACTTACTCTAACTCTTAGGCAAAGCATCCAGTCTGTCACCAATAAGTAAGATGACAGCTGTAAGTTTTTCATAGATAAACTTCAATCAGATTGAAGAAGTATCCTGTATACCTAGTTTCCGGAAAGATATCGTGAGAAATGGATGCTGGATTTTGACAATGCGTTTTGTGGGTGTTTATTTAAATGATAATTTTTAACTTCTTACTAAGGTGAATTACATTATTGATTTATGTATGCTAAACTAACTTTGCACTTTTGAGATAAACGTCATTTTGTCATGATGTAATACTCATTTTGCATCTTGTTGGTTTTGATTAACTAAAATTTTGTTTAGATATTTTTCACCAGTATTTATAAGACATATCAGTTTTCCATTTCTTTTGTTAATAGGTTTCTGTCTGGTGAGATGGCCTCTTTAAATGAGTTGGAAAAATATTTCCTGCTTTTTAACATTCTGGTAAAATCTTATTGCTATGTAACCTTTATTTCCTATTGTCCTTATGTTCCTTTTGTACTTTTTCTAATTGTATTTTTGTGGAGAGCCAAGTTTTTTGTGCGTATATATTACTATTTCATGTTTTTTTCTTCTTTTCTCTTTTCTTTTCTTTCTTTCTTTCTTTTTTTTTTTTTTTTTTTTTTTAGTAAGGATCTCCCTCTGTCACCCAGGCTGGAGTGCAGTAGTGAGACCATGGCTCACTGCAGCCTCGACATTCCCTTGATTCAAGTGATTCTCATATTTCAGCCTCCAGAGTAGCTGGGACTACAGGCAGGTGCCATCACACCTGGCTAATTTCTCTTTTATTTTTTATAGAAAAAGGGTTTCATCATGTTGCCCTGGCAGGTCTCAAATTCCTAGGATCAAGCTATGCTCCCTCCTGGGCCTCCCAAAGTTCAGGAATTACAGGCATGAGCCACTACCCCTGGCCTATTTTTAAATAAGATGATTTTTTCCCAAATAAGTGGTATTTGTGAATATATTGTATTAAGGAAGAGCCAAGACAATATCCCCCCCTAGTGAAAAGTCTTTCTGGCTCACAAACAAATTCTTTTTTGATTCAGGGGCTCCTGCATAAGTATTAGACAGGTTACTCAATGTTTCCTTTGACAAAGGTGAGTAGCTATACGTAGGGTTGCCAGATTTATCAAATAAAAATACACAAAACCCAGTTATATTTGAATTTCAGATAAACAACAAACAGCATTTTGGTATGCATATGTCTCATGCAATATTTTGAATGTACTTACGTTGAAACAAGTGTAAATCTAAATTTGAAATTCAAATGTAACTGGAAATTCTGTATTTTTTCTGACAACCCTATCTGCAGTGCCACTTTCCACTCACAAAGTTTCTATGTGACGTGTGTGACACATTTGCCCAGATAACATGTGTAAAGGTCTTCCTCCGAGGCCATTTATCCTTCAGCATGACCTCCCTTGGCTGACTGTGGGGTCAAACAGGGAACAGGAGCCTCCACACCTGGGTAACTCACACTGGGCCTGCATAAGCACCGAGGGACCCTGCCTTTATGTACTACCCACTTTGGAGATCTCTGTTCCCTTGAACAAGTGCCATCTTTGTGGCTCCCTTCATCACTTTAAATGTTTCATTGTACTGCTTTCTTTGTTTTCCCCAGTCTTTTACTACAGTTTGCTACACTTTATGCTTCGTGTAGATTTTGTTTTCGAGTGTTTTCTATTACCATTGAAGATGAAATTTCAATCTATTTTTGCTTTTTTCTTTCTTTTTGCTTTCAGAACTGAGAAGGGGAATGTTCACTCTGCGAACTTACACCTGCAGGTCTATATAATCCATTGAATAGCTTCATCAGTATCTATTTATTTTACGCTTCTTTCCTATTTCTATTTTAGTATCTTTGTATTTCCCCCTTTTTATATTATAGTTGTTAAAGACATATCTGTTGTTTTGCAATGTTCCAGGTTTTAGAAATATTTGTATGTTTTCCTGTACACTGTTGAACCCTGACTCCTCACCACTTTACATTTAATGACTTCTGATATTTTATCTTCATTATTTTCTCCATAAATTCAGTTCCGTTAGGTTAGGTTTTTTTTTTTTTTTGATCTTTTAAATTTCAATGCTTACTTTATTTTTAATTCATTTTCTTAAATAGCTAAATATTTAACACTAACAAGTGCCCATGAGAAATGATCTATATTCTATTCATTTGGAGGTACTGTCTTATTATTATTCCCTTTTCAAAGTATCTTATTACAGTTTGAATTTGTGTTTAACAAAATAATGATATAGTAGCATTTTCCACATTATAGTCTATGCAACTAAATATTTTTAACTGAAATATTCTTATAATATAGCTTGCTTATTTAGCTTTTGCATTGTGCTCAAAGAATATGAGCTATTAAATAATTTTGAAATTGTTAGCTTTACTTTTTGGTAGGAAAACAGTGAGAGGGTAGTTTTAATATAATATTGTTGAAAAAAATGAGCATACATTTTTCCCTCAATTATCTGCCCTTTTGTGGAACACAATTTTCCTACAGTTTAAAAGGCAGTCATGTAGTGTTTACTACCTGATGTGCCGCACCCAGCATATCCTACATTTCAATAGATGGACATCTCAATCAACGTGAACTAATTAATGGATAAAAGAAAATCAGTAATATTTGTATCTTTGGTAATTTTAAATTGGGATATGAAGTAACTATGCCAGTGAGCTATGGCTTCTGTAAATGAAAGGTAAAATATAATAAGGAAGAATTTGGGGCAATCTCTATGAGGATTGTGAATAATCAACCATACAAGAATTTAATATCCTCAAACAATATCCATGTTTTAGTGCTTGATTCTTTAGGGTCAGCAGATTAGGTGCTTCTTGGTTTGGCTTGACTCCCTCATAAAACTTTAATGAGTCGTGAGTCAGATAGGCAGTTCGCTTTCTGGGATGGCTGGCTATCCACTGGATCATCTTGCTTCTCATTCCTTCATCTTATTTCTGAGTGTCGCTTAGATCCTTCCAGGAGCCTACCTTGGCATGTTCTCATGGCCAGGCTTCAATGTAAATGCAAGGCAGTCTAAAGATATAAGAAGACATGCTAAGCAGGCAAATGCTTTTGACCCTTAGGCTCAGAACTCATACACAGTCATATCTGCTATGTTCCATTAGCCAAAACAGGTTGAAAGACCATCTGAGTCAGGGTATGGATGGAGAATACAAAGTTTCACATCAAATCATGTAGATATTGGGAAACCATTAATTCACAACATAACAGCAAGTTACTACAGCCTTCTCTCCAGAACCAATAATCAATATCCTTTTTATATGAAGAAAATGACTTGGGAATTTATCCTTAGTGTCAATTACAGTAACTTGGAAAGTTTATGGACATTATTTGTTGGAATGTGTGTGTGCTCCATTTTCATTGTACTTTCCTTCTGAGGATTCAATTACATACATGTGAGACTATTTGATTTCCCACAGACCTTAGACTTTCTGTTCTATTTTTTCATATTTTTTCTTTTAGCTGTTATTTGATAGTTTGTATTGCTCTGTATTCAAATTCTGTAATTATTTTATATGCTTAGTGATATGGTTTGGCTGTGTCCCCACCCAAATCTCATCCTGAATTGTAATCCTCATCATCCCCGCATATCGTCATGGGAGGGACCCCATGAGAGGTAATTGAATCATGGGGGTGGTTTCCCCAATCCTATTCTCATGATAGTGTTTGAGTTTTCATAACATCTGATGGTTTTATAAGTGTTTGGCATTTTTCCTGCTTGCACTCACTCCATCCTGCTGCCCTGTGAAGAAGGCACCTACTTTCCCTTTGCCTTCCACCATGTGTAAGTTTCCTGAGGTCCTCCGAGCAATGCTGAACTGTGAGTAAATTAAACTTCTTTTCTTTATAAATTACTGAAGTTTCCATGTCTCTGCTAAAATTTTTCATATATTTATATATGTTGTACACATTTTGAACTAGGTACTTTGGCATTTTTATCAGTTACTTTAAATAATATTATAGTTTTATAATTATAATAATAATTCTAATCTTTGAGGCATCTCTGTATCTACTTCTATCAACTGTGTTCTCTGTTGACTTAGTGCTCACCTTGTTTTCTCTCTCTCTCACACACACTTTCTCTCTTTTTCCTTTTTATGTGTTTTATCAATTTATTATATGCTGATCATTTGTGTAATAGTATAGGCAAAAATAAATTATATTTACACTTAGAATAAAGAATATGGCATTTTGTAATAGGCTGCTATAACTGGGAGCCCATTAAATCTGATCCGTATTGATGTAGGCCTGGGATTTGTAGCATGCATTGTTAGAGTGGCTTTAATTTCTCTCAGTTCATTACTGGTTTTATATATTTAGAGATTGAGCTCAGGTATCTCTGTTCTGTGAAGCTTCACCTCTGAGAACTTGTGAGGTTCTAGAGACACCTTTGTGCTTTATAGCTGAGCTATCAGCTTTCCAATTTGTGGAATACTTCTCTCTGCCTTCTACCAAGACAAATGGGTTTTTCAGTTTCTGGGAAATTTTATTTGGTCTCAAAGCCTCCTTCAAACTTTCCAAACTAGGAAAAAGTAGTTTTAGCTCTAGTCCTTGCCAGGTTAATTTCAGTGTGCCTATTTCAGTGTGGTTGGATTTATTATCTCAGGAATCCAGCTCTGTCCACATCTTCAGAAAGGCAGTTTCTTTGTAGTTGTGGGAGGCCATGAAAACCTGGAGATATCTTTTTTAGCTTTCCTGTTCTGCATCCCAGCCTGTGTAATATTACCCCAATGCAATTGGTGAAGACTCATGGAATAATCAGTGAATGAGTCTAGAATTGTTTTATGTATGAAGTTCCATGGAATTCTAATTTGTCATATAAGCCATGATGAGGTTCTTAAAAGTATTTCATCATTTCCCCTTGTTTCTTTCTACTCCCATTAATAGCAAATAGCAAATTATTCATGCTCTGATCATTCTATCAAAGGTACATCCAAATTCTCGCTTGAAAAAAGACTCAACTTTCTAGAATTTAGATCATCGTTTATTTGCATATAGCACTTTCTGAGAGTCTCAGAAAAACAATGGTTTTGTAGTATATTTTGCTTGTTTTAGTTTTTATGGAAAAAGAAACATTCTCTTGTGATGTTGCACATCCTAGTAAGAAGTTATGTCTTGCACTTTATTTTCAAATATTATTCCAAATTAGCATATACTGCTTTATTTATAATAATAGAGTAAGTAAATAGGGTAAAAATAATCAGGTGTTCCCCCTTCCTCAAAGGAATATAACATTAAATGTTAGGCCTTAAAAGAAATGGCACTTTCTTTATATTAAGAGATAGTTTACTTGTTGAACACAAATGTATTCTATTATTTTGCCTCTTTTTACTTTGATAAGTGCCAAATTTACAATAAAATTCTGGGTTTATCCTCCTCGATGATGTTTGAAACTCTAAAGAAACAACAGTGTGTAAAAACACAACGGCCGAAAGAGGATATTTTCACCTCCATATACATAATTAACTTGGAGAATCAACTGAGAGTTGCAGGTATTTAGTAATGTGTGATGTGTTGTATTTCAACAAATAAATTTTCTAGCATTTTAAAGACTAGATCAATCAGTGCAAATTAAAAAAAAGCAAACCAACCAACAAAAATAACAATATATTATGCATTAAATTTGTAATTTAGAGATAACTTAGATTTATATTTGTATCTACATAAGCACACATCTCTATTTCATATTTCTGGAAGAAATAATAGGCTCATACAACTTAGAAAAGTTGCTATGATGTCGAGGGAATTGAATGATTAATGCAGAATCAATACCACTACCAAAGAGTGTACCTGATTTATCTTACAATCAACATGGAAAGATCATTTTAACTTTATGACTCAGCAGCTGTCAAGATGTAAACCTCTCACAAAATTATTTCAAGGCAGGAGTTAACTTGCTTACTCTGCAGAAACACGTAAGAGACAAAACGTTGGTAGACGTTTGACCAAGGATGTGCTTCAAATGTATCAGGTTTGCTTTGTCATTCTCTTTCCCCAATAATTTTCTTCAGCCATTGTTGCAGAGCACAAACAATGCAGTCAGCAACAAATTTGACAGAATATAGTGACCCAGAGAAATCAGGTAAAGTGTGAAATGGCTAAGTGAAATCATTTTACCAAAATTTGCCTGGAATGGCTCTAAGCTGCCAAGTTAGGTAGGAGAGTATTACAGCTACTTGAAATTTAAAACTACATAGTTGTCTATATTAAAGAGAATCCCTCAAGACTTTGACTATCAAAGTACCCCCCACCAGAAATAGCCTTTATCCACCACAAAAATCTTAATCCCATAAACAATGAGAACTTACTGAAGTGTGTCAACAGATTAGTTCAGATACAGCTGAGAACATTCTAATGTAACTAACCTAAAATCTCCAAGCAGAGGCAAATTGCCCAGCGTTCTGGAAAACTAACTATGGCCTCCAGTAAACATTTTTTTTTTCAGAAACACGATCCCATAAAATTTGACCCTGTTGCAATAAACATCTCTTGCATCTTGTTTGACATAATTATCTGCAAATCTTCCCCATATGAATTCACATACGCGCTCTCTCTTTTCACCATAATCTCCACATGGACAGTCCCTTTTCATCCTTCAGGTTGAGTATAAATGCCACCTTTTCTGAGAAGCCTTTCTCCATTACCTTATCGAGAAAGTTTTGCCCTGCTTATTCTCCATCTCAGCTTCTTGTTTGTTTCCTTCAAGGCTCATGTCTGAATATGTTACTTAAAAAAATGTGTCTTTATGACTTTTTCCTGCCACAACTATAAGTAGATGTAGGCAAATCCTACCTCTTGCATGTTCCATATTTAGCAAGTAAGACATTGCCAGGCACAGAGGAGATGCTCAATTAATATTTCTCACATACATAAGTACATTAAAATATATATATTTCATGGAGTATCCTTTGATCCTTTATTGTAGAATTACCCTTTCTTTCTTATTTTTTTTTTCCTTTTTTGAGACGGAGTCTTGCTCTGTTGCCCAGGCTGGAGTGCAGTGGCACGATCTCGGCTCACTGCAAGCTTCGCCTCCTGGGTTCACGCCATTCTCCTGCCTCAGCCTCCCAAGTAGCTGGGACTACAGGCACCCGCCACCACACCCGGCTAATTTTTTGTACTTTTTAGTAGAGACGGGGCTTCACCATGTTAGCCAGGATGGTCTCGATCTCCTGACCTCGTGATCTGCCACCTCGGCCTCCCAAAGTGCAGGGATTACAGGCGTGAGCCAATTAAGTCTCTTCTCTAAGTAATAATAAAATTGCTGGGCCCTGATTGCAAGGAAAAGAAACCCAACACAAATTAAAACTAGAAGAGATATTAACACATGCAATAAACACCCACGGACTAACCTTCAGAAATGGCAGAAACAAGTATTTAAAATAGCATCAGGATACCAGAATTACTGCTTTTCTCTTCAACTTTCAGTTCTGCTTCCCATTGAGTCATCTTATTTTCAGGAAAATTTTTTATAGGTAGAAAATATGGTTTCTAGCAGATCTAGACTTACATTCAATCAGCTTAGCAACAATAGAAAGAAACCATGTTCCCTGCTACCAGAGTAAATGACCCACTAGGGGCTCTAATTAGTCTGACTTAAATTAGTCTGTGAGTCTAAGTGGATGAAGACATTGATTGATCTAATCTGATTCATTGTCTAATCCTAACATCCAACACCACTCCCTGAAAACATCTTGGGATAAATTTTTAGCACTTGAAAGTACTAGCAAGAGAAAAAGTATAGCTAATCTGATCCACCACACATTTTTCTTGTTGCATACCATTTATTAAAGTGTCAGACATGCATGCCCATCACCACAGACTGCTAGCTCTTTGCTTAGCATGCCTGAAGGTTTTTTGTTGTCATTAAAGAGTCCCTTGTTTACCACCTTCTCACAATAAATGTCTTATGAATGAATTCATAAATCAGTATTTTTTCTGACTTATTTGGCAGAAAAATTGGCTGAATATTCTTATTAGATTTAGAGTTTAACGTTGTCTTATGAGAATCATTCTTTTGCTGGGTGGAAGGTGGGCTGAGTGATGGTACAGAGAGACACTTTTATGGTCATTGACTTTAATTTCAGACTAAGATATTCCCAAACAGAATTTGATCACATAATTACGTCCTTAAAAATAGGATCAGTATAAGGAAACCACAGTGAAATACTTTTGAAAATATAAAAATAAGCTGCTACCATCTGGAATATTATTTACAAGTTTTTGGCCCTATACTTCCTATTTTTAAATAAAAGAAAAACAAAGCAAAACAATTATGCTCTGAGCTCTAAGTAGATACTGATAGGCTTTCATCTATGAGGCAAAATTTAAGGGCATTACTATCATCTATAGATTTCTTTATATCTGCAGTACCTGTTAAGGCAATAAATCATTAATTTGTATAAAACACACACACGCATATTATTCAGAAGGCCAATAAATAGTCAAATCATATGCAATTTTGAGTGTGTCCGAAATTCTGTTACCATTCTTACTACTAGTTATAATTTTCTAAGCCTTCAGAATGAAACAAGCATCAAAACCCTCATAGGATCTTTGTTATTAAAAAAACTACTAAATCAGCAATTCTCAATTACTTATAATTTTTGCTTTCTTTATTAAATACTACAAAGGGTACAATATTCAAAACTAGTTAATTATATGCTTCAGAAATGCCTATTTACTTCCCAAATGTTTCTTGTGAGAGATGCTTAATGTAGTTATGTGCAGGAATCTAGAACTGAGATATTTCAGCAAAGCTATGATTGTGATGTCCAGGTCTTATCACTTAATTACTATAATTACTAAGTCAATTTTCCAACCATTTTAAAATAATTTTTTATAACAAGTTGAAACAAAATTCACAAGAATGTATAAAGACTTTTTAAATTAAAATGTTATACAACAGCAAAGGGAGCCCTCATGCTCTACCAGCTATCAAAATATACTTCAAACATAAATGTTATATTTTGGTCACTTCTTTCAATCATTTAATTTTTCTATTCTTTTGCCATTTTATCACTTTCTCTATCCCAAAGTGAGGCATCCATATTGTTGGACTGATTAAAATGGCCCCAAGTCAACCAGTAATCTGTTGTGTTATTGGTATTAGTATATTCTGGTATTTAGTTTTGTGACAGAAAGCCTGGGGGTGTAGAGCTCTCAGGCAGCTGAAAGGGAAGTGAGTCTATAATGAAGTTAACACAAAGAACAGGGTAGCATTAAGGTGAGAAATTGGGCCAGTCCCTAATCATTCCATCAAAACAATAAATCTCTTATTCTTTAAGCCATTTTGAATTGGATTTTCTATAATTTAAAACAAAGCACATAGATATATCTGATGAATAGGGCTTATAAAAATTTAAGCAATGTGGTCTAGGTAAAATCATCTTTTAAAAAATAGTTGAGAAGAGTAGAACAGACCCCAGAAATCAGCCCAAGAAACCATAAAGGAACTTTAAAAAGGAAAGAGAAGTCCTTGCCTATGCCTATGTCCTGAATGGCATTTCTTAGGTTTTCTTCTAGGGTTTTTATGGTTTTAGGTCTAACATTTAAGTCTTTAATCCATCTTGAATTAATTTTTGTATAAGGTGTAAGGAAGGGATCCAGTTTTAGCTTTCTACATATGGCTAGCCAGTTTTCCCAGCACCATTTATTAAATAGGGAATCTTTTCCCCAGTTCTTGTTTTTGTCAGGTTTGTCAAAGATCAGATGGTGGCAGATGTGTGGTGTTATTCCTGAGGCCTCTGTTCTGTTCCATTGGTCTATATCTCTGTTTTGGTACCAGAACCATGCTGTTTTGATTACTGTAGCCTTGTAGTATAGTTTGAAGTCAGGTAGCATGATGTCTCCAGCTTTTTTCTTTTTGCTTAGGGTTGTCTTGGCAATGTGGGCTCTTTTTTGGTTCCATATGAACTTTAAAGTAGTTTTTTTCCAATTCTGTGAAGAAAGTCATTGGTAGATTGATGGGGATGACATTGAATATATAAATTATCTTGGGCACTAAGGCCATTTTGACAATAAGGATGCTTCCTATCCATGAGCATGGAATGTTCTTCCATTTGTTTGTGTCCTCTTTTATTTCATTGAGCAGTGGTTTGTAGTTCTCCTTGAAGAGGTCCTTCATATCCCTTGTAAGTTGGATTCCTAGGTATTTTATTCTCTGTGTAGCAATTGTGAATGGGAGTTCACTCACAATTTGGCTCACTGTTTGTCTGTTATTGGTGTATAGGAATGCTTGTGATTTTTGCATATTGATTTTGTATCCTGAGACTTTGCTGAAGTTGCTTATCAGCTTAAGGAGATTTTGGTCTGAGACGATGGAGTTTTCTAAATAATACAATCATGTCATCTGCAAACAGGGACAATTTGACTTCCTCTTTTCCTAATTGAATACCCTTTATTTCTTTCTCTTCCCTGATTGCCCTGGCCAGAACTTCCAACATTATATTGTATAGGTGTGGTGAGATAGGGCATCCCTGTCTTGTGCCAGTTTTCAAAGGGAATGCTCCCAGTTTTTGCCCATTCAGTATGATATTGGCTGTGGGTTTGTCATAAATAGCTCTTACTATTTTGAGATACGTTCCATCAATACCTAGTTTATTGAGAGTTTTTAGCATGAAGGGCTGTTGAATTTTGTCAAAGGCCTTTTCTGCATCTATTGAGATAATCATGTGGTTTTTGTCATTGGTTCTGTTTATGTGATGGATTATGTTTATTGATTTGCATGTGTTGAACCAGCCTTGCATCCCAGGGATGAAGCTGACTTGATTGTGGTGGGTAAGCTTTTTGATGTGCTGCTGGATTCGGTTTGCCAGTATTTTATTGAGGATTTTCGCATCGATGTTCATCAGGGATATTAGTGTAAAATTCTCGTTTTTTGCTGTGTCTCTGTCAGGCTTTGATATTAGGATGATGCTGGCCTCATAAAATAAGTTAGGGAGGATTCAATGGCAACAAAAGCCAAAATAGACAAATGGGATCTAGTTAAACTAAAGAGCTTCTGCACAGCAAAGGAAACTACCATCAGAGTGAACAGACAACCTACAGAATGGGAGAAAATTATTGCAATCTACCCATCTGACAAAGGGCTAATATCCAGAATCTACAAAGAACTCAAACATATTTACAAGAAAAAAGCAAACAATCCCATCAACAAGTGGGCACAGGATATGAACAGACACTTCTCAAAAGAAGACATTTATGCAGCCAAAAGACACATGAAAAAATGCTCATCATCACTGGCCATCAGAGAAATGCAAATCAAAACCACAATGAGATACCATCTCACATCAGTTAGAATGGCGATCATTAAAAAGTCAGGAAACAACAGATGCTGGAGAGGATGTGGAGAAATAGGAAGGCTTTTACACTGTTGGTGGGAGTGTAAACTAGTTCAACCATTGCGGAAGACAGTGTGGCAATTCCTCAAGGATCTAGAACTAGAAATACCATTTGACCCAGAGATCCCATTACTGGGTATGTACCCAAAGGATTATAAATCATGCTACTATAAAGACGCATGCACACATATGTTTATTGCGGCACTATTCACAATAGCAAAGACTTGGAATCAACCCAAATGTCCATCAATGATAGACTGGATTAAGAAAATGTGGCACATATACACTATGGAATATTATGCAGCCATAAAAAAGGATGAGTTCATGTCCTTTGCAGGGACATGGATGAAGCTGGAAACCATCATTCCGACCAAACTATTGCAAGGACAGAAAAGCAAACACCACATGTTCTCACTCATAGGTGGGAATTGAACAATGAGAACACTTGGTAACAGGGCGGGGAACATCACACACTGGGGCCTGTCATGGGCTGGGGGACAGGAGGAATAGCATTAGGAGAAATGCCTAATGTAAATGACGAGCTAATTGGTGCAGCAAACCAACATGGCACATGTATACCTAGGTAACAAACCTGCACGTTGTGCACATGTACCCTAGAACTTAAAGGATAATAAAAATAAATAAATAAATAAATAAATAAATAAATAACATAGAGACAAAAGTGAATAGAAATTCACTTAAGAAGAATGGGATATAAAATATTCAAGGGCTAATATTTTCTATTGTATAAAATATTTCATAGCATCAATAAAGGTAGAACATTTAAAATATATTCTGCAATGGTAGTATAATGCTAATTTCAAAATAAGAAAATTATGACCTGGAAAATTTATGAAGGTAATGCAGTTTAATTATACATTGCAAATTTGAAGAATAACATATGCAAAAAATGCAGATATATATGTATATATATATATATATATACACACACATATATAAAAATATGCCATTATTAAGCTAGAATTTATTTTAGAAAATGGAGGATAGTTTGAAATTTGACAATCTATTACTTTGATTTACTGTGTTAGTACATTTAGAAGAAAAATATAAGATCATAATTCAGAAATTACTACTGAATGAATTTGCTAGAAATTAAAGAAATATAAAACAAAAATAAAAGAAAATTTTATTTAACCAAGAAACATAATAGTGTTTAGCAATATTCACCAATGTTTGAAGAATCTATTCAATATAATAAGAATTAAGAAATAAAAATTATAAATATTGAAAAGGGAAATATTATTTATTATTAAAATAGCATAAAAGCATATAATGATATCCCAGGAGAACAAATATTTTTACAACTAGTAAAACAACTTGAAAAATATCCAGTTACAAGATAAGTATTTCAAAGTAATTCTTTTTCATGTGCAAATGCTAAACTAAACAAAATATTCCTATATTGTATAGCAGTATAAAAATGAAGAAAAATAATTTTGGCTAAACATGAACAGAAATAGGGGAACTCTCTTTCATATTATTGAATGGAAAGAGTCAGTATTCTCCCAAATTTATTTATGAATTAAATTCTCTTGTAGTAAAAAAAGCAGCATTTTTAAAAAGAATTTATATTTGTTAAGCTGATGTCATTTAGAATAGTAATGGTGTAAGTTTACTGAACTATGTTGGGAGAAGAAAAGGAAAATTTTGTAGTGAGATTTTTAGCAGATACAATGGTATAAAAATATATATATTTTTTTAATACAGGAAAAGGCTGGGCATGGTGGCTCATGCTTGTAATTGCAGCACTTTGGAATGCGGAGGCAGGCAGAGCACTTGAGGTCAGGAGTTCGAGACCAGCCTGGCCAACATGGGGGAAACTCATCTCTACTAAAAATACAAAAATTAGCCTGTCTTGGTGGTGGGTGCCTGTAATCCCAGCTACTGGGTAGGCTGAGGCAGGAGAATTGCTTTAACCCCAAAGGCAAATGTTGTAGTGAGCCGAGATTGTGCCACTGCATTCCAACCTGGGTGACAGAGAGAGGCTCTGTCTCAAAAATAAATAAAAATAAATAAATACAGATAAAGGTACATATATACCTATATCAGTCAAATAAACTTACTATACATATGTGTGTATGTATGTATATACACACATATATAAAAAGTATATTGTAAAATAATAATTTCAATATTTTAATAAATAGAGCCTTCAATAAATGGAACAGGGTCAGTTGGGTATTTAGAGAGGTTTGATGTACAAAAATACAAATGTATTCAACATCAAAATATAAATATATAAAATTATTAATGTATGTGAAGATAAATAGAAAAGTTGGTCTTTATTATCTAGAACTGTGGAAGGTTTTGTTTATTATGACAAGAATAAAAATCATTTAAAAATTACCAAGTGTGAACAGAAAAAAATATATATATATAAATTCAATATAATTTGTACACAAAAATTAAAGTAAGTAACAAAAGACTAAAGGTCCAATAGGGTAAAATTATAAAAACAAACAAAGGTCAATATTTCCCATATTAAAATATCCCATATAAATAAGAAAAATGCAAATAAACAAAGAGAAAAGTAGATTAAAGTTATCGAAAGGAAGTTCTTGAGAAAAGGATACAAATGACTCTGAAGAATGGATATAAGTTCATAAAGTCCATAGTGAATAGAAAAGTTCAAACTAAAACAATGGGATAGCATTTGTAGCTTATAAGACTGTAAAATACAAAATGATTTACATTTAGCATTAATAAATATGTGGGGAACATGATATTCTCCAACAATACTAATAGATATAAATCAGCCAAAGATTTTCAAGGTCTGTGTCATGTACCTGTTAATTAATTATTTATTTATTTTTGATTGAGCAAATCCATTTCTTTGGCAAAGATTACAAAGTAAAACATGTTCAAGGATGTCCATTATAGCATTACAAACTACCTAAACAGCTATCAATGCAAGAATAGCTAAATTGATTTTAACACAACCATTTCCTGAAACACTATGAACTATGAAAAAGAATAATCTGTGTTCATATGCACTGAAAAGGAAAAATATCTATGATTGTTTTCATTTAAAATTAGAGATATGGTATACTATACTTCACTGTTTGTAAAAATAATTATGTATATAAAATATTTCAATGTGCATATTTGATGCTTTGGCATAACAAATATTAAATTGTTAACATTTTGTTTTAGTTATGTGGTGAGAAGAAAAAGGAACATAACTTTTCACCTATTCATTTTTGTATTTTAACACTTTAAGCACTCATACTATTTTTGTATTTTTAACGTTTACTTTTCAAATCATGTTTTTGATATTCTAATTTTTAATTTTTTCAGATTGTGTAATTACTATATTATATAGAAGTATATATATAATTAATATATATATATAATATATATTATATTATATATATAATAATATAAATAATTAAGGAAACTAAATAAATTTTACTTCAATAATATTATTTGTACAATATGTTTATGTTTGTAGTAGTAAATCAAGTTTCAAATCTTTGCATTTGAGAAATGTTGCCTATCAATTTCTGTACTGTTTAACTAGTTCACTTGTTTATTGCAGTCTTCAACAACTGAAATTTCAATCTAATATGAATTATATCACTTAATTTTTTAAGTAATGATGCATTATATGTTGACTTATTCTATTTTGCCCTCTTACTCAAGTACCTCACCTCAAACGAATATAAACTTAAAAACACTATAGACTAAAGTACAATTTAGGGTTTTTCTCATACTATGCATCTCTTAGCCCAATTATATATTAAAAAAATCTGCTGTATACATTAGCTGTACAACTTTGAGTGAATTATGTGACCTCTTTAAACCTCAGCTTTCTCACCTGGAAAATTGAACTAATTTTCCCTTGCATATAGGTTCCATATAGGTCCCTTGCATATAGGTTCCATTCAAAATTAAATGAGATTATTCTTGCAAATGTTTAGATGTTATCCTGGTGTGTCATAAATGGTCAATACACAAATTTTCTAATTTCATGTTCTTCTAACATCCTGTTAAAAATCTGATGAGTCAAGAGCTTAGCAAAGTTTTATTAACAAAGAAGGAGAGAGAGGTAAGAAGAGAGCAAAAGAGAATGAAAGAGAGAGGCAAATAGAGAACACTGAGTGCAATGGTCAATTTTTTCTGGGATTAATATATACTAGAACTATCATAATTATATTTTAATCAATAAGTGGTAATTTTTATCATCCCACAAAATTTGTGAAGATATTTTCCCTGAGGTATAATTGTAACAACAGAAACACAGGTAGTATTTGAAGGCTAGCAATAATAAATCCATTTTGAATTTTTTAAAAAAGTTAATGTTCGCTACAAACCTGCCGAGACCAGCTCGGTCATGGAGACCCTAACCCAGTGGCGCTAGAGGAATTAAAGACACACACACACAGAAATACAGAGTGTGGAGTGGGAAATCAGGGGGCTGACAGCCTTCAGAGCTGAGAGCCCCCAACAGAGTTTGACGCACATATTTATTGACAGCAAGCCAGTGATAAGCATTATTTTTATAGATTATAGATTAACTAAAAGTATTCCTTACAGGAAACAAAGGGATGGGCCAAAATAAAGGGATGGAGTCAGCTAGTTATCTGCAGCAGGAGCATGTCCTTAAGGTGCAGATCGCTCATGCTATTGTTTGTGGTTCAGAAACACCTTTAAGCGGTTTTCCACCCTGGGTGGGCCAGGTGTTCCTTGCCCTCCTTCCAATAAACCAACAACCTTCAGCGTGGGCATCATGGTCATCACGAGCATGTCACAGTGCTGCAGAGATTTTTGTTTATGGCTAGTTTTGGGGCCAGTTTATGGCCAGATTTGGGGGTCTGTTCCCAACACAAACCTGAGATGAACTTGGTAGTCAAAATAGTCATTCCTCATTTTACATTTGGGAAATAAAATGATATTCTGGGATATGATAATTTATTCAAGATATGCTGTACACATAAAGTTTCTCATGTAGTCTCTTGACTACATATCTAATCCCCTCATGGTGCTCCCTTCCTTTTTCTATTAGTCTGTGCCAGTGTATTCAATGAGAGTGTTTCTCTTAAGAGTCTGACAGCACAAAATTTAGCTATTGGTATAAACTCAAAACAGCTTTTTCCATTACTATTGCTTATACATAACTCTTAGGTTCTCTCAAAGTGTATTTAAACAAGTCTTATTATCCCCAGCCCAGATTGGGGGAGAATCAAACTGACATCTCATATGAGCATTTTCCTCTTTTCAAATGCTGTGAAATCAGTTATAGCCATAGAATGTGAATTTACAACAGCAATAAACAGGGTGAAGAGAGAAGATTTAAAGATTAGGCACCCTACAGCTGTAAAGTCCTTATTCTCTCAAATCTGTTTCCACATGGCATAATGGACATTTCAGGGTCAAAATAACAATGAAAATCACACTCGTAGAAGTTAAACTTAAGCCTAACACTGCCTATTGTTCTATAGTAATTAGAGTAAAAAACATTTTTAGAGCTCACAGTTTGGTAATACAGAAACACAGCAGGCATGTTTTCTGTTCTCTATGTAAGCCTTTCACATAGATTTGTGGACCATGATAACAAAAGAAAATCCTTTGAAATGTAGTTATATTTTTATTGACATAGTGAACTATCCAGCATCCAAGATGTTCTGGCAGAGAATTGATTCCCCCTTAATGCTTTTTATAGAGCCTTGTTTCTTTTCGTCAGTGTGACTTACAGTAGTACATCTTGAAAAGTAAATAACTACTGAGACACCTCTCTAATAAAAAAAAAGGCTTACAAATTATGAGAGCTGTTTTCTTTCTTATACATTTTACTTAGTACATGCACGATTACTGAATTCAACATGAACTTGCATGCAACTATTTGATAAAATTCTTAAATGATAATATTAAGTATTTAAAATAAAAACAGGTAGGGTCTACCTAAGTGTGTAAAACTGTCCCACTAGTGTAGGTATAAACAGACAATTCTCCTAATACACATCTCTATTACTAATTTTCAAATTTTCTGTATATCAATGGATTTAAAAAATGATCAGCCAACATTAAGCATATCTTCCTTTACTTTTTCTTCTTATAAGCCACTATATATTTGACACATTTGACACTCTTTAACAATAAAAATACTTTTTTTCTTTTTTTGGAGATGGAGTCTCTCTCTGTTGCCCAGGCTGGAGTGCGGTGGCACAGTCTTGGCTCACTGCAAACTCCACCTCCTGACTTCAAGTGATTCTCCTGTCTTAGCCTCCCGAGTAGCTGGGACTACAGGCGTATGCCACCACAGCTGGCTAATTTTTGTATTTTGAGTAGAGATGGGGTTTCACCATGTTGGCCAGGCTGGTCTTGAACTCCTGACCTCGTGATCCGCCTGCCTCAGCCTCCCAAAGTGCTGGGATTACAGGCATGAGCTACTGCGCCCAGCAAAAAATACTTTTTTAAAATTTATCAGAAGAGGGGTCCCCAATCTAATAGAGGCCTGTGGCCTGTTAGAAACCAGGCTGCACAGCAGGAGGTGAGCACAGGGAAAGTGAGCAAAGCTTCATCCATATTTACAGCTGCTGTCCTTTGTGTGCATTACCGCCTGAGGTCTCCCTTCTAGCAAATCAGTGGTGCCATTAGATTTTCACAGGAGTGTGAATCCTACCATGAACTGCACATGTGAAGAATCTAAGTTATGCACTCCTTATGAGAATCTAATGCCTGACGATCTGAGGTGGAGCTGAGGCAGTGAGCTGGGGAGCAGCTGTAAATACAGATTAACATTAGCAGAGAGCTTTGACTGCACACAGACCATAATCAATCAATTGCTTGCAGACTCATATCAAAACCCTACAATGAGTGGCAAGTGACAAGCTGCATCTGGTCATAGGCTTTATGGTGGCAAGTGAGTTGATGTACTTCAACTGTGCAGCTGCATCTGGTAGCAGGGTTTAAGTCAGAATCTGACACATATTTTAGTCCATGCATGGCCAGCCCATTATTTTATTTACCACTGCCACTTGTGCCTCTTTCCCATGCTGTGCGTTTGTCTCAGTCACAGTTTTGGTTTAGCTCACAAGCTAACCCTAGCCAAAATGAGAAAAAAACAAACATCCTTGGATAGCTTCTTTGAAAAGGGGGAAAGACGCAATGATGAGACAGCAGAAAACTCTGAGACGGCCAACAAAATTAAAGTTGCATTTAAAAGAAAATATCAAAAGTTCTGTTAAAATTATGGGTTCATTGCAGCAAGGGATTCACATTCTCCAGGTCTGCCTTGTATAATACGTGGCAGTTCAACAAAGCCATGAAATCTTCAAAACAGCTTGGCCATATGGGGACCAAGTATCCTGCATTAAAAAACAAACCTTTGGAGTTTTTCAAAAGAAAATGAATGTGACCACGAACAACAAAAGCAATTATTGAAGGTCACCGCTGCATCAAATACGTCTGCACTGAGAGCATCATTCTTAGTGGCTAACTGTATTGCTAAAGTTAAGTCGACCATTACTACTGGTGAAGAGTTAATCCTGCCTGCTGCTAAGGATATTTGTCATGAACTTTTAGGAGAGGCTGCAGTTCAAAAGATGGTACATCTTTTGGCTAGCACCATAACTAAACTAATTGGTGAAATAGCAGAGGATATTGAGCCACGATTGTTAGAGAGGATTAATGAGTCACTGTGGTACGCAATCCAGGTCAATGAGTCTACCAATCTTTACAACAAGGCAACAATGTTTGTTGTTGTGCAATATGTTTTTCAAGAGAATGTCCATGAGTATATGTTAAGTCCACTTTTGTTGCCAGCCAACACCACAGCTGCAGAACTGTTCAAGTCTTTGAATTATTACATGTAAGGAAAACTGAACTGGTCACTTTTTGTTGGCGTATTCATGATGGAGCAGCTGCCATGACTGGATGGCTTTTTGGTTTCACTACACAGGTCAAAAGGTCACTTCTGAATGTGAGTCTACCCACTGTGTCATCCACAGAGAAATGCTGGCTAGCCGAAAAATGTCATCTGAGCTTAATAACATTTTTCAGGATGTGATTAAAATTATCAAATACATTAAAGTGCATGCCCTTAACATGTCCATTCATGCAGCTCTGTGAGGAGATGGACACAGAACATACACATCTTCTCTTATACACAGAAGTAAGATGGCTTTCTGAAGGTGGATCACTGGCCGGAGTTTTTGAGTTACAGGAACCACCTCAATGATTTCTTTTAGAAAAACAGTCACCACTGGCCTCACATTTCAGTGACACAAAATGGATCACAAAACTTGCTTACCTGTATGACATATTCAACCTGCTCAGCAAACTCAATCTATCACTTCAGGGAAGAATGACAGCTGTGTTCAAATTGGCAGATGAAGTGGCTGCATTCAAAGCCAAACTGGAATTATGGGGGGTGACGAGTGAATACTGGGATTTCTGACGTTTCAAACATTAGCAGAGATTTTGAAAGAGACTGAGCCAGGGCCTTCTTTCTTCCAGCTGGTGCATGATCAGCCATCTCAGCTTTCAAATTACTTCGCAACCACAAAAGACACCCAAACTGGGAAGGAATGGATCCAGGACCCATTTGTGAATAAGCCAGGTTAATCAACTTTGTCTATGCTAGAAGAAGATCACCTGCACGAGATCACAAATGCTGGTAGCTTTAAAAGTATGTTTGAGACAACTTCAAATATCCATGCATTCTAGGCTAAAGAAAAGGTGCAATATCCTGAGACTGCCACAAAAGCAGTGAAAAGCCTGCTTCCATTTCCAACAACCTCTATCTTTGTAAATTAAGGTTCTCTGCAGTGGCAGCAACCAAAAAGACATTATGGAGTAGACTAGTCATAAGCACATGCTTCAGCCGTCACTGCCTCCCATCACTCCAGATAGGACCATCTAGTTCAGAAAACAAACTCAGGGTTCCCACTGATTCTACATCATGGTGAGTTGTATAATCATTTCATTATATATTGTAATATAAGAATAATGGAAATAAAGTGTGCAATAAATGTAATGCACTTGAATCATTTCAAAACCTTCCCACCCTCCCCCAGTCTGTGGAAAAAATTGTCTTCCACAAAACTGGTCAGTCCCCAGTGCGAAAAAGGTTGGTGACTGCTATATTAGAGCATGCTGACTACCAACCTAACTTCTTAAAAGCATAAACTTGAAAGTTTAAAAACATACAATGTATGCACACATACTTTCATATAAATCATGTGCTGAGCCTGGTTCATTTATACATTCAATTTTGACAAATTGCCCACCTCAAATGAAAAAAAAAATGTAGGGTCATTTTAAAACTTGGCCTGGTACCTCTGACTTTGGGTAACAGCAATAAGGAACTGCAGCCAGCTATTTGTAAAGCTGTTCTGCTGTATTTCTCCATCCTTTCTCCTATCAATTTTATTTCCAAAGCCAAATGCCTGACAAATGCCTTTCAAAATCGTACAACATTTTCATTCATTTTGATTTGCACAATTGCACACAATGATTCCCCCTCTCTATTAGTAGTAGGCCTTATTAAAAAGTTTTTTTTAAAAAAAAAATCATGTGTTTTTGATTAATTTTCTTCACCAAAGGTCAGAAATGGTATCTGAAGTGTCACTTTCCACACTGCAGCCATAGAGTACCTAATACATAACCATAGATTCAAGTTAATACCGAGATTACCCCAATAAATATGCTCAAGGTCAAACGCTACCCACCCTTGATGCACAAAACTAGCTCGATTTTAGCCAAAGTCTGGTCTGTGATTGGTACCTTCCATCAGAAACCTTGGGGAACAATGAGAGCTATTAAATACACATAGATTTAAAATTAGCTGAGACCAACCGTAAGGGTCATTTACTTTTAGAATATCAAGTAGTGTGAGTAATAGATTTGCAGATCCTCCTTCAAAGAGCTTTGCATAATTCAGAATTCTCTTCTGAATGTTGGCACTATACACTAGGAGTAATGCATATTTTTAAATTTAGATAAGTTTTATGTGTTTCTGATCCTATTTTGAGTTTGTTTTCTCTGTGTCCTGTTAATGGTAGATGATGAGCACACAAAGATGTAGATTATAATGATGATAATGATAATGATGATGACAATATTACCTTTTCTTTATAATATTAACTTATCAATCAGTTAATTACATACATTTATGCAAACTATGCCTCAAGGTAGACACTAATTTACCCACTTTACAGAGGAGTGACCTTATTTAGAGTTAGACTAACTCAAAGTTCCAGGCTAACAAAATTCGAGATCCAGGTTTTTTATACCATCTCAATTCCTTTTATATCTTTGGGAAGTCTCACATTGCAAAGCCAAGGCTCATGAAAACAATCTATATTCAAAATGTTGAACAAAAATTTATCAAGTGCTCATTTGTGACTAATACTGTATTAAGCATGAAGAAGAGTATTGATGAAATGTTAGTTATAGCCATATTTTTGGGAGTTAAATGCAGAATATTTTGTTCGGGGAACTAATGAAAACATCCTATAAGCAACATACTATGAAACTATCATTCATATTAAGAGAGCTCAGTTATTAAACTTTAAGCTCCTTGAGGACAGGGATTAAGATCAAAACATCCTTTTTGATCACATGGAATATAGCAAGTGCTCTATAAAGCTCTGTTGAAAGAACGTATGAATGAATGACAGCTACTGTTAAATCCTCACTGCAACCATTCCTTTAGTACACCAATCCTGATGACGGTGTCTTCTCAATCTCTCTTGAATGTGTTCATTTTTCATTTTTTCTGTTAGTGATAGGCTCACACAAAGTAAAACAAAGGCAAAAATACATCAACGAACAAGTCAAGTGGATCCTACCAATAAACAAAATTAACTCAAAAATTTATTTTTCAAGAATTCACATCAACAAAAATGGGCCCATTCTATGTTTTCTATTTCTGTCTACACCAGAAGTTATGTGCTGACAAGTGACTGCGTCAGGTCTATCTATGAATCTCTGCAGTTTTAATCTAACTGATCTTAAATGTTTAAATCAGTTTCCTATTTTTAACATTTTCAGATTTTGAAGTACATCTGAACCTCTGGCTTTCTTTTGGAAAATTAGAAGACGTCGCTTTTTGAAATAAAATTGAATTGCTTCTGCCCTATCTACGTGGTACATGCACTGTACAACTCACTGTACTCAGCACTACTGCTCACTACTATCCACCACTCACTTCATCTCTGATCATTACGGCCAAAAGTCACATCCATGCTCTTAAGTGCATTATCATCTAGTTGAAGCTAAAATAAAACGTCTGGTCCATTCATTTGAATTTCTAACCACTGCTCTTCGGGAGATCCTCTTCAACCTCAAATGGATCCTGATATTTGCTAATTCTGTGCTCTGGTTTGCCATACATTCTATCATCTTGTATCTGTGGGTTTAGGTAAATTAACATTGTTGAGCTTCAGTTTCTTGAACTATAAAATGAGCCAATGAGCCTGTCTGTATTTTAATGTTCTTAGGAAGCTTTAGTGGGATGTTTTTCAATAAATACTGAGAACATCGACGGACATTTAGTAAATGCTTAATACATATTAACTTACTTTGATCATGCTGCTGATGGTATTATGATCTTTATATCTTTCATAGCCACCTGTAAAAAACAATCAGCATGAAAATGCCTTGCCATTTCTATTGTAGGGTGGAGTGGGAATAATCTGGGGTAAGAATTGAAGCATGACGGAGTAGCAAGTCTCACTGAAATAGATTCTGTATTCCCAAATATGAGACCCTAGCCCCAGATATAAAAGGCAGTTTCTAGGTAAGGGAAGAGGGAAATTACGTCTTGATTTATACAGACAGGGGAAAAAAAAAATGAAAAGGGGCAGAAACAGGTCCAAGAATTGTGTGGTGGGGGGGAGATGAGGCTTGAATACTTAAATATTGATAAGAAGCCAGACGTGACAGGGAACATCTCCACCAGCACTTCACAGAGCACTTCACAGAATCAGTCCTTCAGTAACTGTAGCCAGTTTTTTTGTTTTTTGTGGAGTTTTTGTTTTTTGTGGAGGAAACAAACCACAAAAGATTTAGCTTCCTAGTAGAGTGTACTCTCCTAGGTAATGAGGAAAAACTTTTCTAACTTCCTCACATATCCTTCAACTTCTTACATTTATATGAAATCCCTTTAATGAAAAAATAGCTTACATTTATTTAGCACTATGGACTCATTCTTAGCCCATTATGTACATTAATTATTTAGTTCTTACAACCCTAAGAGGCTTAACAAAGGAATAAAATAAATTGTCATGTAGTAGGAAAAAAAAAAAACATGGTTCTTGGAGTTTAAAGGCTGGAACAAAGGCAAATGCAGTGATGGTTGAGTGTCAGCGATGATCAAAACACATTTATTAGCCACACTTGGAAGGTTCTGGCATATTATTTGATATTGGGAAAGAGGTGTTGAAGAATATGAAGCTGAAGATGATTCTATGATTTTTAGTTGAGATGTGTTAATGCGTGTACATGTCATTAACCAATTTCTATGGAATAGAGTAAACTCAGTAGGAAAAGTAGGGTTATGAAAATATTATATTAATTCAGACATGAATACATTGAATTTAAAGTACTTATAGGGACAATGAAATGCAAATACCCAATATTGCTTTTAGTGGTTGACTTCTGATGTAAAAATAGTTTCTTAGTATAAATATTGGTTTAAGGTTTTTACATGCCGACTTTAAGAACCACCAGACTTTCTGTTCTCATGGTAATTGAGTGACCTTGGGAAAGTTAGCTAATTGAATAACAGTCATTATAATGCATCCTAATTACGTTATTTTAAGAATAAGGTAGCATGATGATGGCCTAGATAATTGTTATTTCGATGTGTGATTATTTTAAAAATCATGAGAGATATATTGTAAAAATAGTCTCCAAACAGGTACTAGAAAACAGTACTGAAATTATAAGACACATGTAAGAAAAAACTAGGTATTTTGTGTGTAACCTTAAAACACAAATATTCAATATTATTTCTTACATTATATTATTTGACCCCTATTGCTCTCAACTCTTGTTTTATATTAAAATCACAGAAAAGATTTTTTTTGTAAGTCATATCCACTCCCCATCCCAGGTTTATTAAGCCAAAATTTCTGGGAGTGATTGAAAGGTGCTGTCAGTGGCACAGCCCATGTTATTAGCCAGTTTCAGATCCCACAAACAAAAAGCAGTTCATGAAGTTGCCTGTATGCCTATACTGTTTCCTTTTTATTAGTAATAGGCTTTATATAATTTGTATACCAAAATTTGTACCTAGTGACTCTCTGTTATTTTATGCCTCCTATTAGAGAACAAGATTATTCTTAAAAAGTAAGGCTTAGTTTTTTGATATTTGAATCTGATTTCTATTTCCAAGCCTACTTTCCCAATTTTAAGGAAACATAGAACTTTATCTCTGCCTAATATGAAACATCCTTAAAACATGCCTCTTTTCCATCTTGGCTCAATCAATCACTTTTAATAAAACGCCGATGCGGGCAAAGACCTTCCCAGAAATACACTGAATAGAACGATCATCCAGGAAATGCTTTCTTTGACAAAGCAGATTCAAGACTTCTTTTTGGCTAGGAGAATAAAGACAGAAGAATGTTCCTGGCCTTTAATTGGTTCACAACCACTTTGTAGCATCTAATCCCAAAGCTCTGACTTTGCTCTAGTTTGTAGATATACAAAATAATTTATTATAATTTTTATACTTCCTTAAGGATTTTTAAAATTTGCATGTGGCCCTTTTTAATTAGACACTTTTGTATAATATCCATTTTGTGCTCTGTAACTTATTAATGTAACATAAAACAAAACTGAATCTACATATTAGACATGTATTTCTCAATTATTATATTTCAATTTAAATACCACTGAAATCCTTAATTCTATCATGAGTCACACTTTTAATGTCTCATGCTGTTATAGATTTTACAAAGATCAGACATTTTAATTTTTTTCCTAAGATTTCCTGTGCACCTCAGGTGATAAATATAAGAGTAAGCAGATGAGAATGGAAGCAGTAATCAAGCGGTGATTCTCCATCATAGCTGTGCATTCCAGATCCTCCTCACCCCCACCTCCACCCCTCCCACATGGGAAAGCTTTTGAATTTACCATTGCTTAATCTTGCCTCATCTCAGATTAAATATGTCTTGGATGAGTCCCAGGCAAGTTTGTTTCACAAGTTCATTCCAGCTGATTCTAACGTGCATCAGTTTAGGAATCCCTGAAATAGACCAAGATTTCTAATAGTAATATAGGAGGAGGAAGGGGAAATACACAGAAAAATAGCTGGCATAGGGTTAGGTGCATAAGAACTGAAACACCTGGTGAGGAGGAACACAGACTAGAGTACCGAAAGCATAATTATGGTGTTTAAAAAAACGTCATTGTGATTTTGATAGAGAGCGAAGTTCTATAGGATACCATCAGATATGGACAGCAAATGGTCAAGAGGATTAAGGAATGAGCTTCCTAGATTGAAAGCATAGACAACCCCAGGAAATAAATAGTCATTAAAAAGATTAAGGAACATAGTCATATTTCACAGAACATATGGAAAGACTTTCAAATAGCTTGGGTTAAAAAGCCAGTCAGATGGCTATTTATAGAGAAATAATTAGTGAGAGAGACTACACAAGTCAGAGATTAGAAATCAGTTATTTAGGTTTGATATGCAGCCCTATTTAGAATAAAAGTGCAATTGATTTGGTAGAACTTTAAATAATTTGCTACAGTAAGTACTAAAGAACTGAAAGTAAACTGTTCAAGCCATCTAGATAAAGTCATAGGGCCTTGAAAGCCTTAATTCTAACACAGTTGATTTGAAAGTGGGAGATGTTCATTCTACAATACATTTCTTATAAATATAAAGCATAGAACCTCCAAAATCTTCTCCGCCCTCACAATGTATTTGGTTCTTCATTTAAAACTGGAAAAGCCACTGGGGATAAACAAAATAAAATAAATGACCGAAACCTCTAGAAATATGAGAAAAAGTTTCCTGCAAGGGGGCATTTAATCTGGTGACCTGAATTCTCTGTACTAGGGGTTAAAACACCTGCTTATGCTTCTTTTTCTCTTAAACAACACAAAACACCAATACTGATTTATTACTATACTAGCTGTAATTCTTGTTAAAAGAAAAGCCTTAGACAAATGTAATTTAACAGAGTTTAGCTGAGCAAAGAACATTTGGTAAATCAGATAGCCTGAACCAGAAGAGGTTCAGAGAGGTTACCCTGAAGCTTCATAGTAGAAGATTATTTATGGACAGAAAAACGAAAGTGATGAGCAAAAAATGGAAGTGGTTACAGAAATGGCTGGATTGTTCACTTTTGCTATGCTTTAGCATGGAGCTTGGTTAGACTGTGCCCCTGCCCGTCAGGTCTGTGGAACATTGAACTTGAGAATGATGATTTAGGGTACGTGGTAGAGAAAATATCTAAGCAGCAAAACATTCAAGATTTGGCCCTGCTGCTTCTAACAGCAAATGCTCATGTGTGTGAACAAAGAAATGACCTTAAACGGGAATTTACATTTAAAAAAATTGCAGACTGGCTCTGTGATAGTAAAGAAAAGCCTGTTTTCTTGGAAGGAATTCAAGCAAGCTGCAGAAATTTGCATAGCTAAAAGGAAGGTAAGCACTGATAGCCAAGACAATGGGAAAAAAGGCCAAGATGGCATTTTAGAGAAGTTCCTTGCACCCTCTCCCATCACAGGCCTAAAGGCCTAGGAGGAAAGTATAGTTTCATGGGCCAGGCCTAGGGTCTGCTGCTCTGCACACCTCAGGACACTGCTCCCCATATCCCAGCTTCTCCAGATCCAGTTATGGCTCAAAGGGAACCAGATATAGCTCAGGCTACTGCTTCAGAGAGTGTAAGCCATAAGCCTTGGCAGCTTTCATGTGGTATAAGGCCTGTAGGTACACAGAGTGCAAGAGTTGAGGCTTGGGATCCTCTGCCTAGATTTCAGAGAATGTTTGGAAAAGCCTGGCTGTCCAGGAAGAAGCTTGCTGAAGGAGGGAGCCCTCATGGAGAACCTATACTAGGGCAGAGCAAAGGGAGAATGTGAGGTTACAGCCCCCACACAGAGTCCCCACTGGGGCACTTCCTAGTGGAGCTACAAGAAGAAGGCCACCATATTCCAGACCCTGGAATGATAGATACAGCAGCAGCTTGCACCTTGCACCTGGAAAAGCTGCATGAACTCAACCCCAGCCACTGGGAGCAATTGTAGGGGCTGAAACCTAGAGAGCCACAGAGGCAGAGCTGCCCTTGGCTTTGGGAGCCCACCCTTTGCACTAGTGTGCCCTGTATGTGAGACAAAGAGTCAAAGGAGATTATTTTGGAGCTTTAAGATTGAATAACTTCCCTGCTGGGTTTTAGACTTGCACGGGGCTGCAGCCCCTTTCCTTTGGGCTATATATCCCTTTCAGAATGGGAGTATTTACCCAGTGCCTGTACCCCCAGTGTATCTTGGGAATAACTAGCTTGCTTTTGATTTTACAGGCTGATAGGTGGAAGGGACTTGCCTTGTATCAGATGAGACTTTGGACTTTGGACTTTTGAGTTAATATTGAAATGAGTTAAGACTTTGGAGGACTATTGGGAAAGCACAATTGTGTTTTGAAATGTGAGGAGGACATAAAATTTGGAAGGTCCCAGGGGTGGAATAATATGGTTTGGAAATTTGTCCCCACCCAAATCTCAGGTTTAATTGTAATCCCCAAAGTTGGGGGTGGGGTCTGGTGGGAGGTGATTGGATCATGGGGGTGGAGTTCTCAGGAATGAGTTAGCACCATGTCCTCAGTTTTGTTCTCATGATAGTGAGTGAGTTATTCTGAGATCTGGTTGTTTAAAAGTGTGTAACACCTCTCCCCTCACTCTCTCTTGCTCCTGCTCTAGCCATGTAAGACATGGTTGCTTCTCCTTCACCTTCTACCATGACTGTAAGTTTTCCAAGGCTTCCCCAGAAGCAGCAGCCACTATGCTTCCTGTACAGCCTGCAGAACCATGAGCCAATTAAACCTCTTTTCTTATAATTTACCCAGTCTCAGGCATTCCTTTACAGCAATGTGAGAACAGACTAACACTAGCTGAGGCTTTGATATAAACCCAATATTGTCTCCCAATGAGCTAGATAAGGCAAAGTATGCGTCACAAAAGCTTATGTGAACCTATCTGAAGATTTACCCAAAGTACACTTGATTCTTTTTCTTTATGACCCATACTTCAAGTTTGTTGTTTTGGGCAGGGAGGAGGGACAACAGCAAAGAAAGTTAAAACTAAAGGAAGCATATTAAGAGAAAAATGAAGGAAGGTAAAATGGTTTCTTCATAAGGCTGATAATATATCTAGTTTTATCCACTCAACTTTGACTTTTTGAATAAATAGAGAATGATATCCCACAGAAGGAAGCTATCATGAGAGAATTCAGAGAACAAACAGGATGTTGAAAGCTAATTAATTCCTCTTCCTACTCTGGTATTAATACTTTTTTTAGTATCATGGTCCCAAAATGCCGTTGGAGTTGATTCTTACACTAATGCTCTCACTGCTGTGATTGAAATGGGAGTTACGATCAGGATCTCTTCAGTGGTAAGATTGCAGAATTTATATATTTTTTCTTATTTTTGATGGTTCCTTTCAGATAGATTGTCAACTTGAATTTTGGCCTTTACTGCTCAGGTGACATGGTTCTTATTTATCTTACCTTCATTTATGTACCAGTATTTAATCTCACAGATGTATTTGCACATCTATATCAAACCATGTTTTTTAGTTCTTTATGCCCATTTTCTCTATGCTTCTTGACTTTATGCCTGTTACACAATCATCCTGTACTTTTTCATGTCCCTAATAAGATTGAATGCCATTCATAGAATTCTAATCTTATCTTTTAGAAAATCTTACATCAATGTGTCTCAAGTATTTCTTAACACATTTCTCTCAACATCAAAGTACACTGACAGGGTAGAGGGATCAAACAGAAAGACTGAAGTTGTCATTACATTCCTCTTAGTATTTTAAATTATATTAATCTGATATTATATAAACATTTGCCTTAATATAAAAATTAAAGTGGTGCTTGTGTGTCTTTTTTTTTTTTTACAATGAATAGCTTGAATTTGATACTGCAATGGATTTATCACAGCATGCTATAGTTACTTTAACCTTAGCACTTAGTTGCACTTGCATATTTTTGCTGAAGTGATGGATTGTTTGTTAGCGTGTCTCCTTTATATTGTCTTTTCCATCAGATAATTTAGTTTGTTGCCGGTGGTCAGTATTACCAATTTAGAAGGAGGACTAAAGGGATAATGAGGAGTATAAATAAATAAAGGAGAAAGAGGTGGAAAAACAGGAAAAGGAAAACAGACATTTCCATAATGTATAGTCTTTGCCACTCTGATTGCAGAACATCTGTGTAATTGTTCAACCTGTGCATAGCAACTCTATAAAAACCTCTGTTGATATGCATCAAAACAAAAATACTCTGTAATAATTTCATATGATGAACAAACAATTCATTTACATTTAATAACACAGCTTGTATGTTAATTCAGAGAAATCCGGTGCTACAATCTTAGAAGATAAATCTAGCTGATTTGTAATTAACTCAGGTTTATATCAATAAGAATATATTACATTAAAACTGAAAAAAAAAGAAAGAACAATAGCAGTTATCTTGTCTGCATTAAGCATGTTTCATTTTTCCTGGTATACATCCTGTGGATTTTACAATACTTATGAGATAGTGTAATTGTCAGGTCTCTTAATTTATGGCTTGTTTTCACCACAGAGGATGGTTTTCTCCACTGCTACACAGACCCTTACAGATAAGACGGCTAAGTTTCAGAGGTGTGGAACCCCGGCTTCCTTTGCTGAAGGTGTTTTCTAATGATTTGTGAGTTTCAAGGCTATAAACAGAAGTTTTGAAGTACTTGAACACATGTTCCATCCAGGGTATACTTGGCAATCAAGGTCCATTAGCTTTAAGCAAGATCTAGAGGATCTTTAAAGAGAACTCAAACATTGGAGAAAATGCAAACACATGAAGATGAAATAAATAGAAAACAAGCTAACTTAATGATGAAAGAGAATTTTAGTTTATGAGTTTCTGAAACTGATGAAGAACTAGAAACAGATTGCTCACAATTTACAGATGGATCAAGCAATGCCAGTGACCTGCCTGAGAAGACCGAACACTAATGCTGCGGCCTTGAGGGTTTCACCGGGATTCCTTACATCTCAATGTAAAAAATCTAAATCTAAGTGGAGAATGCTTCCATGAAAGACATCTCTGAGCCACTGGAAAATGTTGTGTTTCATCAGAAAGTGAAAGTCATCTCCTGATAATAGTAATGGTAGAGTCAATTCCCATCATGAATAAAGAACAGACCTTTCCCCCCAACCAAGTTTTTCAAACCAGGTGATTCTACGTTTCTTATGTGAACTTAGGGAGAGGGAAGGTTTCCACAGAGATTAACGCTGTTGATTACACTGATGATTAGGCATTCTGAGTCCGTTTTAATTTACCCTACAAAGGGTAAGTGACATTTTATTTTCTTGCCAGGTTCTGACAAAGCTTCATATTCACTATACTTATTTTGCATCTTACATGACACATGAAGTCAAGAAGAGGATAAAGAAATTTTGAAAAGCTTGGCAATCCCTTTTATACCAATTAAGCTATTCAGCGTCACAGTAGATTCCTAATCTCACCATGGTGAAAAACAGTTGTCAGTTATCAAAGCAAGAGTCTAGAACTGCAATAGCCAAACACACACACACAGCTTGCTTCTTTTCAATTCACTCAAAAATAATTTGTATTCATCTGCAAAAAGTGTATACTGATTCATGGAATATTTTGTTATATTAAAGTTGTCAGTCTTTCTATTGTTTTTGTTGCCAAACCATCACTACGTCTCCTTTCCTATATCTTTATCTATTTTCTTTCTGTAATCACAGTACAGAAAGTGTTTACAGTGTACAAAAAGTGTTTACCAAAAGGGTTTTACTTTCTGTAAAAATGGTACCTAAAGATATGTAGAAAAAGAAAGCATTTTATTTCTGAATTGCGCTTTTGATACGAGCAAACCCTGTTATACTCCTCATCAAATGCATTAGACATACCATCCTGGCTTAGCAGAGGTGCTCTTGTAATCTATGTTCAGGCTCCTCCTTAGAGTGACATCTTCTCCACTAGAAACTGACATAAAGAGATAGAAAATAATGTATTGTTTTCATTATTGTGTACCTGATTTAAGTTTTATATACAAAAAGTGTTTAGTATAATGGTCTAGTAATAAATAGAATGTCAGTGTGTCTTTGTCTTTTAACAGGGAAGAGGTAGATGGAGAGATGGAGATGTGGTACAACACTGCTTCACAATCTTCATGAATTTCTGTAGAGCTTAAGGAAACCATCTAGGCTACAGTATTTAACAATAAAGATCAATAGCACAGAGTCCCTATGATACATTGCATAGCTTCATACAGGAAGTGTTTTAACCTAAAGCTTTTTAACCAATTTTATAAAATTCTATGTGCATGCGTACTAAATTTTCTCCACTGTCTTGGTGTTTTAAAAGACTCTGGTAAATAGCATCACTGTCCAAAGAAAATAAAAATACTGGAGAAAACAAAAAAATACCTAGTGGTTATACTTACTGAAATAAAAATGCTTCATACTCTGAACATATGGGTCTTTAATAAAAGTTTAAAAAACGCATTCTTTTGAAGTTTCAATACAGCACATTTTGAAAACTATTAGTTTTATGTACATATTTGGGTTTGCTTACATATCAAATTTTCCCCACATTAATTAAAATTGGGCGTCTTTTGGACTATTATTGCATATTCTTCTAGGATTTATTTAAAATGCCAAAATAATTTTATGTACAGAGTAATGGCATTATTTAAAACAATGGGGAAAATACAACTTTGAATTTGTGAAGTTGGTTTTATCATTTCATTATACTGAAAGAGAAACAATAACTGATTATGCTAACAGTACCATCATGAGAATTTTTTAATTTGTTTTAATCAATGAATAAGGATATTTTGTACTTGGTTATTATTAATACAGAAATGACTGTTTGTAATTTTGTTTGTTTCTTAGTAGGATATGTTTTTTCATCTTCTCCCTAACAATCTTTTTAGTCTTCTTACTTAGTAATTGTTTTTCACCCTAAAATGCAATTGTTAAAGATAAAAATTAGTATTTTCTAATCTAAAAAACTTAAATTAAAAATTTACTAGAAGGGAATTAATTCCATCCAATTGAAAATAATTATGGCTTTATTACAGATAACCACTGGAGAAGAAAATAGGGACACAGCATTAATAACAGGGAACTTAAAATAGCTTAAAAACTTTCAGAGAATTTTTGAATTTATGAACAACAATATGATAAATGTTACATTAATGTTATAAAGGATGTGTTATACAGGTGTACATGTGGACTCATTTTGTTTTAACGTGGTACTGTAGTACAAAATGGATTGTTGCAAGAAAAAAATAATGTCATCAGAAGCCAAAAACATGAGCAGTATTTCTGCAGGAAGAATGTTTCCACATCCAAACTGTGGTGGCGCAGGTCCAGGGTTTGCTGTGGCAGCACGCAATGCTCAGGCCCACCAGGAGCTGAATGAATTCCTGGAGGACCTTGAGTTCGAGGCTGCGGTGCAGCAGGCAGAACTGGCCATTAAGCACGTCATCTTTCCCAAGCCCCATCTACCAGGGCTCCAGCAGAAGCTACTTGTCAAGGACCCTCACGGGGTTCTGGAGGGTTACAATGGACTCATCCATCATTCTCTGAGTTGTGAGCCCATTGCTATTGCTTCTTTGTTGTTCAGAGGCTGGGGTTCCAGGGGAGCAGAGACAGAGAAGACTGATAACTGAGGCCTCTTGCTAGCTGCTTTGGATAAGAAAATAATTCTGAAGACTTGACAATATTAATATATGCATTTTGCTTTTTTTGCCAGTAAATAAAAGATCACTGTTGTCTTCAAATCCAACAATGAAGAGCCCCTATGGGCAACTTAATCCTAAGTGGATCAAGTGGTTGCAGAAGCTGTGCCATCCCTGCTGTTTTGGCCATGGTGCATACCTTGTCCTCAACCAGGGTTACCTCTCAGAGGCAGAGGGTGACCTGGTGGACTGAAAACTAGAATGCAACATTGTACTCCTCACAAAGGTAGTATACCTGGCCAATAAGACATTCAACTATAGAGCCATTGACAGAGTGATGTCCAGGGGCAAGCAGCTTATGCTAGAGAAAGTGTCAAAAGTTGGGCAGTGGTTTAACCCCATCAGGCAACCCACCAAAGCTTGGCTCATTCCAGCTTTTTGTTGAAGGCTATAAAGGTGCAGACTATTGGGTGTGGCGTTTTGAAGCAGAACTGCTTCCTGAGAACATTAACCAGCAACTGATCCTGCAGTTCCAGCCGCTGGTGGTGCTGGATCACATCATCTGCGACACTGACAGAGACAATGACAACTGGTAAATGTGACTGTCCAAAGGATAGCTCTAGCTTTCAGCACACAGACTGGGTGATGGTGAAGGAGCCTGTTATCAAGGTGTCTGCCATAGACAATGGGCTGGCCTTCCCACAAAAGCAGCCTGACTCCTAGAGGGAATATCCTTTGCACCGGGCCTGGTTGCCCCGGACAAAAGTCCCATTCTCTTAGGAGTTCAAAGATCTGATCCTTCCAAAGATATCCAACCCAACTTCAAGGACTTGGAAGAGGACCTATGTGAACTCTTCAGGAAAGCTCCTGGGTTGGGTCTGGTGGCTCATGCCTGTAATCCCAGCACTTTGAGAGGCAGATCACTTGAGCTCAGGAGTTGGAGACCAGCCTGGGCAAATGGGGAAACCCTGTCTCTACAAAAAAAAAAAAAAAAAAAAGTAAAAATTATCCCGGTGTCATGGTGCATGCCTGTAATCCCGGCTACTTGGGAGGCTGAGGAGGAAGGATTGCTTGAGCCCAGGAAGTGGAGGTTGCAGTGAGCCAAGATCAGGCAACTGCACTCTAGCCTGGGAAACAGACTGAGACCTTGTCTCTTAAAAAAAAAAAAAATCTGGTTTTGACAAGGACCAGTTTGATAAGCAGATTACTGTCATGCTGGGTCAGATCCTAAATCTGACTCAGGCCTTGAAAGACAAGAGTCCCCTGCACCTTGTCCAGATGCCACCTGTGGTTGTTGAGATGAGATGGCCCATTCCCACCAGCGGTTTTCTAGCGAATCCTACACACAGAGATTTGAGTTTCAAAAGTCAGAGGAAGGCAAAGGAAGCACTGTCTGAAACTTGTGGGAGGAAGCCTGTGGAGTGGGGTGCAGGAAAAGCCAGAGAAGCCAGTGGAGAGCAGAACCTTTAAAATCCCTCCCATTCTGCTTGCCACCACCCTTGGGTCTTCCCTACCCACAAGGAGAAGCACAGGAAGAGTGAGTGCTCCTTGGCCCTTCTTAGTGCCAGGGATGCCTGGGAAGAAGCATCTCCCTTTCAGCATCTGCTGGTGGCAGGATGGGACAGTCCCTTCCTTCCCTGACACCTTGCTCTATTGTAATTCTCTATTCTGCATCAGCAAAAGCAGACAAACAAGAAAACCAATGCTTGTAGCACAGCCCAGATCCCCTCATGTCAGAAACCTTTAATCCAGGCCTAAATTAGCATAGATCCAGACACTCAGCTGCCTTGCTGTTGCTTACTCCCACGAACCAAGACTGTGTCAGAGGGCAACTGGATGGCTCACAGTGCTGGAACAGACAGAAGCCACACCTTTCCTTTGGGTTTTTGCCAAGCCTTCTTCCCCTTCTCCCACCAGTGCTGTAGGGTGCCTGCAAACCTCTAAACAGTTCTCCCAAAAGGGAGGTTTTTGCTCTACACCTCCCAGCAGTTCTGCACACAATCATGGGGAACCTCTCTGCTCCCTGCCGTGCTGCAGCTTGTCTGTCTCTCAAGCAGAGGCAGAAAGAGCTAGTCTTAGCATTTATATTTTAATAAGAAGTTGACTCCCAGCATGTAAAAGTGATCCACATGGCTTAAATGTATGCTGGGAGCCGTAAGTGCTCTATGGGTGAAATTATCCCGCCTTGCTTCCTGAGTCCTTGGTCCCAACCATCTAATTTGTTCCTTTTGTTTTAATTTTTTCCTCCAACTCTTTTGACTTAAGAGTTCAGTTTCTTCTGAGTATGTGTCTGTGAGGGTTCTGGGGTGAGTCTTGGTTTACAAGAGGACAAGATATTATTAGTGGATTTCCTTCTATGCTACCACTGCTGATTGGTGGAAGTAACAAGACTTGTATTCTGTGCCCTGCCTCCTAATTGGCAGATTCCCTTTACTCTCTGACTTGTCTCAGGCCAGTTTCTTCATGGCTTCTTGAGAAAGACAGGGCCCAAAGGAGAGAGGTCTACAAACTGTCCCCAGTTCCTGCCCAGCCCAGTGCACATCTTCTTGCTTCCTTGTAACTTTTTCCCCGGCTACCCAACCCCACTGCCAGGTGTTTGAGCCCTTTCTACACCAAACCAAAGAACGGCCTGAGGAGGAAGTAAAAAGGGTGCCATCTGTGGATGAAGGGCAGCTGTGTTCATATGCCCTGTACTACTGAACACTTCACAGTTCTGGCACCTTGAGATTGGTTAATCAACTCAAAAAGAAACTATCTTGAAGGTTTGAAGAACAACCAAAGAAAGGGAGCAAGGACTAGGGCTGTGTATCTTCTGCTTACCCAGCTTTGGAGCAGAGATGTGTCAGCTGGTCCAGGTTGGCCTCCTTCCAGTCCAGCCTCCAGGAGTCTGCTTGTCACCTGTGATTATTGAGGTGCCTGGCAGAGAGAAGGCCATTCCATGAGTGCCACCCATCTGACAAGAAGAGTTTCTGTGCATGCCCTATGGACAAAGGCACAGCTCACCTGCCTTCCTCAGCCTTGACAATCCCATGCAGCTGACTTGGACCCTGGCCTTGGGAACAATGTTTGAGAGAATACCCGTGACCTGACTGTAGGAGCCAGTAGGGGATCCAGGTGTGCATAGCTATCTGTAGACATCTTTACACAAATCTGTTGGTAATGCTCCCCACTTGGTGCTCAAGAGAACCTTGGGAGTCTAACAAGGAACCTGGCTGCCTTACCTGGCCACATCCTCCATGCCAGATCTGCACATTGTCTTAATCCAGAGCAGCTCTGTGATAAGAAGGAAATTGGGCCCTATGTAAGAGGGAGCTAGCCCTGGGCCTAGCAGGCAAAAGAATGTGGGGTGTCTTTTCCTGGCCTGTTTCCATTCTGCCTAGAAGCCTGTGCTTACGTTGCATTGAATGTGGATGCTAGAAGAGCCAGTGGTCCAGAGTGCCACAGAAGGCTTCTGGGCGGCACTTCATGGAATGGCATGGTCCCTCTGCCAGCCAGCATCAGGGAGTGGAGGTTGGGCTGTGAGAGTGCTACTTCCCCCTGTGTTGTTTTTCTGATGCACTGTAGAAATTGTACATAATATATTTAAATCAATGAAAACATATGAATAACAAATCCAATTCTGAAACAAAAAAATAAATTTGTAATGATGAGTATCCTGGAATGGAAGGAAGACAATAAAGAAAATGGAAACCTAACAGCATGTATGTATTAGTCCATTTTCACACTGCTATAAAGATACTACCTGAGACCAGGTTATTTGTAAACAGAAAAGAGGTTTAATTAACTCACAGTTCTGCATGGCTGGGGAAAACTCAGGAAACTTACAGTCATGGTGGAAGGCGAAGATGAAGCAAGGGCCTTCTTCACATATTAGCAGGGGAGAGAAAGACCGCAGGGGAAACTCCACTTTTAAAACCATGAGATCTAGGGAGAACCCTCTCACTATCAGGAGAACCACACAGGGAAAATCATCCACATGATCCAGTCACCTCCAACCGAGCCCCCTTCCTCTACACGTTGAGATTACAATTTGAGATGAGATTTGGGTGGGAACACAGAGTCAGGCTCAGTCCAGGGACACCAGCTACAATGCAGTACCTTACTTATTAGCAAGATTTATGAAGAGAGCTATGAACACTTCATAAACACCTTCAGAGTGGTTTCATCAAGCGAAGTATTCAATACCATGATCAGAGTTTCCAAGACCACCCTCTTTATTTACCTATAGAACCCAGATGAGACCTATTATACAGCCTGCCCATAACGTTCTGTGTGACCTCTGCCTCTTTTTTTTTTTTTTTTTTGAGACGGAGTCTGGCTCTGTCGCCCAGGCTGGAGTGCAGTGGCGCGATCTCAGCTCACTGCAAGCTCCACCTCCCGGGTTCACGCCATTCTCCTGCCTCAGCCTTCTGAGTAGCTGGGACTACAGGTGTCCGCCACCATGCCCAGCTAATTTTTTGTATTTTTAGTAGAGACGGGGTTTCACCGTGTTAGCCAGGATGATCTCGATCTCCTGACCTCCTGATCCGCCCGCCTCGGCCTCCCAAAGTGCTGGGATTACAGGCATGAGCCACCGCGCCCGGCCGACCTCTGCCTCTTAAACCCAAAACTGACCACACCAATGTGCAAGTTTGCCATCTACTTTACATCAGCTACAATGAGTGGTATTACTCTATCCCTTCACTTTCTTGCTAAACTATTAGTAAACATGGCTTTCTTAATTTGACTCCACAAGATGGTTGCAAATGAGTTACAGTTCCCTTTCTTTTTGCTAGTGCATGACCTGCTGCACTCACCAACAGATAAAACAGGAGTTCCAGGTCTTTATCTGCCTGGTCTTTGATGCAGCAAACAAGGTAGCAGTGTGTGACCCACCTACCCACTGCTCCCTAACTCCTGTAGCTGGTTTCTACCCACAGGTGAACACAAAGGGAGTAAATGAGCAGATCTTGAGTATACAAATAAAGAACAGTAGCCACTTAGAACTGATCCTTTACATAATCAAGATATCAGTCTCTAGCGTACTACACCACCAACAATATTGGTACCCTAGGGTTATTTAAGCACTCTGAGCAGTGCACTACCACGTTTCATGAGTTTCAGCCTTCTTCCACTGACACACGTAGCAGAGCATGAAGAAAATGATATTCATGGAAGGTTAAAGCAATACTAAAGAAAAAACAAAACTCTTCTTAAACCCAGTGATTCTAGAATACTGCTTATAAGAGAAGGAATTTGATGAGGAGTTCAAAGAGACGTCAGGAAAAGCTGCACATGTCATCTTCAATTGCTCCTTTACCTCTCTCAAAATTTGCATCCTTTTGTTGAGACAAAGTCTCACTCTGCTGTCCAGGCTGCAGTGCGGTGGCACAATTATATCTCACTGCAGACCAAAAAACCTGGGATCAAGTGATCCTTCCACTTCAGCTTCCCAAGTAGCTAAGACTGTAGATGTACCACCATACCTGGGTAATCTTTTAATTTTGTTTATTTATTCTTTTTTTAGAGATGGGGCCTTGCAATTTTGCACAGGTTGATCTCAAACTTTCGATGTCAAACAATCCTCCTACCTCAGTGTCTCAAAGTACTGGGATTACAGGCATGAGCCACCATGCCAAGACTAGATCTGGCATCTCTTCTATCGTTTTATTTCCAATCTAACATGGTTTCTGATACATGATAAGGACTTAATTAATAATAAATTGTTGTTTTGGAAGGAAATACAGTATATTCCCGCACCATACCAAAACACAAACACTCTCTCCCCCACCCCACACACATACACCCCTATCCCCTGTCCCCTCACACACACCCATCCCCCCTCACCATACACAGACACACACACACATACACACACACACACACACACACAAGCACACAATTGTTGTGGGTAGGGTCAACTTATTATGACAAGAACTCAGAATATTTAAATATTTGGAAAACCAAAGAGGAAGATGCAGTGGAGTCACAGGCAATCAAATTCTGCTGGCCATTTATTGTGATTATCTTCTACCCTGGGTTGAAGATATTTCATTAATAGACCTTAATTATGCTAACAGGCATGTCTTTGTCTTCATTGTTTACTGTTCTCTTTGCTTTATGCTCCATCCGCTGAGAGGATTTTCTGTGAAAATTGACCTTATTGACCATATCGAAAGTTGGCATAGGGAGTATGCACACCTTGGGAGAGGGCCACATGTTTATAAGAACAAGACTGAGGACAGAACTAATAGGAGACGTGTGTGTGTGTGTGTGTGTGTGTGTGTATGTGTGTGTATATATATATGTATATATGTGTATATATGTGTGTATATATGTGTATATATACGTATATATACGTATATACGTATATATACGTATATATATATAAAATGAAGGGGAGTTTATTAAGTATTAACTTACATGATCACAAGATCCCATAATAGGCTATCTGCAAGCTGAGGAGAAAGGAAAGCCTGTCCGAATCCCAAAACTGAAGAACGTGGAGTCTGATGTTTGACGGCAGGAAGCACCCAGCATCGGAGAAAGATGTAGGTTGGGAGGTGAGGCCCATCTCGCCTTTTCACATTTTTCTGTCTGCTTTATATTCGCTGACAGTTGATTAGATTGTGTCCACCACATTAAGGGTGGATCTGCCTTCCCCAGCTCACTGACTCATGTGAATCTCTTTTGGCAACACCCTCACAGACACACCCGGGATCAATACTTTGTATCCTTCAATCCAATCAAGTTGACACTCAGTGTTAACCATCACACAGAACATGGAAGTTTTTTGTTTGTTTCTTTTGTTCATTCATTCATTTATTAAATCATTCATTTTGAAGAGAGGCTTTGGTTCACATTGACAGAATATTATTATTATGGAATGTTGGTTCAATGTAAGCAAATTAATAACTGACTCATCACATAAACAGAACTGACTGAAGAAACAAACAAACAAACAAAAAATAATGATCAAATCAATAGATGCAGAAAAGGGCTTTGAAAAAATTCAACATCCCTTTGTGATAAAAACCCTCAACAAACTAGGCATTGAAGGAATATACCTAAAATTAATGAGAGCCATCTATGACAAACCCACAGCCAATTGTATGAATAGGCTAAAGTGGGAAGCATTCCCCTTGGGAACCCAAACAAAGCAGGGATGTCCACTCTTACCTCTCCTATTTAACATAGTACTGGAAGTCCTAGCCAGAGCAATCAGCTAAGACAAAAAAATAAAAGGTATCCAAATAGGAAGAGAGGAAGTCAAATTATGCCTGTTTGTAGGTAACATGAATTTTTTTTTTTTTTTTTGAGATGGAGTCTCACAGGCTGGAGTGCAGTGGCATGATCTCTGTTCACAGCAAGCTCCACCTCCCAGGTTCATGCCATTCTCCTGCCTCAGCCTCTGAAGTAGTTGGGACTACAGGTGCCCACCACCACGCCCGGCTAATTTTTGTATTTTTAGTAGACAGGGTTTCATCATGTTAGCCAGGATGGTCTCGATCTCCTGACCTTGTGATCCACCGGCCTCGGCCTCCCAATGTGCTGAGATTACAGGCGTGAGCCAACATGATTTTATACCTAGAAAACTCCATAGTCTCTGCCCAAAAGCTCCTAGATCTGATAAACAACTTCAGCAAGGTTTCAGGATACAAAATAAATGTACAAAAATCAGTAGCATTTCTATATACCAACAGCATCCAAGCTGAGTACCAAATCAAGAACGCAATCCCACTCACAATAGCCAAAAAAAGAATAAAATACCTAGGAATACAGTTAACTGGGGAGGTGAAAGATCTCTACAATGAGAATTACAAAACATTGATGAAAGAAATCAGAGATGACATAGACAAATGGAAAAACATTCTATGCTCATGGATAGGAAGAATCAATATTGCCAAAATGGCTATACTGTCCAAAGCAATTTCAATGCTATTTCTAACAAACTACCAATGACATTCTTCACAGAATTAGAAAAAAAATTATAAAATTTATATATGGAATCAAAAAAGAGCCTAAATAGCCAAAGCAATTCTACGCTAAAAACAAAACAAAACAAAAACAAAAACAAAACAAACAAAAAAAACTTGGAGGCAACACGTGACTTGACTTCAAACCATACTACAAGGCTATAATAACCAAAACAACAAGGATGATACTGGTACAAAAACTGACACATAGACAAATGCAACAGGTTAGAGAAACCAACCAACCAACCAACCAAACAAAAAAGACTGCATATACACAACCATCTGATCTTCGACAAAGTCAACAAAAACATGCAATGGGGAAACGACTCCCTGTTCAGTAGATGGTGCTGGCATAACTGGCTAGTCATATGTAGAAGATTGAAACTGTGCCCCTTCCTTACATCATATACAAAAATCAACTCAAGCTGAATTAAAGAGTTAAATTTAAAATCTAAGAGGATAAAAGCCCTTGAAGAAAACCTAGGAAATACCATTCTGGACACAAGTCTTGACGAATGTTTCATGACAAAGATGCCAGATGCAATTGCAACAAAAACAAGTGGGACCTAATTAAACTAAAGAGTTTCTCCACAGCAAAATCAACTATCAACAGAGTAAAGAGACAGCCTACAGAATGGGAGAAAATATTTGCAAACTGTCCATCTAACAAAGTCCTAATATTTGGAATCTATAAGAAATTTAAACAAATTAACAACAAAAAAATCCTATTATGTAGTGGGCAAAAGACAAGAACAGACACTTCTCAAAAGACATGCTGACTAGTCTGTTTTCTTCCAATCAGTCCCAACTGATTGTCTGCACACCCAAAGTTATTTTCTATACATAGTATCAATCATTTTTTATTTCTTTATTTTTTCATACACCAACAACTTATGAAAAACTGCTCAACACCACTAATTTTTAGAGAAATGGAAATCAAAACCACAGTGAAATACCATCTCACACCATTCAGAATGAATGTTATTAAAATGTCAAAAGTAACATATACTGGAGGATTGCTGAAAAAAAGAATGTTTATATACTGCTGGTGGAAATGGAAATTGGTTCAGCCACTGTGGAAAGCAGTTTGGTGATTTCTCAAAGAACTTAAAACAGAACTACCATTCAACCCAGGAATCTCATAATTGGGTGTATACACAGAAGCATATATATTGCTTTGCTATGATCACATGCAAATGTATTTTAATCACAGCACTGTTCACAATAGCAAAGACATGGAATCAACCTAAATGCCCATCAATGGTAGACTAGATAAAGAAAATATGGTGCATATAAGACCATGGAATACTACACAGCCATAAAAAAGGAAGTGATCATGACCTTTACAGCAACATGGATGGAGCCACAGGCCATTATCCTAAGTGAGCTAACACAAGAGCAGAAAACCAAATACAGCAGAAGCCAACCATAGACACTGGGGCCTTCTGGAGGGTGAAGGATGGAAGGAGACTGAAGATTGAAAAATTACCTATTGGGTACTATGCTAATTACCTGGGTGATGAAATAATCTGTACACCAAACCTCCATGACAGGCAATTTACCTATATAACAAACCTGCACATGTACCCCTGAAACTAACATAAAGGTTAAAAAATGTTAGAAATTACACTCTGCTCATTTCCAGGCTCAGACCTTAAGAAACTTGAGAATCTTTAAGAATCGTGCACATACAGGCTTATTTTCCCTCATGTTCTTATGTCAAATTTCAATTACAGAGCTACATGGATATGTTCACTTTATGAAAATTTTATCTGTACACTTTAGCTTTGCTCAATTTCCTGTATATGCATGACAAACGGAAAACTTTCAATTAGAATTAAACAGTTGAATAAAGTTTGACAATTATGTGAAAAATTCAGAAAAGTAATAATCTAGCTCATATGTTATATATATAATATAGCATAGTATATTATCTATATATCATAGTATCAATAGTATCAATCATTTTCCCCCAATTATGTAAAAAATTCAGAAAAATAAAGTAATATAGCGCGCACACACACACACACACACACACACACACACACACACACATATATAATGTCCACAGATTTGCAGTTTATCTGGGGCATCTCTGCCTCAGGCTTATCAGGTAGTTGGGATGAGCTGCAGGCTGAGTTAGATTCAGGTTTTCTCAATGCATCTTCATTTTCCTTGGACTAGCAGTTACCCAAGTCATGCTATTCTCCTCACAGGTGGCAGATATCCAAGAAGTCAGGACAAACTACGCAAACACATGTGTAGACTCTGTTCATATAATATCTGCTACTGTTTATTATAGTGCCTAACTGAAGCTCAAAATTAATGGGGATAGGGATATAGACTTAACCCACTTTATTACAAGGCACTGGAAGATCACTTAGAGAAGGCAAGAAGAATCAGAATGATAATCAACGTACCGCAATGCTATATAGGATAATATAGTAATAGGACATGGGTTTAAATGAGTCATGATTGTCAATGATGTAGCAATGTGTGGAGAATTGGAAATATATAGATTTTTGTTAAAACTTACTCCTGTGGGCTGGGTGTGGTGGCTCATGCCCATAATTCCAGCACTTTGGGAGGCTGAGATGAGAGCATCACTTGAGTCCAGGAGTTCCAGACCAGCTTGGTCAACATAGTGGGACCCCGTCTCTAAAAAAAAAAAAAAATAAGAAAAGGAAAAAGAAAAAAAAAACTTGCTCCTGTGAACTATATTTAAAACATTGCACCACCTATTCCTGAGACATGAAGTGCCTTTCAAGGCTTATATAATATTCTCTGTGATACTCACTGTCTGTTTTCACTTATTACACCAGTAAACCCAAAAGGGTCATGTTTGCTAAGTGGTGACTTAGTACCATACCCTGTCCTTAAACATATCTTATATCAAAGCAACAAATTTGCTCAACATGGTGTAGCAATTAGTTGTAATAGGAATAGATGAGACAAAAGAGTGTTTTGAATGGTTTAATTTTGTTTTGCTGGGGTGGGAAGAATAGAAATAAAATATTTGGTTTTGGACATATTGAGTTTGCAAGTGCTATATGACAGAATGAAAGAAGACATTATATTTAATATTAGAAAAAAAGATCAAATAATCAGGAGAGGTATGCAAAAAAATAAATGAGTTGAAGCATAGATAGAAATATTTATCTCTCCAAAGACTGTTTTCTTAATTTCGAAGTAAAAATCAACATTGTTTTTACTCCAGCCAAATAGACACTACACAAAGGATAAAAACTCACCATAGAGAATTAAAATGAAAGCATTAGAAATATCCTTTCCTTTCCCACCTTGTCTAGCGATAGTGACAAAGAGTAGGAATAATCTAATGGAGATTAAGGGTGTCAGGTTTTATCATTCCAGAAAGAGTACAGGACACACTTATGGCAAAGAAAGTAAGTATGTAATCCCATCAGCCTACAGGTCGTTGAGAAAATTATTTGCATTGATTAGTTCAGGGATTCAGAGAAATTCTGCCATATTTCTATGCGATAATTTCTAGTCTACAAAAGAGCAAAATAGAGAACTTAAGTATCGGGCTCATTTTATCAGACAGTTGTAAAGAGAGGGCAAATGGACCTTCCTTTTTATGAAGTTAAATGAATGTTGTTATGACATTGCTGAAAGTGGGATAGCATCCCTCTACACCTTATATGATACACTAATTCTTCCAAATTATGTTAGCAAATGCCAATAAAAATCTTATAATTCAAATATATGATTTCTGCACATATTAAAATTATTACACTATAACAAAGTTACACCAACTCTTTTATAACTTAAGACATTCTGATTTTATTTAATATATTTGATAATTTGTTGATTAAAGAAAAAGTCTCCTTAAATTTGGAGAAATTAGAAAACCCTCTCTCACCATAAGAACTTTTTCCACCTAAACAGGAAATGATAAGAAAATGGGTGATTTTCAGAGTCCAGAAAATAAGATAATATTTTTCAAGGATAAAATATACTCAAAATTTTGCAAACATTCTTATTTACAGCAAAGAAAAATAAGCAAAATTGTTAACAATGGATAAACTAGGATTTCCACACACACAGACACACACACACACAGGCACACACGCATACACACAGGGATAATCAATACTGCCAAATGAAGTTAAGAGGTCAGGTAGATTTAGGATTAAAAATAATTCATGAAATCTGGTAATTACTAAATAATAAGTGATCATTGAAAGAAAACGTTTATTAGAACAGTGTTTCTAGAAATTAGATTATGACAGTTGGATGAGATGATGGGAGGTGAATAAATGAAGGTTATGATGTCAATTTTCAATAATATTGGTTCTTTCTTTCTAGAATATGCTTCTCCTATTGCTCTTCCTAGGAAAGTTTTACTCATATCAAAACTCAGAGGAAAATGGAGTGAAGAATATACGTGTCCCTGATATATGTATACGTGTGTATGTGTGTGTTTGTATATATGTGTATGTGTGTGTATACATACACATGTATATATGTATATGTATTTGTATACACATATGTATATTTCACTTGTATGTAACCATGTATATCTAGATTAATCTAGACAAAAGCTCATACTGATGTCTCAATCTGCAATACATTACCTCATAGTTCATTCCACCCTTCTCCTCTCTCTTATCTGTAACCTTCCACTCAAATAGTGAGAGACATATCTCATGCAATCTATAATCAATTTACTGAATTGTTCATATTCTGTATATATGTATAGCTGTAACAGACTTACAACATGTAAATCTTTGGTAAGCTACTTTATCAAGTATATTACAGTGCCTATGTACAATTTCTTTTGTTTCTGGCCTTTTAGACTCCTCTCATTTATAAAGTTACTTAAGTCAGCACCTTTTCCCTCTACCTCCTTCAGTGAGGTTGTGTCATAAATTTGTAATATAGTTAGATCATTTTGTCAGTCAACATTCCATCCTGGGATTACACTAAGCTCCTGCATATATTTTTAAATTCCATACTTTAAGTTTCACTGCTTGTAATGAAAGTCCTATAGGTTCTAAAAAGTCCATCTTTGCTGACCAGTATTGTCTCAATAAAATAGATTATATTGTGTGCCGTGGTGAGAGAGAATTACCTGGGTTGAAGATATGGTTGAAGATTTGAAGTTAGTTTTGAAAGTTTAGAATAGCTGCCACGTGAATAAGGAAATGGGGCTGAGAAAGAAATGTCAAACAAAGAAAAATTGCTGAGTTGCTTCAGTGCTTAAGCAAAGCTGCTATCATAAATGTATAATAGATATAATTAAAGAGAACATGAGGTTTTTCCAGCAGCACTTCTCAGCCCAGGGAAAAGTGAGATGATTAGATTGGTCAACATTTTGGCATTGCCAAGGAGAGGTCATCGGCAGAAGGTGAAGGGGACTGAATAGATGGAAAGTAGTAGGGAGAAAGTCACTGAGATGATTAACCATGAGATTGGTCCAGGATAGCCTGGGAGGGAAATGAAGTCAGATAAGTTCTATATTCTAATAGATTAAGATGAGCTCAGTGATTAGAGGTCAGGGATGACTGTAACAGCAGGTTTGGCTAAGTGGAAGAGCTGAGATTACAGGAAACTGGCTGGTTAAGGGGCAATTTCAGACTTCAGGAATATGATTTATCAATATAGAGTTTCAACCCACTGAATTTAACGAGAAGGAAAAAGCATATGTTTGCATAATAAGGAGACAAATAGAACATCTCAGTCTTCATAACAATTGAATTTGGGAAACATAAACTTGATTTATCACTCATTTAGTTTTGATTGTAACTACATTGTTAAGCCTAAAAGCTGTAAATCAACTTCTTGAATAGATTTGTTAGTGACTGCAATTAATTAAAGCTAATTCAAATATACTTTATAAAATAATCAGAGGTTAAAACTTATATTTAAATTTAGTAATTAATTGATACATGGCTAGTGTTCCTATATAAATCTTTCTGGGTTTTAACTTCAGACAGATACATAAATATTTCAGTTATTTGCACACTGACTGTTCCAAATCTCAAGTCCTGAAAAGTATTAACCTTTGATTCATCTTGATTTCTGCAAAGAATGTAAATAACTTTAGAAAGAAGACATACCACACTGATCAAAAGTTAATAAATTAACTAAAATTTTTTCTAACCTTAAAGTAACTGAATTATTACCTATTAAAGATAGGAATCATGATAAAAAAAATAAATGAATGCTTTCTGCAATCCAAAACTGAAAAATTAAGTAAGTTATTTAAAAGAAACCTCTTCTAAAAAAACTTTTATTTTCAATCAAATAGCTCAGTGAGCTTCTCAAAAAATATGTATCATCTCTATCTGTGATTTTGGTTGCATTTTTGCCTTTGTATGCATGAAATTCTATTTACTTACATTAAGTTAAGCTTCTTGAATTTGTCTCTTTACTACCATTTTTGGCTGAAAATAATACACAGACTTCATTTATTCTTGGATGATTATAATAATGATAAGCAGATAGCAATTAAAAATGAAAGAAAACATTCTCAATTATTATTACTAATGCACTGAATTTACATTACATTACAAATAACATTTTTACAAGATTTACTTGACCTTTAAGGTTTTGTGCATTCTAGTTATTACCTTTAAAATAACCAAGAATATCTGAAATTTTGGCAATGCTATATGGTACAATATGAAACTGTTGGCAAAACTGCCTACATATAGTTCCGTAGAGTCGGAGCTTTTCCATATGGAAGATGACTTCATAAAACCTCCCCAGACTAAATATGCACTTTGTCTCATATTTTCAGATTCTAGATTAATTTGCACAATTAGTAATCATACTGACTGAAAGGACTATAATTTACCATAAAGAGTTTACCAACTGAAATATATTAATTCTTCTATATGTAAGCATATCACAATGTTAACAACATCAGTGATTAAATAAATAATTGATGGTGCTAGCGTTAGTAGGAATGATTTGCTCCTTCATTACAGTATGTATCTGTTAGCTCAAGACATTTGGTTTAAGACCAACGTTTTCACAGACAAAAAACGTTAAAATAGAGCATGAAATGATTACAATGAGTAGCACAATGAGACAAATCAGAGGGTTGCACAATGATGTCATCTCTAGAGTGAAATTATTTCTTGGTGTTTTACTTAAACTGTAGAAATGACGTTATTAATTAAGAATTCTGCAAGAACTTTTCCCTAATTTTAAAAGCAGAGTATTACCTTATAAGAAATATGTAGCTTAAAAGACTGCTAACTAAAGCACATTTGAATAGCCAATACCATAAAAGATTTGTGAGAACTGTGTTTCCATTTTTAAGGAACCACTCCTGAAAATAGGTTTCAAGTTTGCAGCCATCAAGAAGAAATGTGTTTGGGCATATAGAAAGCGCTCTTTACAGATCTGTTATACTCGGGAACTTTGAAGGTTATTTGAATGGCTGAAGAAAACTGTCAAACAGATTATTTAAACTTTACAAGTTATAAATTCAGGAGAAATCAGTGGATATAGGGTACAACTCTAGGGGACCATTGATACTTTTTGAGTTTGCTGATTCAATTTGGTGGTTTCATATTGTGTGTTTAAGAAGTGTTGGTCCAGAAAATCAGGCCAATGATAAAATAATTTAACACTTAATGATTGCCTTTCAATATGTATTTAAAATGTATACAACTCTAAAATAGAAAAATTGCATCGTTTCCATCAGGAATTAAAACTCATTTCCTAGTAGCATCCACAACAGTAAATTCTCAATTTGCTGGAACCAAAATTTCCGGAAACCAAATTTTATTTCTTAGCACTCAGCATTAGGATAGTCATGCACATCAAAAGAAAATGGGATTAGTCCAAAAACTGTTTAGTGTTTAACTGTCTTCAAAAACATTTAGCCTTCTGATCAGATCTATATGTACATGGTTATATAATGAAAACAACTGCTCAGTACACTCCCTTTTCCTCCCCAATAAACTAAGAAAATTGATATTAGGCACGTATCATAATAAAATGGACATGAGAAACAAAAAATAGAAAACCTCAAAGTTATACACCTACTGTGTGCAATAAAGTGTGCTAAGTATTTTTAGGCGTTTTAGACTTCAGAGAATATAGATTTTTTTCTCAAGCAACCTAAGAGATTAGATGGACAAGAAAAAATCCATATATTAATAATTATAAGTTAAGGTTGAAAATTATAAGTGCTGTAAAAGGTAAAGGTAAACTAGTATCTACTTTCTGAGATGAAAAAATTTATTTTTGTAGAGGGCTGCAGGAGGTTTCCTACACCGAGTCTCATTTACTGTGGCCCTCAAATAAGTATTATGTTGATACATGGTGAGCAGAAGAAAATATACTACAGAGAGTGAATAGTAAGAGCAAAGACATTTTTAAAATCAGAGCACTCTATGGAAATACATCACTTGTGGTTAAATAAATACCTTGTTGAGCCGGTTGGATCAAGATTCAATATCCTTTCTCAATTTACAAGCTGTATCATGCTGGATCAATTATTTACTCTGCTCATCTGCAGAAATTGATACAATAATAATAATGCTTTTATTATGGTTTGTTTTAAGGACAATGAGAAGATACATATAAAATTCCTGGTATATCTATTATTATTATTTTCAATATATATTTTTGCATTGTGAAGTTTTTCAAAAAGTTACAGTTTAATATATGTTTCAGTATTTACGTTGCTGTCCCATGAAGTAGCTAATATTGATTTGTTAATCTCAATTGGTAAACTGTTATCTAATAAGTAAGTTAGAAAAATAACTTTGATGTTGTTACCAAGTATTTTATATTTAGATTTCAACATGTGTAAGTAATGATATCTAATATATATGGTGCCCTGTGTGACAGATAATGTATTTTACATGTGTTGACTGAATGAATCTTTACAATAACCCTATCAGGGAGGTACCAATATATCCCCATTTTATAAATGAGAATAAGAAAGTGAGTTCATGCTTCTAGATCCACTAATGTGTATGATAAACAACCCTAAGAACAAGGAATATAGAATTTACCTTGCCTTATTACACAACTAGGGAATCCCTAGGAAATCCCTAGAAAGATACAGAATTAGTCAGTGTAATGTGGATTAGTTATTTGTACGAGTTAAAAGAGCATGATGCAACTGATTTCATTTAATGAATTCTGCAGATATTTACTGTGTACTTCTATGGACATAACACTACACTAGGCACTCTGGAGGGTGCAACGATTAAGTTTGTCTCAATCTGTTTAGGAAGCCCTCTATTTACATGCCTTTCTATACAAAATTGCCATAATAGAGACATAGGTGTAGTGCTACCTGAGCAAATGTAAGAAAAATATACATTCTGCTCTGTTTTAATCATACAGAACAATGTAAGGGAAAAAAAATCGTATTTGAACTACACCTTGAAGGATAACTGAGAACTTGTAAAGAACAGCCTAATCAGAGGGAATAGAATTAGCAGAAGTATGGAATATGAATAAAATGGTTACTACAGAAAGATGTAGGGTTAGATGTGGCTGTAACTATAATGAGGAAGATTGTGGAGGCTTTTGGAAACCTTGCAAATCTGATACTTTCCTGCAGGTAATCAAGATCTAAGAAAAGCCTCTCAATACCCCTTACATAACTACATATAAATTATCTTTATATTAGAGAGCGGTAACTCTGGTGGCTTTATAAATGACAGGAGAAAAAGGAACTGTGAGAAATATTTCAGCCATTATTTCACAAATCAAGAAAAGAGATGATGAGGATCTGCTCTCCGAAAATGGCTTGAGAAAGTTGATGCTACAGTGACATTTAAGGTGTGATAGGGCATTGGAATCTGCAATGATATCAAATATTTCAAAACCATGTAACTGGGAGGAAAGGGTCAAACAAGGAATATGGAAAGGGTATCTGTTGGATGAAGTTGAGTGAGTATAATAATAGCAGGATAATATTTATTATAGTAAATAAATATATATGTATCTATAAAGTATACTCAAGCATTTTGATCAGTAAAATTTGGGAAAGATGAATGCAAGGAATTGTAAATAAACCAGATAGCCTTGAATAAAATAGAAATTATACTAAGATCGAGAAAGACTGAATAGCATAGTTGTCATATAAAAGCCAGGTAAGAAGAGTGTCCAACAACGTTTTGATCAGTAATGAATCGGCCAGTAATGAATCCCCCCAGAGGTCTCAACTGGCCCCTATTTTTAGGAAGATGAAACATCCGTCTGCTCCATAAATTATGAGATGACAAGGCCTAGTAAATTGTAAACCGGTGTGAGACATTTAGTAACAAGGACTTGATAGAAACAGAGGGCAAAAAAAGGGCACTACCTAAGGAGTTACAGGCCATAGACTTTGTTTTATATATACTAGGCTCCCAAGAGTATTTTTTGGCTCCTTTTCTGAGCAAAAAAGGCACTAGCTGAGGAGTTACAGGCCAGAGACTTTGTTTTATATATATTAGGCTCCCAAGAGTATTTTTGAGTGTAGGTAAGGCGATTTCTGGTGATCGACTCCCTGGGAAAATAAGGACACTCAAAGTGGAATAAAATAAAAGCATTCTCTGCTTATTATTTCCAATTGTTTCTAAGAAGATGGCTGACTACATATAAGGAATCTAGAAAATAATCAGTCCAGAATTAATTAATCATGAATACTGTTAGTGACATACTAATGGCAGGTGTCTGGCATTGTTCTTTGTGTATTAGAGGTATCATCTCTTGTATCCATTACACAAACCTTAGAAGTAGGTATAGATTCATTTTCTGCAGTGGGTTTCTAGTCTACTAATGAAGCAGTCATGTACTTATACTCATCACATACACAGCAAGTATTTTATTTTTCTTTTATCAATTGTGCATAACTTTTTAAAATTTTTATTTCCATAGGTTTTTGGGGAACAGGAGGTATTTGGTTACATGAATAATCTCTTCTGTGGTGATTTGTGAGATTTCGGTGCACCCGTCACCCAAGTAGTATACACTGAACCCAATTTGTAGCCTTTTGTCTCTCACCCACTTCCCACCTCTTTTTCCCAGAGTCCCCAAAGTCCATTCTTATGCCTTTGCATCCTGATAGCTTAGCTCCCACTTATGAGTGAGAAAATATGATGTTTGGTTTTCCATTCCTGAGTTACTTCACATAAAATAATAGTCTCCAATCCCATCCAAGTTGCTGTGAATGCCATTATTTCATTCCTTTTTATTGCTAAGTAGTATTCCATATATATATATATATATATACACATATATATATATTCCATAGTTTATATGGTGTATATATATATATATGTGCCATAGTTTATATGGCATATATATATGACATATATATATATGCCATAGTTTCTTTATCCACTTGTTGATTGATGGGCTTTTGGGCTGGTTCCATATTTTTACAATTGTGAATTGTGCTGTTATAAACATGCATGTGTAAGTATCATTTTCATATAATGACTTCTTTTCCTCTGCATAGATACTCATTAGTGGGATTCCTGGATCAAATGGTAGTTCTACTTTTAGTTCTTTAAGGAATCTCCACACTGTTTTTCATACAGGTTTTACTAGTTTACATTCCCAATAGCAGTGTAGAAGTGTTCAAAAATGACCATACTACCAAAAGCAATCTACAAATTCAAGGCAATTCTCACCAAAATACCAGCATCATTCTTCAAAGAACTAGAAAACAAAATCCTAAAATTCATATGAAACCAAAAAAGAGACAGCATAGCCAAAGCAAGACTAAGAAAAAAGAACAAATCTCGAGGCACCACAGCACACAGCAGTGGAACAGAATAGAGAACCCAGAAATAAACTCAAACACTTACAACCAACTTATCTTTGACAAAGCAAACAAAAACATAAAGTAGGGAAAGGACACCCTATTCATCAAATGGTGCTGGGATAATTAGCAAGCCATATGTAGGAGAATGAAACTGTATCCTCATCTCTCACCTTATAAAAAATCAGCTCAAGATGGATCATGGACTTAAATCTAAGACCTGAAACTATAAAAATTTTAGAAGGTAACATCAGAAAAGTTTTTCTAGACATTGGCTTAGGCATAGATTTCATGACTAAGAGCCAAGAGCAAATGCAACAAAAACAACAATAAGTAGGTGGGACTTAACTAAAAGAAAGAGCTTTTGCATGGCAAAAGGAATAGTCAGCAGAGTAAACAGACAACCCACAGAGGGGGAGAAAATCTTCACAATCTATACATTCGACAACGGAATCTACAAGGAACTCAAACAAATTAGCAAGAAAAAGACAAACAACCCAATCAAATTGTGGGCTAAGGATGTGAATAGACAATTTTCAAAAGAAGATATGCAAATGGCCAACAAACATATGAAAAAATGCTCAACATTACTAATGATCAGGGAAATGCAAATCAAAACTGCAATGTGATACCACCTTACTCCTGCAAGAATGGCCATAATGAAAAAATCAAAAGATAATAGATGTTGGTGTGGATGTAGTGAAAATGTAACACAGCAAGTATTTTATTTTATTCTAGTTCAATTTTTATTTTTAATTTTTGTGGATATGTAATAGGTACAAATATTTATGAGGTACATGAGATATTTTGGTATAGGCACATAATGTGTAATAATCACATCATGGAAAATTGGATATCCATTCCATCAAGCATTTATCATTTGTATTACACATCATCTAATTATACTCTTTTGGTTATTTTTAAATGTGCAATTAAATAATTATTGACTACAATCACCCTGTTGAGCTATCAACTACTAAGTATTACTTATTATTTCTTTTTCCTTTGTACCCATTAACCATTTACACCTCCCCTCTACTTCCCCACTACTCTTCCCAGTCTCTGATGACTATCCTTCTACTCTCTATCTCCATGAGTACAATTGTTTTAATTTTTAGCTCTGACAAATAAGTGAAAGTGTAAGTTTATCTTTCAGTGCCTGACTTACTGCACTTAACATAATGCCCTCCAGTTCCATCTATATTGTTGTAAATGATAGGATCTCATTATTATTATTATTATTATGCCTAAATAGTACTTCATTGTGTATAAGTAGCACAGTTTCATTTTAAACATTTTTTATTTATTTCTCACTCTGTCTTCTGGTGCTGAAGGTACCACATTTTCTTTAACCAGTCATCTGTTGATGGACACTTAGATTGCTTCCAAATCTTGGCTATTGTGAATAGTGCTGCAATAAACATAGCAGTGCAGATCTCTTCAATATAATGACTTCCTTTCTTTGGGGCATATACCCTGCATTAGGATTGCTGAATCATACGTTTCATGCGCGTCCGTGTGAAGAGACCACCAAACAGGCTTTGTGTGAGCAATAAAGCTGTTTATTTCACCTGGGTGCAGGTGGGCTGAGTCCGAAAAGAGAGTCAGTGAAGGGAGATAAGGGTGGGGCCATTTTATAGTATTTGGGTAGGTAAAGGAAAATTACAGTCAAAGGGGATTTGTTCTCTGGCAGGCAGGAGTGGGGGTTGCAAGGTGCTCAGTGGGGGTGATTTTTGAGCCAGGATGAGCCAGGAAAAGGACTTTCACAAGGTAATGTCATCACTTAAGGCAAGGACCGGCCATTTACACTTCTTTTGTGGTGGAATGTCATCAGTTAAGGTGGGGCAGGGCATATTCACTTCTTTTGTGATTCTTCAGTTACTTCAGGCCATCTGGGCATATACGTGCAAGTCACAGGGGATGTGATGGCTTGGCTTGGGCTCAGAGGCCTGACAATACAGAGGCTCAATTTTTAGTGTTTTGAGAAACCTTCAACTTGTTCTTCATAGTGGTTGTACTCATTTACATTCCCATCAATAGCATACATAGGTTCCCTTTCCACATTTGTTATTGCCTGTCTTTTGAATAAAAGCCATTTTAACTGGAGTAAGATAATATCTCACCGTGGTCTTGATTTGCATTTCTGTGACAATCAATTATGTTGAGCACCTTTTCATATGCCTGTTTGCCACTTGTATTTTTTTTCTTTTGAGAAAGGTCTACTCAAATATATCACCTACTTTATTTTTTTTTTCTTGAGACAGAATCTCACTCTCACTCTATAACCCAGGATGGAGTGCAGTAGTGTGATCTCAGCTCACTGCAACCTCCGCCTCCTGGGTTCAAGAGATTCTTGTGCCTCAGCCTCCTGAGTAGCTGAGATTGCAGATATGCACCACCATGTCCAGCTAACTTTTGTATCTTCAGTAGAGACAGGGTTTCACCATGTTGGCCAGGCTGGTCTCAAACTTTTGACCTCAAGTGATCTGCCTGCCTCGGCCTCAAACTTTTGACCTCAAGTGATCTGCCTGCCTCGGCCTCAAACTTTTGACCTCAAGTGATCTGCCTGTTTCAGCCTCCCAAAGTGCAGAGAATATAGGTATAAACCATGAAGGCTGGCACTTTTGCCTGCCTTTTAATCAGACCTTTAAAAATTTTCCTGTAGAGTTTGAGCTCCTTATATATTCTGGTTCTTAATTCCTTGTCAGATAGTAGTAGTTTGAAAATATTTTTCCCATTCTGTCGGTTGTCTCTTCCTTTTGTTAATTGTTTCCTTTGCTGTGCAGAAGTTTTTTAACTTGATATAATCCCATTTGTCCATTTTTCTGGCTCTGTGTCCCTACTCAAATCTCTTCTTGAATTGTAATCCGAATTGTAATCCCCACATGTTGGGGGAGGGACCTTGTGGGAGGTGACTGAATCATGGAGGCAGTTCACCTGTGCTGTTCTTGTGATAGTGAGTGAGTTCTCATGAGATCTAATGGTTTTGTGAGGGGTTTTTCCCCACTTTGCTCTGCACTTCTTTCATTCTTCTCCTTCTTACTTCCATGTGAAGAAGGACGTGTTTGCTTCCCCTTCCATGATGATTGTAAGTTTTCTGAGGCCTCTCTGTTCTGCAGAACTGTGAGTCAATTAAACCTCTTTCCTTTGTTAATTACCTAGTCTTGGATATTTCTTCATAGCAGCATAAGAATGGGCTAATACAGTAAATTGGTACTGGTAGAGTGGGGTGCTGATATAAGGATACCCCAAAATGTGGAAGCAACTTTGGAACAGTTTAGAGGACTTAGAAAAAGACAAGAAAATGTGGGAAATTTTGGAACTTCCTAGACACTTGGAGGGCTCAGGAGACAGGAAAATGTGGGAAAGTCTGGAACTTCCTAGAGACTTATTGAATGGCTTTGACCAAAATCCTCATAGCGATATGGACAATGAAATCTAGGCCAACGTGGCCTCAGATGGAGATGAGGAGTTTTTTGAGACCTGGAGCAAAGGTGACTCACTTTAGCAAAGAGACTGGTGGCTTTTTGCCCCTGCCTTAGAGATCTGTGGAACTTTGAACTTGAGGGAGATGCTTTGGGATATCTGGTAGAAGAAATTTCTAAGCAGCAAAGTTTTTCGAGGATGCAAAGCATAAAATCTTAGAAAATGTGAAGCCTGATAATGCCACAGAAAAGAAAAACTCATTTTCTGGGGAGAAATTCAAGCCAGCTGCAGAAATTCACATACTTAACAAGGAGCCAAATGTTAATCACCAAGACAATGGGGAAATGTCTCCAGGGCATGTCAAAGACCTCCACAGCATTCTCTCCCATCACAGGCCCAGACGCCTAGGAGAGAAAAATAGTTTCCTGGGCAGTGTCCAGGGACCCCCTGCTGTGTGCAGCCTTGGGACTGGTCTCAGCTGCTCTAGCCATTACTAAAAGGGGCCAAGGTGTAGCTCAGGATGTTGTTTCAGAAGCTACAAGCCCCTAGCCTTGACAGCTTCCATGTGGCATTGGTCTTACGTGTGCACAGAAGATAAGAATTGAGGTTTGGGAACCTCCGTCTAGATTTTAGAGGATGTATGGAAATGCCTGGATGTCCAGGCAGAAGTCAGCTGCAGGGGCAGAGCCCTCATGGAGAACCTCCACTAGGGCAGTGCAGAAGGAAAATGTGGGTTCAGAGCCCCCACATAGGGTCCCCCCTGGGGCACTGCCTAGTGGAGCTGTGAAAAGAGGACCACAGTCCTCCAGACCCCAGAGCAGTAGATCCACTGACAGTCTGCACAGTTTCCAGGTGGAAAAGCCACAGACACTCAAAGCCATACATGAGAGCTGGGCTGGAGCTGCCCAAGACCATCAGGGTCCACCTCTTGCATCAGTGTGACCTGGATGTGAGATCATTTTGCAACTTTAAGGTTTAATGACTACCCTATTGGATTTTGGACTTACACAGGGCCTATTACCCCTTTGTTTTGGCCAGTTTCTTCCATCTGGATTGGGTGTATTTACCTAATGCCTGTATCCCTATTGTATCTAGGAAGTAACTGACTTGCTTTTTATTTTACAGGCTCATAGGCAGAAGAGACTTGCTTTGCCTTACATGAGACTTTGAACTTGGATTTTTGGGTTAATGCTGGAATGAGTTAAGACTTTGGGGAACTGTTAAAAGGACATGATTGTGTTTCCAAATGTGAGGGCATGAGATCTGGTAGGGGCCGGGGTGAAATAATATAGTCTGGCTCTTTGTCCTCATTAAAATCTCATCTTGAATTGTAATCCAAATTGCAATCCCCACATGTTGGGGGAGAGACCTTGTGGGAGGTGATTGAATCATGAGGGCAGTTCCTTATGCTGTTTTCATAATAGTGAGTGAGTTCTTATGATATCTGATGGTTTTGTGAGGAGCTTTTTACTCCCTTTTCTCTGCACTTCTCTCATTTTTCTCTGTACTGCTGCCACATAAAGAAGGATGTGTTTGCTTCCCCTTCTACCATGATTGTAAGTTTTCTGAGGCCTCCCCAGCCCTGCAAAACTGTGAATCAATTAAACCTCTTTCCTTTGTAAATTACTCAGTCTTAGGTATTTCTTCATACCAATGTGAAAATGAACTAATACAGATGGGTGGTTTGAAAATATTTTCTCCCATTCTGTAAGTTGTCTCTTCATTTTGTTGATTGTTTTCTTTGTTGTACAAATTTTTTAACTTGATGTGATCACATTTGTAAATTTTTGCTTTGGTTGCCTGTGAGGTATTGCTTAAGAAATTTTTGCCCAGATCAATGTGCTGGAAAGTTTCCCCAACATTTTCTTGTAGTAGTTTTATAGTCTGAGGTCTTAGAGTTAAGTCTTTAATCCATTTTGATTTTTTTTTTTGTGTGTGTGTGTGTATGGCAAGAGATAGGGGTCTAGCTTCATTCTGTTGCATATAGATATCCAGTTTTCTTGGCACCATTTATTGAAGAGACTGTGTTTTTCCCAAAGTATGTTCTTGGTATCTTGGTCAAAAACAAAGTCACTGTAGGTGTATGGATTTGTTTTTAGGTTCTCTATTCCATTCCATTGGGCTATGTGTCTGTTTTTATGCCAGGACCATGCTGTTTTGGTTACTATAGCTCCGCAGTATAATTTGAAGTCAGGTAATGTGATTCTTTCAGTTTTGTTGTTTTGACTCAGGATAGCTTTGGGTATTCTGAGTCTTTTGCAGTTCCATATAAATTTTAAGGGATTTTTTTCTCTATTTTTCTGAAGAATATTACTGGTATTTGATAGACATGCATTGGACTTGTAGATTGCATTGGGTAGTATGGACATCTTAACAATATTGATTCTTCCAATTCATTAACATGGAATATTATTCCACTTTTTGTGTCCTCTTTAATTTCTTTCATTAATGTTTTGTAGTTTTCATCGTAGAGAGCTTTCACTTCCTTAGTTAAGTTAATCCTTGGGTATCTAATTTTACTTGTAGCTACTGTAAATAGGATTACTATTTTTTATTTCTTTTTCAGATTGTTCAGTGTTGGCATATAGGAATGCCACTGATTTTTGCATGTTGATTTTGTATACTGTGACTTTCCTGAATGTGTTTATCATTTATAATAATTTCATGGTGGAGTCTTTAGGTTTTTCCAAATATAAGATTATATCATCTGCAAACAAGGATAATTTGACTTCTTCCTTTCCAATTTGGATGTCCTTTATTGCTTTCTCTTGTATGATTGCATTAACTGAGACTTCTAATACTATGTTGAATAACTGGTGAAAGTGGACATCCTTGTCCAGATATTAGAGGAAAGTCAACTAGTATTTTAAAATGAGCACCTGAAGCTGGGCACAGTTTCTCACACCTGTAGCCTCAGCACTTTAGGAGGCCGAGGAAAGAGGATTGTTTGAGCCTAGGAGTTGAGGACCAGCCTGGGCAACACAGTGAGACTAAGTCACTACAAACAAGACAATATTAGCTAGGCATGGTGGCACGCACTTTTAGTCTTAGTTGCTTGGAAGGTGGACATGGGAGGATCACTTGAGCCCAGGAGGTGGAGGCTGTGGTGAGCCATGATCATGCCACTGCATTCCAGCCTGGGTGATAGAGTGAGACCCTGTCTCAGAAATAAATAAATACATACATATATAAGTAAATAGATAAAAATAAAAATACCTAAAATTAGCCCATGAAATATAGAACATTTAAAGTTAAGAAAAAACTTCTAGTTGAACCCATGATGTTAATTGAGGAGATACTATAGAGTGAGAAGAAAACAGGTCTGGGGGCAGAGTCATGAGGAATCTTCAATTCTTCTGAAGCTTTAGAATACACTGTAGAAGACAATTAGATTTTTACCATGAAATGTAAATATATTTTGGTGAACAGTTCAGAGTTGTTTATTCACTACCATTAAAAACTTTGCTTATATAAATATCGACTTATCCTTCTGAAATTCTTGAGTAGACGTTATGGCCATGCAATTTTCTTGACAATGCTCCATCTGCCACAAAAATTGGTTAAACAGTGTTGGTTATAGAAAGGGAAAGCAAAGGGAATAAGAAGCTTCCTGACAGATAAGAGGAAGCATGGAAGGGACAAACTTCCCAGAACTTGAGTGAAGAGTGCTTAAAGAAGAAGAAAGTCATCATCAGTTTCAAAAGTGGCAAAGAAGCGTAGCAGGCTGAGGATAGAAAAGAGACTTTTGCACCTTTTAAAAGAAAGCTTCAGTGAAGTGGTGGAGGATGAAGCCAAGTAAAAGTGGTTTGGAGAGGGAATGATTTTAAGTATCGTCAAATACTACGGGCAGCGTGTTATTCTTTCTTTCTTTCTTTCTTTATTTTAATTCTTAAGAGGAATGATTTGTATTCAACCATTTATAGGAATGAAAAAAATGTTGCTTATAGATATAGAGTTTCTTAGGTCAAGACACATACACACACACAAACACACATGCAAATAGAGAGAGAGCACTCTCATCAATAACTAATGGCAGCTCTAAAACATCTGGATTGATAGAAAAATGTGGCAGCATTTTCTTTTGGCCAGAAGGAAAAGCCAAAATAATGGTTCAAAGGAGTAATCTTTCCCTTTGCATCCCTTAAAACATCTTCCATGACTATCATTTACCTTTCTTAGAGAGAATGCCTGTCTATATATACTTTACAATTATATTTTGTTCATGGATGAAGGCAAAGGAAGGGCAAGTTCAAAACAGTACAAATAGGCCTGGTACAGTGGCTCACACCTTTAATCACAGCACTTTGGCAGGATGAGGTGAGAGGTTCAGTTGAGGCCAGGAGTTTGAGACCAGCCTAGGCAATATAGTGAGACCCTGTCTCTATGAAAAATAAAAGAAATTTATCCAGGCATGGTGGTGCATGCCTGTAGTTCCAGCTACTTGGGAAGCTGAGATGGCAGGATAACTTGAGCCTGGGAGGTTGAGGCTGCTGTGAGCTGAGATCACGCCACTGCATTACAGCCTGGGCAACAGAGCATGACCCTGTCTTCAAAACAAAATGGGAACAAAACACAACAACATGAAATAAAATAGAAATTCAAAACAGTAACGTTTCATAAAATTAAGAAAAGAGTACTCATCAAAAGCAGGAAGAGTTTTCTAAGTTAAGGGAAGGTTTAAAAGTGATAAAGTTGTACCAAAGCTGGGTATGCATCAATATACGCACTGTTATCATACAATTAAATATATGATGATTAGAGGACAGAATTCCGAGGTGAGCAGGTATATATTCTACCTGACTGACTTTCCAACTGAGCAAATGTTTCTCTTGGCCTGAACACAGACCTTCATTTATTTTCATTGTGAGTCATTTTCCTAGAAGTCACTGTTGCATAAATGGTGCTTCCCTGACTTCCGATCAACTCAGACAGCCAAAATCAGTAAGTGTACAAATGAGCTCAACAGGAACATTTTTTCCCAAGATATTTCCTGTCAATTTTCTCATCCTGGAATGTGAAATGGTCTTTTCCTAAAGATCCCCAGATAGTAGTCATGGAATTAATCTTTATTATCTGTCAGTATTGTATTTATTACTCATATAACCCTGTATTCCAGATCTCCCTTGAATGTGGTGGGAAGATCTCATTCACCCTGTGATCTGACAGCTTGTGTTTTTCCTTCTACTCTTTTCACCCAAAGGCAGAACCTGAAAGGATGCCAAGAACTTCTAGAGAAATGCAGAAAAAAAATTAAAAACCACTACACAAACTTGAGGGCCAGACAGAGATATTAGTACAGCCAAAAAACAAAAGTATTTTGTTATTTTATTATAAACATTTCTTATTACATTTTATTTCTCATAAAATTACAGAACAAGGGGTGAGGGCAAAAGACTGAATTGTTGACTAACCAACTCTGGAATGTACTATTATTGGTAACTGCTAGTTTCCCATTTTGTGGGCATTGGTAGTAACTAAAATTTTCAGAATAACCAATAATTTGACTGAGTTTAGTTAATTAAAAAAAACTTTAGATAGGAAGTTAAAAACATAAGCAGATTGGTGAAATTGTGTGAACTATTGATTCATTTGAATCATACAATGCCTGATTTAGAAGCAGCTTCAGAGATCATGTCTCAATCTTATTTTACAAATGAAGAAAATGGGTCCCAAGGGACCAAAGGGAATGGCTTGTCCACTGTCAAATACTCATATTATTTTAGGCAAACATGTATCTCTTGCCCTATAATTAATCTCAAACTTAGGAATATCTCTATTCTCACAGAGTTCGAGTCTCAGTTACACAGTAAGAACTGGAAAGTCTACTGGTCTGAATGATTTTGAATCACCTAAATATCACCTAATATTTACCAGAGTGCCTGACACATAATCAATGCCCAGTGCTTAAGGTGTAGTTGAGTGTTGAATGAATGCATTATAATAAAAGCTCTTCAAAAGAACTGCTATGAATCATTGTCACATGATGTATTTGCTGAAGGCAGAGCTCCTTAACTGGTGGGGAGGATCATCAATTTGGAAACTGAGGGCATGCGCTTTCTTTTAGATGCTGCCTAAGACAAATGATGTTACTTCAAAATGGTAAAAAAAAAAAAAATTAAATAAAGAAAAAAGTACATCATAAATAAAACAGATTGCTAACAAATTAGTAATTATGTCAAACAAATAAAGCTGCCCAGTGTTATGCTTTAGCCTCATTTGACCCTTTTCAAAAAATTAAAAAGAGAAAAAGAGGAGGCAGAATGAGGAAATACATTAACCCACAGAGGCATTTCTAGCTCTGAATCTCCATCTAATTTGCTTTTTACAAACTATTCAGCATAAATTGTCTCTTTCAGCATATTGAAGGATGAAAACACATGCTAATACCAATAAATTGGATCTGAGTTTGGAAAATTTATGTGTGCATATAAAAACTATTTGCATACATCCCCAGATGGAGAAGTCAACAGAGCATGAACCTTAGTTGTGAGGATAACAATGTATACATTACATTGGGAGATTCAATTTGTGTGTAAAACAATTCAACTGCTGATTATGAAAGTGACACATTCTAGGATGATGCACCTTTAAATTCAGCAGTAAACATGAATATGGAACTCTTGCTCTTTGCCAGCACAGGTTTCCACATCTGGTTCATTTCCACATATAGCATCTTAAGGAATCAAAGGTATATTTTATTTAGTAGTTGTTAATCAACTTTAAAAATAAATATCATACAAGGTATTTACAGCATATAGTTTTAAGCACCCTATAGACTGTGTTACATGAATGATAATGATGAAAGCAAAATGCAAAACTTGTTAAGAACCAAGACGATAGGTCAGTATTCTAGCTATGTGACCTTGGACATTTATCTAACTTTTTTTTTTTTTTTTTTTTTTTTTTTTTGTGATGGAGTCTCACTCTGTCGCCCAGGCTGGAGTACAGTGGCATGGTCTCGGCTCACTGCAACTTCCGCCTCCCAGGTTCAAGTGATTCTCCTGCCTCAGCCTGCCAAGTAGCTGGGACTACAGGCACTTGCCACCACGCCTGGCTAATTTTTTGTATTTTTAGTAGAGATGGGTTTTCACCGTGTTAGCCAGAATGGTCTCAATTTCCTGACCTCATGATCCACCTGCCTTGGCCTCCCAAAGTGCTGGGATTACAGGCGTGAGTGCCCGGCCTATCAAGCCTTTTTTCATGTAAGTTTTATCAGTTTTTCATGGAAGTTACATCAGTTTGCTAAGCTGTGCATTGGACATAACAACGCTATATATATATATATATATATATAAAGTATATATATATAAAGTATATATATATTTTCATGAGGATCTAATCAGATAATGTATATATATAACTCACTATAGCGTCTAGCAAGCAGTTAGCTCTCAATAATCATTATCATTTTCAGTCCTTTTTTAGAAGCTGTTATGTTAAAATTGAGTGCTGTCTTCATTGGGACTTGCAGTTTCAAAATATGGTATTAGGCATTTGCTCAATATTGAAATCCACGGGCACGTCACACAGGAGAGATAGTGCTGATAGTCTGAGGTGAAGCTGATTGTCCAGAAGGCTGAATGTTACTAATTACATAATAGTGAGTACAAACGGAACACAGGCACAGAGCAAGAAGAGTCCATTGAAAAGAGAGCCTGATGCTCTTTCCCAAGAGAAGACACTGGGAAAACAAGTTCAAGCCAATTTTAAAACCACAAGGTCAGAGAATGCTTTTTTGTTGCTGCCTTTTTATTTGTTTTCATCCCTGAATATATCCTAAGTGTTTCATTTAACTTTGTCCTTGCCCCAGGTCCCACCCATTCAATCACATTTATGCCCTCAGGTGAATGAAGACTAGAGGTAAAAAAGGAAGTAGCTAGGTTATGAAAGATTCTGTAAGATTCTTGGGCACAAACAGCACTGCTTCTGTACTTTCTTTACTGAACCGATTACAAAAGAGAGAGAGACATAGTTTTGTCTGTTTCCCGTTGACCCCACGTACCCCTGGAATCTGAAAGGCACCCCTGTATTAGTGGTCTAGCTGCTCCCCAAGAAGATGGCAGAGGGGCTCTGGTGCTTGGTAGGGAGAGGTAGACAGGAATAGGAGTGGCAGTGACAATGCCCATTTGGAGAGCTAAGAGTGCCAGACACATAGCAAGCCCTCAAGAAATACTTATTTAAGACTTCCTGGTTCCTGCATTGGGTTGAATTTTGTCCCTAAAAAAGATTACTATAACTACTAAGCATCAGTAATTGGAATGTAATTTTTTTAAGTACGGTGTTGCTGATATAGTCAAGTTAATTCAATGACTGATGTCTTTAAAAGAAGGAGATTTGGCTTGCAGTAAGTTGAGATTGTGCCACTGCACTCCAGCCTGGGTGACAGAGCGAGACTCCATCAAAAAAAAAAGAAAAGAAAAAAAGGAGATTTGGATACAGATGCATAAACAGAGGAAGGAAGGTGAAGTGGCATATAAAGTGGCAGCGAAGTGGCAATAAACAGTGGCAATGAAGGTGAAGATTGCAGTAATGTGTCCTTCTACAAGCAAGGGATGCCTAAGATTGCCAGCAACGGTGAAAAGCTAGGAAGACATGTGGAATGATTCTTCCCGGACTACTCAGAGAGCGCACAATCCTGCCAACACTCGCACTTCAGATTTCTAGTCTCCAGAACTATAAGAGAATATGTTTCTGTTTTATTAGGGCACCCAGTACATAGGGCTTTATTATGGCAGCCTGGGAAACTAATGCAGTCCCCAAAGAAAAAGTATTCTGTGAATACCTAGCAAAGTCAAGGGTGCTCAGTGGGGAGTTAAAACACCTACTAGTAGGGTCCATGCTGCCTGGTGAAATGGCCATAGCTAATAGCAAGGCAGAGCTTAGCGGAATCTACAGATAGCAGAATGTACAAGATCTTCCTGCTGTTGTCATGGGAAGATTGTTCAGAGGAGTTAAAAATGCACTTGCCAAGATGACCCTCAAGGGGCTGTGAGTAGGGATTTGAATAAAAAGGGGATGATGAGAAGCCTTGTAGGGAACTGGTGTTTATAGATAGGTGAAGACAAAATTTGTCTCTCAATGGCCACATTTTTCAGCCCTACATCGAGGAGGCCTGAGGACATCCAGGCTACAATAATATAGAACAGTTTCTCCTTGATTATATTAAAAAACTGCATTAGATTGTCTCTTCCTGCATGAGTCTCTTCAGCTTGTAAATGTTTCAGGGTCACTTGTCATCCAGAAATGTGCCTTTTACTAAAATGATTATGCCAACTGTTCTATTTAAAAGGCTCTTGATCACTGAACACAGTGAAAAGTAATTCATAAATGCTGACTCAAGAAAAATGTTTTGATAACAAAAGTTGCCAAGGCAAGCCAGAATGAAAGCATTCCTTAGCCTTAAATTGAAAATAGTTAAAAGACCCATAGTGAAAAACACTAATAACAAATCTTCAGAAGCTGATGATAAACATACATTAGAAGTTATGATTAAATACATTTTGACTAAACAAGATACATGAAGCTCTTATTACAAGGCCTGGCTCTATGATAGGCAATAAGAATATTTCATAGCAATGAGAGTAAGAAAAATATTAATGATGAGTTGTGTAAATGTATATTTTTATATCGTGTTTCTGTGGTTGAGTGATTTGCAGTAAATACTGTCAGCTAATACCAAAAGCATTATAAAATGTGAGGACAGCCTTCACAGTTGGTTAGAAAGGTGACAAGTGAAGAACATGACACCTAAAAACAACTGCTGCACTCACGGGATCAATTTCAGTAATTTCCAGGTAAACCCAGTTACATTGGTAGAAAGTAAAGCTATGGGTACAACCATAATCATAGGGTGTACCAAAAATAACATTACTATTTTAATGCTTTGATTAACCAGGGCCAATGTGTTCTTTACATGTATTGACTTAACCAAATTTGCGTTACCATAAAACCCATGAGCACACAGAAGTTAGTAATGTGGGGTGGATGTTAGAGCCATACATTTTAGCTCTAGAGACCTGCCTTTCATCAGTACACATGCTGCTGTTCAGGGTGGAAACAGGCCAGATGTTAATGTCAGTATATAGCTGGTGTCATGAAAGTCCTCCAGAAGTTATCCTGAAAATTTTAACAGCTTTTATGACAACAATAAACATGCAGCTTACCCTTTGAAAGGCAGCTTGGGCCAGGCACAGTGGCTCACACCTGTAATCCCAGCACTTTGGGAGGCTGAGGTGGGTGGATCACAAGGTCAGGAGTTTGAGGCCAGCCAGGCCAATATAGTGAAACCCCATCTCTACTAAAAATGCAAAAATCTGTCCCAGCTACTTGAGAGGCTGAAGCAGAATAGCTTGAACCCGGGAGGTGGAGGTTGCAGTGAGCCGAGACCACACCATTGCACTCCAGACTGGGTGACAGAGTGAGACTCCATCTCAAAAAAAAAAAAAAAAAAAAGGCAGCTTGGTGGATAGTCATGAGATAGAAAATTAAATTAAACAACATCTTTTAAATGTTTTTTAAAAAATAAATTTCTGCAAAGCAGAAAGTAAAGATGAAAATTAGCAATTTTGGCCGGTGCACATGGCATGTGATGGAAAGATTGTAAGCAAACGTTATGCAGAAAGACAGTCTTGCAGGTATTTAGTTTCAGAAAGATTTGGGAAAAGGTAGTGTTTATTTGTTAAACAGGCAAAAAAGTGTTTTAGTCCTTCGGGAAGAAAAATAAGAATAAACAAGAAAGATCTCAATTTAATGAGCATTTACATGTTCTTAGAAAGGATTTGGCATGGGTAGGTGGGGTGGTCAGGATAGAGGCTGAGATTATATAAATGAGATATAAAATAAGGACCTGAATTTAGAAACAAAAAACAAGGGTAGGTACATGAATGATTCAACAAAGTGAGTGAGATTCATATCATTAGAATTTAATGCAAGTTAATGAGGTAGGGCTTCTTAATTCACTTAGTAAATATTTTTGATAATTTATAGTGTGATAATATTCTAATACTAAAGGCAGATTATTTATCAGAGTTACTCAGGTAAGTTCTGCTTTAATGCTGATCCCTCCTAGAGGAGTTAGAATAACCCTTCCTGCCCTAGATGACCATGTGCTAAACACTAAAATCTATGACATGTCACCTTGCATTGCAACTGGCTACTTTGCAGATGTGATTTAGTTGAAGATCTGGAGAGGGGAGGGTTATCTTGGATTTTTCAGACAGGTCCAATGTAATTACACAAGGGTTATTTTAAGACAGAGGCAGGAGGGTCAGATTCAGACATGTGATGATGGAAGCAGAGTTTGGAATGATGTGGCCAGGAGCCAAGGAGTGCGGGCAGCCTGTAGGGGCTGGAGAGACAAGATAAAAGATTCTCCCTTACAGCCTTCATAAATGCTACAGACCCATTTTGGACTTCTGACCTTCTAAACTGTAAGATAATTATTATTTTTTGTTTTGAACCACTAAGTTATGGTGGTGATTTGTTATAGCAGCAATAGAAAATGAATACACCTGCAAATTTTGATTGTTTGGGGAAAAGGGAAGCTGTATAGGCACTGTACTGAGTACAGGAGTTAGAGAAATAAATAATAGTTACAGCCATCAATGACCTGATAACATAATGTGAGATAAAAGTTGGATTGTGGTATGGTGGGGAAGTGTAAGTTGGTTTTTATAGTCTAGGTGACTCAACTATGTGGAGTGGTGGAATTTATGAATACAATTCCAGGCAGATCTATAAATTCAGTTATAGTTTAAGGATAAGATGAGTAATTTTTTTTTAAATTAAAAAAACTTTAAAAATCAAGAAATTAGTTTAATTGATTTTAATAAGCTGGACAAGATATTTCTACTCATGTCCATCTCATCTACCATACCATAGTCCAACCTATCATGATGTCTAGCCTGGGCTATCACAAAAATGTCCTTATGGGGGTCCTCACTCAAATCTCCACTGACCTAGTCCAAACAGGCTTTGCAGTTATGGTGAAAATGACCATTTTAAAATTCAAATCTGATTTTTTAAACTTTCTTGATAAGTATTTTTAATGCCTTGCTACTGCCATTTGGACAATATTCCAAACCCTTACCTTACCTAAAAAGGTCCTCCCCGAGCTAACCCTACTTACTATCCGTATAGGTATCTTGTCTTCCCATGACCTGTCTTTCAGGTCTTCAAAAGCTCCAAGCCCTCTCTTTTCTCAGAGCCCTCCTGCACACTGTTTTTCCCACTCCTTAAAAGAGGATCCCTTCCACTTTACACATATTTAAAAATAACAAATACTTATAGTGACAGTTACGATTACTTGATGTGTATTACCTCTATTAATCCTCTCAATAGTTCCATTTAGTAGATATCATTATTTTTATTTTATGGAAAAAGATACAGTGGTACAGAAAAGCTAAGTAACTAGTCCAAAGTCACAAAGCTAATAATATATCTCAGAGTAGGCAGTCAATCCTATGCTGTATGGTTTTAGAGTCCTTTAATTGCTAAACCAGTATGCCATACTGCCACATTTCTTTGATTGTCAACTTAGATATCATTTTACAAGAAAGCCTTCCCATAACCCTAACCTTGATAGTGCCTTGCCTTCCCCTTATGTTATGCTGACCACACATGATCACACAAGGAGAAAAGGGTGTCTGAGACCTACAAGTACTCTATACTGAACCTCTCTGAGATATTCTTAAAATTATAGTAAAGAAAACTAGGTTAGTAATTCATTTATAACACCTGAAAAAAATCAAAAGCTTCATCTCTTACAGAGTTTTCACCTTGTCTGACTGGACTATTTCTCATGCTGGTGGTTATACTGATCTATATATATGTGATGGACTTTCAAGGTCATGGGTATCAGTAGGTGTTTGAGTTGAGATTTCAACACTTCACATCCCTGCTTTATCATTGATTGCTTCATACACATACAAAAACATTTTTTCTTGGAAAACAAAATCTGAAATTTATATCAGCCTTTATTTAGAGGCAATTCATATGGAGCACTGTTAATACAAATGTGATTTTTCTATCCCTGACCCTCTTACTAACCCTGTGTTGTCCAGGGATCCATGAACTTTGTACAAATCATGGTAGGGAATCATCTGTATCCATTTGGAGAAAACAGAGTTCTAACTGTGTGTTCTGACTCACAACTTGAGGTTAAGTGGAAATAGCTTTTGAGTGTTTAATTCTCATCCCTTCTGATTCTGCAGCATTGGAGGAATGTCCTTCTTAACTCTCAGCTTTTCGTTTGTTTGGTTTCTTTTGCTACAAAGTGCTGGACAGAGACTGCATGAGGTACTGAGAATCCAGTAAGCTTAAATGGGGTTGAGAAAAAATGGCTCCCAGCTTTGGATTATGTCTTCTCTCAACTATGTTTGTCTTGTGGACTACCAGCTATTTTATTTTGTTGTTTTTACAATGCAAATGTCTTTGTTGCCTTTTCTGAGTTAAAAAAGTAAATGCATTGCAATAACAAAAAAAAAAAGCTACGAAAATAATCAAGTAAAATTCATTTCGAGTCTCACTTTACTAGATGACCATAGTTAACATTTTGATAAATTTAAGAGAGACAGGCAGATGTCTCTTTCTCTTGTATGTGAATGTGTGTGCACATGTGTGTCCATGTGTATGTGTACACATGCTACCATGGACATCTTCTCTGTGTGTCTTCCTCCAAATCCTTACTCTGCCCCAAAAGTCTGATCTCAATAGGTGTCCTTGGCCTCTAGCTTCTAGTTAGATTGGAACAATTGAAAACTCCGAAAGGAAGGTAGAGGGATGAGAGGGCTAAAGATTTTATTTCTCTAGTCCCATCCTTCTTGGCTTACCTGAAGCAGGTTGTGTTTGTCTGTGAATACTCTCTCAAAACAAATGTCTCCATTAGTCTCTTCATGTCTGGGTTCTGGTAATTACTACCTGCTCCCTTACATCAGGCCTAGAAATTAAAAGGGCTCCACAGAAACTAGCTCCAGGGTATGCACTGTTCTTTGTGTCCCAATACTGTGCTCACTCCTTTAAAAAGTCCTTTCATCAAATACTCTTCAAATTATCCTATTTTGAATGTGCCATCTGTTTCCTGAGGGAACTCTTATGGAAAATTTCCCCTACAAAACATGCAAACGCATGCATGCGTGTGCGCACACAGACACATACACACACACCCCACATATTTACTGGAATGGGTTGATGCCTGCAACTACATTTTTTTATGATGTATCATAATTCGTTTTTCTAGTTTCATCTTGGTAGATATTTAGACTATTCCGTTTTTTATCATACCATAAGCAATGACATCGTTAATATCCTCGTGTGTATATTATGCCAACTTTTTGCAAGATTATTTTATAGTACATTCCTAACAATGGAGTTTCTATGTCAAAGGACATGTGCATTTTAAAATTTGATACTACTTTTTTTTTTTCCTTTCAAATGGCTCCACCAATGTTTATTCCTACTATCTTAGTCAGTTTGAGCTGCTATAACAGGAATACAGAGTGGTTGGCTTAAAGAAGATTTTTTTCTCGCAATTCTGGATGCTGGAGAGTCCAATCTCAAGGCAGACGTGGTGTGTTCATAGATGGCCATCTTCTTGCTGTGTCTTCACATAGTGGTAAGAGCTCTCTGGGGTTTCTTTAATAAGGGCACCCATCCCATTCATGAAGTCTCCACCTTCATGACCTCATCACCTCCCAAAGGCACCATCTTCTACCACCATCACATTGAGAGTTGGGATTTCAACAGATAAATTTTGGAGAAACATAAACATTCAGTAGTCCACTGGACCTATCAACATGGTGAAAATTTCAGTCTCTCACTAGAACTTCCCGTACTTTATTTTATCGAACATTTTAATTTTTGCTAATGTAAAATGTGAGAAATGTCATTACCGTTTTAATTTTTTCTTTTAATATGAGAAATATTGGACATGGTTTATATGTTTATTTAGCCATCTGTATTTCTTTTCCTGAGAAGTTCCTATTCACGTGCTTTACTCAGATGAGTTACAATATTTATTTTCAAGACAGAGTAGGACCTATAGGGGAAAGAAATAAGTAACCTTAAAGCTCTCTTAACTTTACTTTAACAGATATCTAAAAGTCATATTAATTCATTGAACTTTGCCTTCAGGCTTCTAAGTTGTGTATTTCTAACTTTAACATAGTTGACATTCCAGGACTGGGAGTCACAGTTGATAGTACCTCTCATTGGTGGAGGCTGCCTTCTTCTTCTTAGATTGCATGATGATCTCAACTTTACATACTAGTCAAAACTTTGTATTGTTATTCTCATATTAGGCTTCAGGTTATTGTCTTGCATTTCTTGATCAGTACTTTATATTTCTAAAATGAGCTTTAATCGACATAGATAGTGACCATCTTTCCTGGCCCCAACCAGTTAATTTTACATGTGTATCAACATAATACAAGCAAGGAGAAACTAAATATGTGAACAGTGGAGTCTATATTCAGAAATATCTAAAAATGTATAGAAAATGTGGGCAATCCTGATAAGTTTTAATCAATCTGATACGTTTGAATTTTATTCAAGTTTTCATGTGAACTAAGTAATGGTTTGGAGCAAAAGGGATAACATTATGCCTTTACTAATGCTCATAGCTTGATTGGAAGGAAAAATAAAGTTCATGGAAATACGTTAGGAAGGATTTCTGAAGACCTGGTTGGTGATGCATTTATTTGACTCTGATAAAAGGATGATTTAAAGCCGAGCATGGTGGTTCACACGTATAATCTCAGTACTTTGGGAGGCTGAGGCGGGTGAATCACTTGAGTTCAGGAGTTCGAGACAAGCCTGGCCAACATAGTGAAATGCCGTCTTTACTAAAAATACAAAAATTATTCTGGCATGGTCCGTGCACCTGTAATTCTAGCTACTCGGGAAGCTGAGGCACAAGAATCCCTTGAACCCGGGAGGTGGAGGTTGCAGTGAGCCGAGATTGTGCCACTACACTCCAGACTGGGTGACAGAGTAAGACTCTGTCTCAAAAAAATAAAATAAAATAAAAATAAAGATGATATAAATGTTAGATTCTTTATTTACATATAGACAGATATGTAGTGTGTTGTGGTTCCTCTATTATTGTCCAGATAATTTTAATCTAGAGTTACTGACTGTTGCACCTACTGATTCTGTTATAAATCATGTTGTTTTTCCAGAAAAACTAGATTTAGCCATCCTGGGTAGGATAGTGTTGTCCTCCTCAGTGGGAAAGGAAGTACGGGAAATAAAATTAGTTGGATACCAAAGAATTACTGGTGAATAACTGTGTTATTTACAGTCTATGTATTCCATATGAGGTTCTCAATGATCCTCTGAGATAAATATTACCATCTTCATTTTTAAATTTAAGAAACTCTTTCAGGATCACATGAGATAAAAAAAATGTAGTGTTAGATTTGAATCAAGATCTCTATGACTTCAAACTCCATGCTATTCCTAGTGTACTAGTAGTTCTCAAACTACATATAATACAGAACATATTTTTTCTTTCCTGGCACAGACTAATACATGGTCCAGCTATGCATGATTAGTATGCAGTTCTTGCTGTGTGAAACTCATCACTCAAGTTCAAGAACCCCGAATTGGTCTAGAACCCATTCAAGAAGAGTCCACTGACCACGGGCTTAGCTATTGTGAGAATGTCCAATTGCTAGAAAAGTTTTTTAAACTTGTAATTTTTGTACTAACTGCATTCTGGTAATAAATAACTTGCAGAGCTACCCTAGTCTACACACCACGCTCTGGGTTGCATTGTCCTGGAAAATACTGGGGTTTTGTTTTGTTTTGGAGATGGAGTCTGACTCTGTTGCCCAGGTTGGAGTGCAGTGGCATGACCTCGGCTCACTGCACCCTCCGTCTTCTGGGTTCAAGCAATTCTCCTGCCTTAGCCTCCCAAGTAGCTAGGACTACAGGCTCACACTGCCACGCCCAGTTAATTGTGTGTGTGTGTGTGTGTGTGTGTGTCTTTTAGTAGAGACAGGGTTCCACCTTGTTGCCCAGGCTGGTCTCAAACTCCTGAGCTCAGGCACTCTGCCCGCCTCAGCCTCCCAAAGTGGGATTACAGGCATGAGCCATGGAGCCTGGCCTGGAAAATACTGTTAAAAACTACTTTATCATCTGCATTTGTAAAAGACCACACATTATTATTGAATTAAAAGTATGGAAGCTAGAATTCTGCTATTTTGGTGAAGTAAACCTAATACAAAATGGTCATTCATAGCTTTTGTGGGAAGAAATTATTGCCCGAGGAATGTGCTTGATAAGTAATAAACATGGAAAACTCTTTGTTCTCCATTAGGCAGAGGAAAACTAATTTCACAGTTTGTTGTAGCTGAATGTTCGGCATTTGTTTCTTTATTCTTATTCTGTGTTAAGGATATTTAATCTTTCCCTTGGAAAACTACTTTTTATTTAAAAAGACATTTTTCTCAGTCCATTTGTAAATAAAGCAAGTATACTGAAATGATTCAGATTCCTGTGGTTCCCATTTACATCTGATTTCCTTCCTGGCTGATCTTCCAGTCTACATGACTTGATTATCTTCCCAAATTATCCTGCCAGGAATATTCCACAGGGTTTTTCCTATGGAAACTATATTAAACCTTTTATAATTTAGCAATGTTGGCACTAACGTACTTTCTCCGAAGTGCACTTATCTCGAGAACATTCTTCCATGAAGATCATCCAAAAAGCACTCTAGTGTCAGCATAAGTGTCAACATAAGAATGATCCCTAGGCATTTGCAGAAATGCCTTTAACTAATTAAAAAGATGTTTTAATATTTGTCTTCAAATTGTGACTCTTCAATATGTCTGACCTAAACAACATGCATATATAGCAAGCGCCCTCACTTTGAAAATTATTTTCTAACTATAATGATGCACACTTTCTTTCTTTTGTGAGTTTTCCTGTTGGTGATGAAGAACAATAAAGAGGAGAATGCTATAAAACATCATATCTTTATTAAGATAGTAAGTTTTATAATAAATGTGTTGCCAGGCACGGTGGCTCATGCCTGTTATCCCAGCACTTTGGGAGGCCGAGGTGGGTGGATCACAAGGTCAGGAGATCAAGACCAGCCTGGCCAAGATGGTGAAACCCCATCTCTACTAAAAATATAAAAAAAGTAGCAGGGCGTGGTAGTGGGTGCCTGTAATCCCAGCTACTCAGGAGGCAGAGGCAGAGAATTGTTTGAACCCGGGAGGTAGAGGTTGCAGTGAGCTGAGATCGCGCCACTGCACTCCAGTCTGGGCAACAGAGCAAGACTCTATCTAAATAAATAAATAAATAAATAAATAGATGTATTTATTGCTTTTTTTGGTGATCACCAGAGCCATTAATTTTTATTTCTTTTGAAAGTTCTAAATTTGGAATGCAAGATGAGTTGAGCCATTATCTTTGAGGAAGCTGTAATCAAATATTTTAAATTTGCCTAAATCATCATTTGGACTGATTAATAGTCGTGATAAGAAATAAGAAAGATGTCTGAAACCATTATCTAATTAGTTAAATGATAGGGAAAAACAGTAAAAAATGAAAGAAAAATACCCAAGACTAACCAAATTCCACATGCTTTATATAAGAGAAATGCTATAATCTCTGTTCCATGTGGGATATTGTCGCCTCCTTAAATGGTTGGAGACCATGCCTATGTGAGTGATTCTGTACAGCCAGGTAGAGTGCTAAAAGATACTTCCCACTGATTTCTACTACGGTATCTGTATCTAACCTTTAAGTCCGTATTAGTTTCCTAGGGATACCATAACAAAGCATCACAAATGGAGTGGTTTAAAACAACATTTATTCTTTCACAGTTCCTGAGTTCTAAAAGTCCAAAATTAAGGTGTTGTCAGGGTCATGCTCCCTCTGAAATCTGTAGGGAGAATCCTTCTTTGCTTCTTCCTAGCTACCGGTAGTTGCCAGCAACCTTTGGTATTATTTGGCTTGCAGCTGCATTACTCTAATCTTCATTTTCATTATCACACGGCATTCTCCCTGTGTCTGTCTTCACATAATCATCTCCAAGGGATGTTAGCCATAGTGGATTAGCGACCACTCTTACTCCAGTGTGACCTTATCTTAACTAAGTATATCTGCGATGACCCTGTTTTCAAATAACATCATATTCCGAGGTACTGGGAGTTAAAATTCAGCATACCATTTTTTCTGAAGACAATTTCAACCCATAACAATGCCTAAATGGCATATTTGTAATTTCAGATAAACATTCTAGTGAAACAAATGATTCTCACTGTTAAACATGTATTTTTAAAAGACTGTATAATTTCCAGAATGCCAGGTTCTTTCTTTCTATTTTCTCCCACTTATTACAGCATTATCAATCTATGTGTTCTCATTTCTTCTATTCATAAGTCATAAATGACCTTGATAAAGCTTGGGTGATTTTCCCAAGGTAAAATTTGGGGCAGGGGTTATGAGTAGAAATTTCACTCCACATTGTATATTGTTTGGACACTTTGCTGGCCATATTCATTGTCCTATTTTTATTATTACCAAAACACTAGAAGGTACTATAATAATGAAGTTACGCAGATGTGAAAAACATGACTTAGTTGTAGTAAATTAACTTGTCCTGGAGAGATATATGGATGAGTCAGTATCCAAACTGTACCATACAACCTTTTAGTTTTCTGGAACCAGGGAGAAAGTGGGAAGAGAAATAGAAGAAATTACATATGACATGATAGATAGTTCCTCTTCAACAAAGTTTGCTGTGCTACAATCTACCAAAGCTGATAATTTAATGGGCCGCTCAATGTTGCCTAGAGCACATTAAGTGTGACATTTTCTTAATTTATCATTGGTATATATGCTGGTAAATTTTGTTTACATAGTGATGAATTGCCTTAGTTTAACATCTTATATCGGAATTGAATGAGGTTAATTGAGGTTCCAGAGCACAGGTAACGTTAGAAGCTTAAACACCAAAACCTTTACCCTACCTAAAGCAATGAACATATAGTTGAATCAATAAAAAGAAAATGATTTCTGTGTAATTCCAACTGTATATTAGTAATTATTTCAACAAGCTTTATTGACTATCTAATCAAAAACCATCAATATGTCAAAGGGTGGTTGTGCTGCATAGCCTTCATAATAGACAGCTGAGGACACAATCTATAGCCACTATGTGGCAGTAGTAACAGATCACCACAGCCCTTGATCTCCAAACACTTTTGCTTCCACCTGACTTCATTGAATGTCACATGCAAATATGCATGCTACCACATACTGTGGATTATTCATCCCCATTTCTCCATAGCAAAAAGGTTATCTATCATTTCTCAAATATATGAAACATGCAATCCCAGAATCTCACTTAAGGTTTTTCTTGGTGTTGCCCCTAATACCACTTACTGTATGCTATGGTTTTAATGTGGCCCCCAAAGTTCATGTATTGAAAACTTGATCCTCTATTCAGTGGTATTGGGAATTGTGATTTAATGGGAGGTTTTTGAGTCATGGAACATCACCTTTATAAGTGTCTTGGTGCCATTATCATGAGAGTGAATTTCTTATAAAAGGACAAATTTGGCCTTCTCCTGTGTGCACTCATGCTCTCTCTCTCTCTCTCTCTCACACCCTCTTTTGCCTTTCTACCTTCTGCTATGAGACGATGGGGCTCTAATGTCTTCACCAGATTCCAGTCCCTCAATTCTGGACTTCCCAGCCTGTAGAATCACAAGCCAATAAAGGTCTGTTTATTGTAAATTACCCAATATGTAATATTGTGTTATAGAAACAGAAAATAGATTATGGTACTGCATTTACCATTCTTCTAATAGGAAACAGTATACTCAAATTAAGTAACTTAAGAAAACTATTTGCAAAGCTGTATGCAGAGTGTAGGGAATCCACAATGTATAATACAGTATTCCAGGACCAGAAATAGTGGAACATCATAAACACCTGGTGGCTTGAAGGAACAAAGGCAAGGGCCAGTTAGCAGATAATGGAGAGTAAAAAAGCTGTGTGTAGAAGGCCAAATAATAGATTATGTGTTCTTCAGTTATGAGACACAATCACTCATGCAGAATTCCATGGGAGAGTAACAGGGAAAATAAAACTGTGGGCTTGTTCTCCTCTTTGTCTCCAATCTTCTGTTGGCCAAGCCCAGACAGCATCTAGAAGACAAAGGATGCAATTCATGTGGATCAGCCACTCAGGGCACAGAGCAGGGTGGGAAAAGAAGAAAAATATCTTCAAGGGCAAAAGGGATGATCACGTACATTTTCCAACAAGGTAAAGTATTTCCATTGTTATCAGTGAAAGTCAAGGACTCAGACTCTATAGAGAAATATATGTTCTCTCCTTCTCAGATTTCCCCTAACCTTAAGCCTTAACAACATCTACAACACAGACTCTAAGTGATCCTGATAAGATTGTCCTTCAAATTTTCTTCCACAAACATGCTCCCAGAAAGATTGAAGGAGGTTGCTTGGGCTCCATGTATATAGTAATGCTTTTTTCACAAGCCCCAACATTTAACAGATCAGCTTTTAAAGAGTTCCTCAGAGCTACTAGTGTTCCTGGTAAGCTCTCCAACCTATCTTTCTTGTCCCCTTTACCCCGTAATTTTCATCTGGTGTCAACAAATTGGCTACAGACCAATCCCAAGAAAGTGACAACCTACTTTTGACAAAGAGTCCAGCAACACTAATCACATTGGGCCTTACGTTCCTATTTATCTCAGTCACTACAGGAGGTCAAACACCTTCATCTAGATCCTCATTCCTATGTGGCTTTGCAGAGACACTGTTCGGACTCATTGCCCATTCCTAACCTAAGCAAAAGCTTTTCTCCGTACCTCTGGGACCCCTGGTTTGTCATTGGTGAAAGTCCTTGTATCTTCCCTTTAGCACACTTGCATTAGTTGGAAGCCTTTCAAGAGATGATTTGGTTTTCTCGTATTTCTATTTTATCTCAGGGCCCAGACTCAATGTATTTCCTGATGCTAGCTTATGTTTCCAGGCCATTGTTTATTTTTCTACTCTCTCCATCCCTCTTAGAAACACCTAACATCAGGTATTCCTCACTGACATTATCAGCCATCCTTCATTAAGGAACACGTATATTAACCTCTGTGTTAACATGCATGTAATATATAATAAACCCCATTGAAGGTTTTAGTATATGGCTTGCTGTCTTTGTGTCTATACTACTCCTGTTTAGCACTTTGACCTCTTAATCCTTTAACCTCTTCAGTTCCAACCCTCTTTATATCTCACCATCACGACCAGAATTTTCACCACTGATTACGCCATAATTCCTGACATGTTAACTATGCCAATTTTAAATATCTTGTTCTCCATCTATTTTTTCTATATTTCCAGTTCATTTGCTCTACTATCTCTATTTCCATAATTCTCTAACTTCACTAGGACTTTCAACTCACTTATCTACTGTGTTAGCTCCATTGTAATTCTGGCATCATTTTTATCCAGAGAAGGTTCTATATTCCAACATTATCATCACTAACTTGCATATTCTTTCAAATCCCTTGACATCTACCCTCCTTGCCGTGCATGGCTTTTACCCTGATTGCACACAATTCCTTGTGCTCACACTATACCTCTACTCATACATCCAAATGCAACCAGAGCAGTACACACAGCCATTCTGACAGTATCACTTTAAATTCATGACTACAAATCTCATCAAGTCTCAGCACTGCCAAACAATCCCTCCATATTATCTAAGTAAAATCACCCGAGCTTATTTCTCCTATCTAATGGTAAATTTGCACCCATTGACCAACTTCTCCTCATTCTCACCTTTTCCTCCTCTTAGTCTCTGATAATCACAGTTTTATGATATGAACTTTTTTGCTTTTTTAGATTCCACATGTGATTGAGGTCATGAAGTATCTAGTCATGAAGTATACAAAAGTGTCTTTCTGCGTCTGGCTCATTTCACTTAAAATAATGTTCTCCAAATTCATATATGTTGTGACAAATTCCAAAGTTTCTTTTTTATGACTGAATAATATTCCATCATGCATACATACCACATTTTCTTTGTACATTGTTGTGGTTTTGTTGTGTTCCCACTCAAATCTCATCTTGAATTGTAGTTCCCATAATTCCCATGAGTCGTGGGAGGGATGCAGTTGTAGGTAATTGAGTCATAGGGGTGGTTTCCCCCATGCTGTTCTCATGATAGTGAGTGAGTTCTCAAGAGATCTGATGGTTTTCTAAGCATCTGGCATTTCCCCTGCTGGCACTCATTCTCTCCCCTGGTGCCCTGTGAAGAGGTGCCTTCCACCATGATTGTAAGTTTCCTGAGGCCTCTCCAGCCATGCTGTGGTCAATTAACCTCTTTTCTTTATAAATTACCCAGTCTCAGCTATTTCTTCATGGCAGCATGAGAACGGACTAATACATCCATTTACCCATTGTTGGACACTTGGGTTGATTTTACGTCTTGGCTATTGTGAATATACTGCAGTAAGCATGGGAGTGCAGATATGTTCTCAATATACTGTTTTCTTTTCCTGTGAGATCCAGCAATCCCACTACTGGGTATATATGCAAAAGATCCTCCTTTTTTTTTTTTTTTTTTTTTTTTTTTGAGATGGAGTCTTGCTCTGTCGCCCAGGCTGGAGTGCAGTGGTGCAATCTTGGCTCACTGCCACCTCCGCCTCCTGGGTTCTAGCAATTCTCCTGCCTCGGCCTTCTGAATAGTTGGGGCTACAGGTGAATGCCACCATGCCTGGCTAAATTTTTGTATTTTAGTAGAAACGGGGTTTCACCGTGTTAGCCAGGATGGTCTCAATCTCCTCACCTTGTGATCTGCCTGCCTCTGCCTCCCAAAGTGCTAGGATTACAGATGTGAGGCACCGTGCCCGGCCAAGATCCTCCTTCTTTATTGACCTCTTTATGTTTCATTCCCACAAAATTCTGCCTTCAGATTTGATCTTTTATCTATCCACATTTATTCTTCCAATTATCTCATCTATCCACATGGCTTTAAACACCATATATTCACTGACGATTCTTAAATTGTACATTTCTAAAGTGGACCTCCACCCTGCATGTCCAAACCAAAACTGCTTTGTATTTGCTATCCCATAGTCAAATCTCTCCTCTTCTTAGAAAATATTAACACCACTTATTTCGTTTTCCAAACAAAATTCTTCTCTTTCTGTTATCTATAAAAATTGAAATCAAAATTATGTCTGTTATATGTTGTTGACTTAAAGGAATGGTGATGCTCAATTCTGACTACTCTGTGGGAGGTAAGACGAAATCAAGTGAGCAACCAAGATTATTACGTTGAAGTAGAACAATAATTTTTATTTTGAGAATCTGATATCAATTTTACATCTAGCTTGTTCCTCAAAATACCACACGAAGAACTAAGAAGCATGGATTACAATGAACTATACAGTCATATAAAGCATAATAATTATAAAAATTATAATATGCATTTTGTGGAGTCAGATTTGTATATAAGAGGTAAAATATGATAACCACTTGTTCAGTTATTGTAACACTGAATCTATGTTGCCATTGATTTGAGTTTTGTTCTTATAGGCCCAAGCCATGCTTCAAAGGAATAAAATATTTCACCTTGGGTCTTAGTTTTACTTCCAAAGGCAATCAAAGCACTGAAGCATTTATGAATGGGTTAGAAGTATCAATCATCAATCATTGTCAGAATCCTATCAATAATAAAAATAATCCTCCCAAAACGTATTTTTCTTGAAATACTATTAAAATTGAGGCTTATGTCAAAATAACAGGCATGAAAAATAGGCCCACTTCTGAAACTGTAGAAAACAAATGCAACATGTCTTACTTTGCAATGGCAACAAAAAAATTTATTCAGCTGCTGGATGCAAGGGTCACTTATTCTGGTGATGCTTAGCACAAAAATAATGAGGCTATTACTTTTTTAGCTTTGCCTCTAATCTAATCAACATGGTCTTGTTTTACTCTCTCAGGTGTCTTATTATTAGATCACTAACATTTTCAAAAATGTTTCTACATAAATATGAGGTAAAAGCAATTCACCCATAGCCACGAAACTTCCTAGTTTCAATCTGTGAGAGACAGTAATGAAAGTTTATTAGAAGCATTTTCTTCTGTTTTATGACTCCATGACTTTGCATACTAATAGCTGTTATAATTGGAATAGAACTATGCTTTAGAAGAAAACATAAAAGTATGCACAACTTTCATATTTCAAAGTAGCTCTAGGCAAAGGAAATGAAAAATGGCCTAGCAGGTAAGAATATGTATTTTAATTCTTTCATATTTCATAAAAAGTCACCCAGCACAAATCTGTAAGACAGACCTTTGGTAAATGTTATTTTGTTATTTTTTGGAATCATGGATTTTGGACTTGGATACCTTTTCTTGTAGATGTGAATCTGCATGTGATCAGTAATAAGTGGCTCTCAATGCTGTGGGCTCCTATTCTGTCATTTACTTCAGTCAGAATATACTGGGCACATGATGTGTGTTCAACAATAATTTGCCAATTACCTTATATTTTTTACCCAAAATAAATTTCAACCACAGAAAGTGATCAAGTAGATATTTATAAAGCATTAGGGACATATTGGAAACTGTAGATTGTACACTGATCAATTACTTTTATATTATTTTAGAAATTTTTACTTATCTCAAAATGTATTAAAATACTCATCTGTCCTCTTATTTCATGGATATTAAATGTATGTATATTTATTAAATATCAAAATTGAGTCTTTGTAAAAAAAGATTAAAGCTTAATAAAGATCATAGTCATATGCATAAATGTCACAAATATAAAACACTCTTCCTCTTTTTACTACACCCGTGTTGACAGATGTTGAATTATATTCAAGTCAACTCATTTACTAGCCTTTCTGTGGGCTCTTAATAGTTATAAATTATTTTGCCAAATGTACAAGATTGCACTTGCATTGAAGTAGAGTCTAAGATAGAAAAAGAGGTGTACATTTGAGTATTTCAAGAGTTCCAACAAATGTGCAAACACAGTTCTCTGGTACTTCAGAAGAATTAGAAATCATATCCAATTCAAGGATATTAAGAAAGTCTTTACGGGGGAGGTAGCAATGAAGAGAAACTTGAAACAGATAGAGTCTCACCATCTGGCATAAGATGGAAAAGGCACATTCCAGACAGCAAAAGACATAAACACATCACTTGAAGTCATTCTCAAAGAAGGGAAAGTCATCTTTAAATATCACAGTGGAGCCAAGGAGAGATTAAAAGTAGTTACATTTCTAGAGAGGGGCAAAAAATGACACTTTACTCATTAGAGCGAAATTTGTCTTAACTGAGATTTTGCAGAGACCTTATTTTACTTATCTGGTATCTCTTCTTTGACTACAGAGACATTTTTTTAACATGAATGACTCATTTGAAATCTATACTTGGAAATGTCATATTTTCTAAGACTCAACAGGGATTTGCTATATTTTTAAAGATTAATTTCTAGAGGAAAGGGTTTTTAGATATAAAAATTAATCCCCTGGCATACTATACAAATACAAAAATCCTTTAGTATTCATGAACCTTGTTTCTAATTCTGACATTTCTACCTTCCAAGCTTGCTTCTTTAATCAGAGTAGTGTGAACGTCCTCAGTATATCACCACTGAGTTTTAATAGCAAGTAAAAAACCAAAAACTCTTCTGACCTTTAGCTGCAGAGTTTATACCTGAGATTCTTGACAAATAGCTGCCAACTGATAGATTTTTTTTTTAATGTCATGTCAGTTTTCATTTTCCTGTGACTATGTCTTGGGTAGGCATGGATATTATCCAGATTCTAAGCTAAATTGCATTCTATTATTAATAGCTTTAATCTGTTTGTAATCATCTCTTATTAATGTGATACATTGGATATACTGAGAATATAGATTTTTCCAAGAAATATATTGACAAAGTGAAATTCTTCTGGAATTGTTTCTACCTACATATCCCACCAACAACTGAAGTCAACAGGCAGTGACACCAGCACTTACTCTACAAAGCTTGCAATATTGAATATAATTGGTGGATTCAAAATAATTATTTTACTGCTGATTATCCTGAGACTACATACTCCTAGCCAAACTGTGCTAAGAGAAGCACTAATTCTTAACAATGTTAACCAGATTTCTAGGTAACTTGGGGAAAATACTGCACATGTGATTTTTTTTAACAGATTCCAAATGTAAATTAACTTACATAAAGAATTGAGAATTTCTGAAGTTTAATATGTCATTTCACATGTAAAGGGGATGGTATATGTTAAGATCCTTGCTCTCACTATTTCCAATAAAGTATTATAGCTATATATTTTTAAAATTTGAATCTCCTGTTCCATAAATCAATTTATGAAGGCACTAGTAACATATTTACTTAGATGCAGCTTTTAATCTGTCCAAAGACTTAGAAATGAGACAAAAGAAAGCATAACCAACAAACAAAAAATAAATATAAAAGTTGGTGTTTGTTCTGAAAATCTGCATGTCTTAAGTAATCTTTAAGCTCTGTCAAAGACAGAACAACATCGAATACAATCTGACTTAGAAATTTAGGAGGGATCATGAATAACAGAAATGTAAATAAAATGCAGATAGGAGTGACAATATTGAGAGTTGTTTAAAATAATAGGGTAGTTTTCTGTTGTTGGGCAAGTAATGAAAAAATAAATGAATATATTTTGGTTTTCTCTCATATTTGCACAAAGAAAAATTGAAAATATGCATATATAACTAATACAATTCTTATCTGTATAAAGCAAGGGGCAGTGTCAGACACAGTGAAAAGGAACAAGACTTGGGGCAAGACTTCTTGATGTCTAGATTTTCTAATATTTTGATTTTTGAATCACATGAACGTTTCAAATTAAACTTAAAAGTAAAAGGCAAAATTGTTATTGCAAATAGAGTTTCTTTAGTTGCTCATAGTAGAGACTTCAAAATTGGATTATGTAATGATGTGTTCTCCTCACTGTATAGAAGAACAATATATAGAGAGAAGGAAAGTAGAACAAGACGAAACTGGCACAGTGTTTGTGAGCAAACATTGCTAATTGATAGGGAATGAACATGTAAAATACCTGTTCAATACAGGAGATTTTGCAGTGGTTCATTGCAAATGGACAGTCACATGCAGACATAGTTGAGAGACCTCACAGAAGGAGAAAACAGATAATAGAATCAATAAAGACTGATGAAAATTATTCTCCTTTTCCAATATTTGAGCAGATATGGTTTTGAACTGATATCACTCTTAAAAAATTGGATGTAAAAGATGAACCCTCTTCCCAAAAGGCCGAAAATGCACATATATAGATGCACAAAACTATTAAATACAGACAATTTAGAAGTTAACACAGATGTAAGAGGACGAGCCTCCAAATTTTAATGGGCAAGATACTGTGATCCAAATAGAACTTGGATTAAATCTCAGTACTGCCACTGATGACTAACGGACCTTAGATAAATTACTTAATTTCTCTGAGCCTCGGTTTTCTTATCTTCAAAATGGAGATAATGATTCTTGTGTTACCAGCATAAGGAACAAATTCAACATATATGAAATATTATTATTGTTACTATAATTATAATGGCTGTCAAACAGAATTAGAAACTCAAAAGCTGGGCAAAGAGATAGTCTTCCCTGTCCCTGTCAGGGTAACTGATATGTCCTCCTTCAACATACTGCAATTCTATTGATATTCAGAGGTAAGTACTCTGAATCATTTTGCTACCACTCACAGATTGTCTTTTCATTTTCTCACCCATATATCTTTCCTCCCAAAATAGTTTCAGAGAAACTCTAGCATCTTTACTCCAATGGTGTTAGACCTAACTTCATTTGTTTCAAGGAGAGAAAACTATAGTGATCACACAGTCAGGGAAGGAATCTCAAGTTTTGGGGTTTTGTTTCTAGTATAGCTTTATGGAGTGGCTGATAGTCTTACTATCTAATTAGATGCTTCAGGCACATGCCAGCTTTGAAAGTCTGGCAGTAGTTTCTAAGGGTGCAAAGAACAGTTTGAGGTGAGAACATTTGTTGAGGATGTCCTATTTTGATTTCTATAAAAATATAATTATATGAAATCATAATATCTGTGTCCCTGGTAGTGCTAAGATACGGAGCATGCTACCAAAGAACAGCCCCCTTTACTTGAAGGAGACAGAGAGAAAAAATTATATCTCCATGAAATAATGCAGTGATTAATTTAAAAAGCTGTCTCCTTTCTCTTACCTTTTAAACCGTGAGGGGATTTTTTTTGTCCTATTACGATAATATCAGTTCTAACAAGATAAACTCAGTAAAGCCCACTAAGCATTAGTTTATGCATGAACCTTTGCACTCTTTGACCCACTTTGTATAAGTATATAAAGAGAAAATGAAAATGAGTTTGCAAATCATGCTTAGCATAAGTCTGAGAACTTGCTTACTGTTTGTTATTCCATTAGGAATTTTATTTGAATTGTTGCTTCAGTCTCACCCCACCTCTCTGTTGGTTTTCAAAGATGAGTTCAGAATGATTGAACTTAATGTTTAATGGCTTCAATTGTGAGGGCAGCTAAGTGGCTATATACTTAAAGAACAAGAGTAATAAACATACTTTCCTTCATTTGCTGTTCTGCCATACTATTAGTCTACCAAAAAAAGTTTAAGTTTTAAGTGACGAGTAACAAATTGATGACATGCACTCTTGACTAATTAGGTGAATCCCTCATTCTATATGGTACTTGAGCTTTAATAAGAAAAATAATATCAGCATAATAACAATAACCTGATATTATCCATTTAAAGTATCTACTTCACTGCCATTGAATATAGCAATTAGGAGGACAGGTCCTAATGACAATATTTAGCTAGTACCGTTTCAGTGATATAAACCTTTCAAATCTGCTCATCATCACCTCTTCTTCCTGAGAATAACTTTTTTTCTCAGTATTAATTAACTATTCCAAAACTTAGTAAGCTTCTCATTCACCTTATTCAGTTAGTTTTGCTTACTAATAATCATAACCCATTCTCTTTTCAGAATACAATTCATAGATTTGCTGTATAGATTTGCTTTCTCACCCTCCAGCTGCTCTCAATTCAGTTCCAGTCAGTTTGAGATTATTGGATTTAGTGAGGAGGCTACACTCTGAATCTCATCTTTTCCCTAAGGCACTCAAAGCCTTTCTAGCCCTTTTTCTTTCTCTCTCTTTCTTTTCTTTCTTTCTTTCTTTTTTTTTTTTAACAACTTAAGGCCTTAAAATACTTTGTTTTTGCAAAATTTCAGCAGCCATAATTTCTATACTATGATCTTGTATTTCTTCATGCATCCTGGCCAATCCTCTCCTGGCTCATCTCCTTCAGGCAACATGAAAGTGTGTTTTTTCAAATTCTAATTCTATTAAAAGAGGAAGAACCTCTGCCTTCTAGACTACCATAAGCAAGTGTTTTATCAAATGTTTTACACTGCATAACATAAATCAGCATTTTTTTCAGCCTTCTATATTAGTTTTCCTAGGCCAACACTGTATATTTTATGTTGTGTTACATCATCACTCCAATTCTAGTACAAATTTGTCTTCTGATGAGGTTAACTTAGGCTATGCTGAGATAACGACTCTGAAAATTCAGTGGCTAAATGCATGAATATTTTATTACGTGTCTTGCTCCGTCCTGCTCTGTGTGTCACAGGGCTTTACTGCTCAAAGTCACTTGGTTTTCCAGGATAAAGAAAGCTCTTCCGTGACCCAGCTGTTGTACCATTAGAAACATTCAGTTTCTTTGGGATTTTCAACAGAACACAGGGTGTAGTGAATTGATATTGTTTTTCTGTGACTCAGCCTATAAATGACATATGTCACTTTTGCTTATGGTGCCTTGATCTGGACTAGTTCCTTGGCCCCGTGTAACTGAAAGACAGCTGAGTTACATAGAAGGAGAAGGGTATGTGGCTATTAATTGAGAAGTAACTACTTGCTGCACTATAGAAGGAGAAGGATATGTGGCTATTGAGCAGTAACTACTTGCTACACTATAGGTAAAAATACCTTGATCAACTACTTTATAATTTTTTTCACATAAGATTCCTTTGGCTTCCTAGATCTCACGAGTTGATTATACCTCCTTTACTATTTTATTAAAATTCTATTTGAATTTTTAAAATTCCTTATAATCCCTTATATTCAATCCAATATACATTTAATTTCTCTCATTGATAAAAGCCTGGTCATAACTCTGACCATTTTTTAAATGCTTTGATATCTATAGTTATAGGAGAAAATAACTGATAAAAGATTAAATATTAGATATATACAGGTAAAGGAAATACGGAACCACAGTTTCTAAGCCTCGAAGTAATGAAATGACAATAGCTCTAATCAGCCTCTTTGAAATATGAACACAGAGAAATGCATGTTGACAATGGTTAATAAAGTTTCGTGTCAATAATAGATTATGATTTTTAAAAATATTTTAAACTTTGCATTCCAACCAAAGGCATTTACATAAAAAAGTAGAAGTATAATCATCTCTGCAATCCATACATAATTATATAATGGTCATGACCATGCCATAGATGATATAGATGGATTCACATGCCAATCTGAACTTAGAAAACAAGTTTTTTTGCAGAAAGGAAAAGGTGTTCAAGATGATACTGCTCAGAGCTGGCAGATGACTTTGAATCTACTCCCCAAATTTAATATCTCAGATGTTGATGTGGGAGGAGCACAGTGAAATTTTTAGCACTCAGCAACTTTGAAGAATGAAGTTCTCGGAATGATTAAGCATTCTAATTAATATATATGGCATAGATATCATGTGTGGAATACCAGTTTTTTAGAGAACTGAAATAGTATAGAATCTATTTTTAAGTAATATCAAATAATTTAGTATTTATTTGATTACTCAGAAGACACATGAGGTTCTCAAAGAATCTGCATAAATAAATTTTAGTTATTATTCTGAAGATTTAGAAAAACATAGTTTAAAAAATATTTTCAGTAATTAAAAGGTGTCATTTTTTATGGTATAATGCAGTCCACAGCTCACATTCTAACAGTGTCTCTTACTTGCTAAATATTATAAGCAATTTACTCTCTCTAAGCATCTTTCATTATCATTACAATCATTAACTCTTTCATAATATTATCTGGAAAATTCTCAGAGTGAATTCCATGGTTATAGTAGAGTAACATTTAGACTGTTTATCTGTTAATATTAATTTATTCTGAGTTGTTCTATTTAAGGTCTGCTTAATGAAACTACTTTAGGTATTTTTTTGAACCAGGAAGTGGGTAATCGGGTGTAGCACATACAATTCAGTGAGTCTGAGTCTGTTGAAACTTATAGCATTTAAGGTCTACTGTGTTCTGACTTATATCTGTGTCTCCCAGTATATCTACAGTACCTATCTGTGTTAGTTCATTGTCACACTGCTATAAAGAACTACCTGAGACTGTGTAGTTTATAAAGAAAAGAGGTTTAATTGGCTCACAGTTCCACAGGATGTGTAGGAAGCATGGTTGTGGAGACCTCAGGAAACTTATAATCACGGCAGAGGTCAAAGGGGATGCAGGCACAATCTTTACATGGTGAAGCAGAAGACAGAGAGCAAAGGGGGAAGTGCTACATACTTTTAAACAACCAGATCTCATGAGAACACACTATCAAGAGACAAGTAAGGTGGAAGTGCATCCCCATGATCCAATTGCCTCCCACCAAGTCCCTCCTCCAACACTGGGAATTACAATTTGACATGAGATTTGGATGGGAACACAGAGACAAACCATGTTATTCTACCCCTGGCACGTTCCAAATCTCATGTCCTTCTCACATTTCAAAACACAATCATGCCTTCCCAGCAGTTCCCCAATGTCTTAACTCATTCTGGCATTAACTCAAAGTTCAAGTCCAAAGTCTCATCTGAGACAAGGCAAGTCCCTTTCACCTATGAGCTTGTACAGGCACAAACAAGTTAGTTACTCCAAAGATACACTGGGGATACAGGCACTGGGTGAATAGATCTGTTCCAAGAGAGATAAATCAGCCAAAACAAAGGGGCCCCAGGCCCCATGCAAGTCCAAAACCCAGCAGAGCAGTCATTAAATCTCAAAGCTCTGAAATAATCTCCTTTGACACCATGACTCACATCCAGGGCATGCTGAAGCAAGGAGTGGGCTCCTAAGGTCCTGGGAAGCTCCACCCTTGCAGTTCTGCAGGGTAAAGACCCTGTGGCTGCTTTCATGAGTTGGCATTGACTGCCTGCAGCTTTTCCAGGTTCACAGTGCAAGCTGTACATGCATCTACCATTCTGGGGTTGGAGGAGAGTAGCCCTCTTCTCACAGCTCCACCAGGCAGTGCCCCACTGGGGACTCTATGTGGGGGCTCCAACCCCACATTTCCCTTGTGCACTTTCCTAGTAGAAGTTCCTCATGAGGGTTCCATTCCTGCAGCAGGCTTCTGCCTGATCATCCATGTGTTTCTATACATCCTCTGAAATTGAGATGGAGGCTCCCAAATCTCAACTCTTGCCTTCTGCACACCCACAGGTCTAACATCATATGGAAGCCACCAGGGCTTGGGGCTTGCACCCTCTGAAGCCATGGCCTGAGCTATATTTTGGCCCCATTTAGACACAGCTGGATCTGGAGCTGCTAGGATGCAGGGCACGATGTCTTGAAGCTGCACAGAGCAGCGGGGCATTGGGTCTGACCCATGAAACCATGTTTCCTTCTTAGACCTCTGGGACTGTGATGGGAATGTCTTCCATGAAGGTATCTGAAATGCCTTGGAGGCATTTTCCTCATTGTCTTGTCAATAATAGATTATGACATTATTCCATTGATATGATATGACTATTAATATTCGAATCCTCTTTAATTATGTAAATTTTTCAGCTGGTTGAATTCCTCCTCAGAAAATGGGTTTTTCTTTTCTACTGCATGGCCAGGCTGCAAATTTTCCCAACTATTATGCTCTGCTTCCCTGTTAAATATGTTTCACTTTCAGGTGATTTTTCTGTTTGTTCAAATGAGTATAGGCTTTTAGAAGCAGCCAGGACACATCTTGAACACTTTTCTGTTTAGAAATTTCTTCTGCCAGATATCCTTAATCTTTTAATCTCAAGTTCAAAGTTCCACAGATTCCTAGAGCAGTGGCACAATGACTCCAGTCTCTTTGCTAAAGCATAGCAAGAGTGAACTTTACTCCAGTTCCCAGTAAGTTCTTCATCTTCATCTGAGATCTCATCAGCCTGGACTTCACTGTTCATATCAACATCAGCATTTTGGTCAAAACCATTTAACAAGTTTCTAGGAAGTTCTAAACTTTCCAACATATTCCTCTCTTCTTCTGAGCCCTCCAAACTGTTCCAGCCTCTGCTCAGTTCCAAAGGTGTTTCCACATTTTCAGGTATCTTTATAGCAATGCGCCACTTCTGGGACACCAATTTTCTGTATTAGTCCATTGTCACAATGCTATAAAGAACTACCTGAGACTGGGTAATTTATAAAGAAAAGAGGTTTAATTGGCTCACAGTTCCACAGGCTGTATAGGATGCATGGCTGGGGAGACCTCAGGAAACTTACAATCATGTCAGAAGGCAAAGCGGAAGGAAGCAGGCACAATGTTTACACGGAAGAGCAGCAAAGGGGGAAACACACTTTTAAACAACTAGATCTCCTGATAATTCAGTCACTACTATGAGAACAGCAAGGCTGAAATCTGCCCCCACGATTCAGCCACCTCCCACCAGGTCCTCCCCTAACAGAGATTACTAGAGGCTGGAAAGTGCAGGAGGAAAGGAGAGATAAAGAGAGATTTGTTAAAGGATATAAAATTGCAACTAGACAATAAGTTCTAGTATTCTATAGCACTGGAGAATGACTATTAGACATGACAATTAGACATAAGATTTGGATGGGAACACAAAGCCAAACCATACCGCCATCTAAATGCACTCTCCACTTGAGGTGACAGATTTTTACTTTTAATATATTCTGTGGCTGTCTCGTGTTCACATTGTCATTTTCAAATACTTCCTTTCAACCAGACTTTTTCGTCTTCTTCCCCTGTCTTCTCCACCTCATGGAGTTCTAAGGCTTATCTCTAACATCAGGTCCTCCAAGATCCTGCTGAGTCACTCACATTGGATGGTTAAACACTGCAGTGTTCCAAGTAAAATCTTCAGGTATTAAACAGCAAGATGAACAAGACAAAGTCCCTGTCTTTGGGAAATCCAGGTGTTGTAGAGGCTGGTACAGAATTAATTTTAATACAAAGTAGTGACTAATGAGAAAATGTGCAAAAAATGTTATCCATTACTTATCCAAACTCCCAAAGTAATGCCAGTGCCCCTTCTGTGGCAATAATGTTACTCAGTAGGAAAATACAGTGGAAAGAGAAACCTAACTGAAGTTTTAAGTTATTTTTTATTGATGCATAATAAGTGTACACATTTTGGGAGTACATGTGATAATTTAATACATTCATATAATTTGCACAAATCAAATTAATGCACTTGGGATGTCAATAACCTTAAATGTTTGCTTTTCTTTATGCTTGAAACATCTAAATTATTCTTTTCTAGCTATTTTGAAATACACAATAGATTGTTATAAACTATAGTTACCTCACTTATGTATGGAATACTAGGTCTTATTGCTTCTATCAAACTCTAAGAACAACTATAAAGCTTCTGCACAGCAAAGGAAACAATCAACAGAGAGAAAAGACAACCTGCAGAATGGAAGAAAATATTTGCAAATGACTCGCCTGACAGGGAATTTATATCCAGAGTACACAAGGAACTGAACCATCTGACCGGCCAAAAAAAAAAAAAAAAAAAAAAAAAAAGAAAAAAAGAAAAGGATAGAGAAAGAAAAAGGAAAAAACAACAATCCAATTTAAAAAATGAGCAAATTATCTGAAAAGATATTTCTAAATAGAAGACACAAAAATGGTCAAAAATATATGAAAACATATTTAACAACATTAATCATCAGGCAAGTGCAGATCAAAATGGCAATCTCATTCCAGTTAGTATGACTGTTATCAAAAAGAGAAACAAAAACAAATGCTTGTGAGAATGAGGAAAACCATTTCTAGTACAATTAATATGGAGAATAATATGAAGGTTCCTCAAAAATCTACAAATAGAACTACCATATGATCCAGAATCTCAATTCTGGGAATCTATCCAAAGGAAAGAAAATCATTATGTCAAAGAAACATCTGTGTCTCCAAGTTTATTGCAGTAGTAGTACAGTCACAGTAGCCAAAACATGGAATCAAACTATATGTCCAACAATAGCTGAATAAATAAAGAAACTGTGGTATATATACACAATGAAATACCATTCAGCTATAAAAAAGAATGAAATCTTGTCATTTGCACCAACATGGATGGAGCTATGGGATGTTATGTTAAATGAAATAAGCCAGGAACAGAAAGTTAAATGTCACAGGTTTCCACTCATATGTGTAAGTTCAAAAACAGTTGATCTCATAGAAGTAAAAGGTAGAACAGAGGATATTGGAGGCTGAGAAGTGTAGGGGGAAAAGAGAGATATGGGGGGGGATTTGTTAAAAGATATAAAATTACAACTAGACAATAAATTCTAGTGTTCTATAACACTGTAGGATGACTATAGTTAACAGGAATATATTATGGAGTTTCCAGCAGCTGGAAGGAGGATATTGAACATTCCCAACATATATTATATATATTATATATATATGTTGAAATATCACTATGTATCACATGAATGAACAATTATTCAATGAATTGTTCACTCATTGAATGAACAATTATTGTTTGTCAATTTAAAAATAAAATTTAAAAAGGTCAAACTCAAAAAAAAAAAACCCTGAATTTTAATACAAGATTTTGCACTTACTTGTTGTGACATTGGGGAAAATACTTAAATTGTAAAATCTCTTAGGTTTAAAAAATTTTGTTGGTTTAGGTGTAGAGTTCAGCAGTGTTTAGTGCATTCACATGGTTTTGCAACGAGTCTCCATAGCTCTTTTTATCTTGCAGACTTATAATTTGTATTAATTATGAAAATAATAGCATTTACAAGATTTTCTGAGAATTAAAAATGATGACATATAAAATACCTAATTCAGAACCTGGCACATAGACACTGTTCAAATGGCAGCTATTTTTGTTTTTCTGTACTTCTGTGATGAGATGATATTGTTCTCTGAGTGGACCTATCTCAGATATATATCAAATAGAAGTTTTTGTGGTACTTTGCCCAGTGTATTAACAGCAGGTACCTTGCAGATACTCTGTTACAGTGAATGTATAGATAGCTGCATAGGGAGAAAAGCAGATGGATAAATAAAGGTAAGGTTTTTAAGAATGCTTGAAGCAGATGTCTCAAACCAGTAATGTTGCCAAAAGAAGGGACCAATGAGAAATACATTAGAAAGCAGGCATATTGCACAGATTTTGGAACTGAAGCATGATGAATGAAAGGGAGTTCTGAAGCCAGGTCTTATTTTACTATTATATTTCTCACAAAACAAACACATACACAAACAAGATTATTAAATTACAGACATTGAGGAGTTAACCAGTGTCACATAGTAGATTGATATTCAAATACAACACAACTACTTATTTCTAGAAAAATCTCACCCCATTGCTGCTTCATCTGATATATTAAGTTTTGTACTATTGAAAAAATTCACAATTTTGACTGTTTTTTACACATGACTATTAAAGGCATCTAAAAAGAATGTTAATTGGTACCATTTCTTCTCTTCAGAGTATTGAATACAAAGGAAATAGCAAACACAAGTAATTAATTCTTCCTCTTCCATTCTTAATAATACCATTGAAATTAAAGCAAAGGAAAAAGCTTTTAGGAAATCTCTTGGCTTAAAATGCTTCACAGAACTCCAAATAAGACTTACACATGGGGACTATTCAGCTTCTGCCCAAATTATTTAATTGTATCTTGGGGCCTTAGTGTATTAAAAAATGTAACAAGGAGGTGGAGATAGATCATAAAATCTGTATTTTAAAGAAATCTCTAGCTCTAAGTAAATGAAGGGAACAGGGAATCAATTACACTTGAGTATGTAATTTGAATAAATGAAAATGCCAGAATGACTGAAGCTTATTTATTCAGGATGATAGTACTAGTCTGAGAGTGGGTGACTGCATTTTAATAATATGAATACTGGAGGAGAACAAAAAAAAAAGAATAAGAGAGAGAGTGACATAAAATAGAAGTTATACTAAGCTGTAACTATTTTGAAATAAAGAATTGGTATACAGTTACACAAAAGACATTATGAATGAAAAATTTATGACTCCCTCTCATAGAGTTGAAACAACCTAAAATGAAAAATTTAGGATTGTCTCTGATAGAGTTGAAACAATCTAAAAATGAAAACGTGTCACTTTGTATGTCACTTTTTAAAGAGATATATTTATATATTGACATCATGAACAACGGGTAACAATGCATTATCAAATTAATGGGTTATTTCATGTGAAACTGAAAAGTAATTATACCCTTTAATTTTAATTTAATTTTTATTTACACTTCCCAAAATTTGTAGATAAACATCACTGACAATACCTTAACATGCACACAAACCCACATGCCCATATATGCACATGCACAGATGCACACACAGTTGCAGGAGGACATTACTGAGTTACAGCAAATGTAGAACTATTACTGTATTTGAGATAAATTTAGCCCTGGGAATCCTGAAGGCCAAGGTCAAAAGGAAATTTTGAAAAATCACCTGGCTTTCATTGCTTAATAAAAGAAAGCTGTGATATTGTGATATAATAAGAAATATATTCTTGATCTCCGCCCCCTAGTTTCTGACACAGACCTCCTAGGAACTTTGTAATTTCCTGAGTAATAGGAACATCTGACACAGAGCTCCTAAATCCCTTGAAATTTCCTGGGTGATAGCCCCTTTTGTTCTAATGAGGTGACTCTTGCTAAGCTCTTGGATTGCCTCAGGATAAAGGCTGGTTGTCAGGAAAACCAACCACTTGATTAAAGGGTTGGAAATTTTAGCCCCACCCCAAACTCTGAGAAAGAAAGAGAGGCTGAAGTTTGAGATATTCATCAATGGCCAATGATTTGATTGACCATGCCTACAAAACAGCCTCCATAGAAACGCAAAAGGATTGGGCTTGGGAGCTTCTGGATTGCTAAATGTGGAGATTTCTGGAGGGTGGCACACCTGGAGAGGGCATATCACATATTTGGTCCTATGCATCCCTTCACCTGGGTTTTCATTTGTATAATTTTTGATATTCTTTATACTAAATAAGTAAATCTATGGAAAATGTTTCCCTACGTTCTCTGAGCCACTCTAGCAAATTAATCGAACCTGAGGAGGAAATCACAGGAACCCCCGATTTGTGGTTGGTATTACCAGTTGTTAATAAGTATAGGTGACAACCTACTACTTTAAACTGGCATCTGAAGTGGGGGGAGTCTGGTGGGACTGAGCCCTGAACCTGTGGAATCTAACGCTATCTCTATGTAGATTGTGTCAGAATGGAATTGAATTAGAGGACACCCAGCTAGTGTCTGCTGTAGAATTGTGTGGCTGTTGTGTGAGCGTAGGAAAAAACAAAAGTGTTTTTCCCCCCCATATTCCTATTAGAGGCATCACAGATATTTCCTGGTATAAATTAAATAAAGACATATTAATGTTATTGTTATATAAAAGAATTGGAGCAAGATAATAAGCACACTTTTGAAAATGCCTTTGAAACATATATGTTTGACATAAAACTTAAAGGAAAAAAAAGACTCAGTAAAAAAGTAGTTGGAAAAAAAAGTAATTGGATAATTTTACCCACAGACAGGGAAGGTTGAGTGGTTAGAAATAATGTGACAATAGACCTGAACTACAGAGTAACGGATCTGTTTTAGGGAACAATGAAAAGAGTCCTTAATTTACTTTACATACTGAAAGCCGTCTTGTTTTTAAATTATTTTGTAACTTAAGTATTTTATTTAAAAACAAAATTGGCTGGGTGCTGTGGCCCATGCCTGTAATCCCAACACTTTGGGAGCCGAGGTGGCACCTCACTTGAGCCCTGGAGTTGAAGACCAGCCTGGGCAACATGGTGACCCTGTCTCTACAGAAAAAAAAAAAAATTACAAAAAAATGGCCAGGTGTGGCATCATTCGCCTGTGGTCTTAGCAACTCAGGAGAGTGAGGTGGGAGGATTGCTTGAGCCCAGGAGGTTGAAGCTGCAGTGGGCTGTGATCATGCCACTGCACTCCAGCCTTGGTGACAGAGTGAGACCATGTCTCAAAATAAATAAATAAATACAAAATAAATCCCGTAGGAATAATCAAAAGATGTGCAATGCAAAAGTTTGTAAAGCAGAGTATGGTAGCCATAGAACAAAAGAGAGAAATCCTGCCATGAAAAATTCAGAGGCTATTCTGCTATGAAACCAAAGTATTTTGGCAATATGCTGTAATTTACAAGGAATTATAGGCGATAATTCACTAAGGATCAACATGACAGCTGCTACTTTGGGAAGTCTATTATTTTTCTCTTCAATGCCAGGGTGTTTTATGAAGATGCACAGATAGAACTATAATAGGACTCTATGATTTAGGTTTGATTTATAATCTTTGGATGTGAATGTTCATTATGTGTTGTCTCTTTTAATGAAATTGCTACCTTTAAACTTAAAGTACTTATGAAATGGTGTGAAGAAGCCCAGGGAAGGCTAAGGCAAATTTTTAGTAAACACTTTTATAAGTATTAAAGGTATTGTAATGTAGTATCATGGCAGTAACAATTAAAAGGGAGATTACATGTAAACATATTTTTTTGTATTGGTTCTACCATTTAGAGCTAGAATTTCCTTTATAACATTCCATGTATTCATAATTATTTTATTCATTCAATAAATATTTATGGAGTATCAAACTCTGTCTACCACTAATGCAGACATCAGGGATATAATTGTGAGTAAAACAGACAAAAATTCCTATCCACATGAGTCTTTTGTTCCAAAAAGGGAGACATGCAATAAACAAGGCAGAGATGTAAAATATGTTGAGTGATAAATGTAGGTAAATAAAGGAGGGGTGAGGGATAGGAAGCCTCAGAGTGTGTAGAAAAAAGGCTAACTAAAAAAGTGATATCTAGTCGGGTGCTGGTAATCCCAGCACTTTGGGAGGCTGAGGAAGGTGGATCGCCTGAGGTCAGGTTCGAGACCAGCTGACCAACATGCAGAAACCCCGTCTCTACTAAAAATACAAAATTAGCTGGGTGTGGTGGTGCATGCCTCTAATGCCAGCTACTTAGGAGACCGAGGCAGGAGAATCGCTTGAACCCAGGAGGTGGAGGTTGTGGTGAGAAAAGATCGCACCTTTGCTCTCCAGCCTGGGCAACAAAAGCAAAACTCCATCTCAAAAAAAAAAAAAAAAAAAAAAAAAGATGTATGTGTGAAAACCTGAAGGAAGTGAAGGAACCAGCCATGCAGATATTCAGCAGAAAAGCATTCCAAAGAAAGGAAATAGCAGTGCAGTCTCTCCACTGTACCATACAGAAAGTGCCGTTTTTGTTTTATTTTATTTTTTACATGATCCACAATGCCTAACAATGTATCTGGCACAGGTGCTTAGTATGTATTTGTTGAAATAAAAATACTGATATTAATAACGCTTTTCATCTTACTACCTCCTACTTTTACCTCAATTCAAACACTACATACATAAGGAAGTCTTCACCAACCTCTCTCATTTTGTTAGGTCTTTCATTTTATGCACTCAGAGCAGTGCATGTACTTTCCTCACAAACATGTATCATAATTAGAAGTGAATTTGATTTGATGAGTGTTTATCAAACTTTCCTAGACATCTGGTTTTACACATCATGATATCCCTAGTGGCTAGTGCTTGACATATAGCAGATGCCCAATAAATGTCTACTGAACCAATGCATGAAAACAATGTTCTCATGATTTCCTAAATATTTACATCTAGCTTGCATCCAAATTTACACAGAAAATAGAGGCCAGCTGACTGGAATACTTCATCTGCATAGCGTCTACATCTGTACCCATACTCTTTCTTTCATCTTGCAAAAGGGAGCTTCCATCCATAGATGCTTCTATGTTACGACAGCAATGATGATGGCAATGATGATGAGTAAAGTTTATTTGGCACTCACAATGTGCCAGGCTCTTCTCACTTTTTCAGAAAACTTACATGATTTCTCTTACATAATTATGCACTCTCTTAACTCGATTAGCTTTTAAATATTCCCATTTATCTCTCATTAAAAATCAAATAAAACCCTCAATTAAGCCCACACATTTTTCAGATATTGCCTTATTTATTTCATCCAAAGTTAAATATCTCAAAATAGTTTAAGGAGCTTAGAGAGTGATCTCCTACTTCTCCAACCTCAATTCTCTTCAATTTGCATCTATCAGAACTGCTCAGTTTAAGTCGCCAATGGCTTTCATCACATTAAAATAAATAGCTATTTTTCTTTTTTTTATTATTATTATACTTTAAGTTTTAGGGTACATGTGCACAATGTGCAGGTTAGTTACATAGGTATACATGTGCCATGCTGGTGTGCTGCACCCATTAACTTGTCATTTAGCATTAGGTATATCTCCTAATGCTATCCCTCCCCACTCCCCCCACCCCACAACAGTCCCCAGAGTGTGATGTTCCCCTTCCTGTGTCCATGTGTTCTCACTGTTCAATTCCCATCTATGAGTGAGAACATGCAGTGTTTGGTTTTTTGCCCTTGCGATAGTTTACTGAGAATGATGATTTCCAATTTCATCCATGTCCCTACAAAGGACATGAACTCATCATTTTTTATGGCTGCATAGTATTCCATGGTGTATATGTGCCACATTTTCTTAATCCAGTCTATCATTGTTGGACATTTGGGTTGGTTCCAAGTCTTTGCTATTGTGAATAGTGCCACAATAAACATACGTGTGCATGTGTCTTTATAGTCCTTTGGGTATATACCCAGTAATGGGATGGCTGGGTCAAATGGTATTTCTAGTTCTAGATCCCTGAGGAATCGCCACACTGACTTCCACAATGGTTGAACTAGTTTACAGTCCCACTAACAGTGTAAAAGTGTTCCTATTTCTCCACATCCTCTCCAGCACCTGTTGTTTCCTGACTTTTTAATGATTGCCATTCTAACTGGTGTGAGATGGTATCTCATTGTGGTTTTGATTTGCATTTCTCTGATGGCCAGTGATGATGAGCATTTTTTCATGTGTCTTTTGGCTGCAAAAATGTCTTCTTTTGAGAAGTGTCTGTTCATATCCTTTGCCCACTTTTTGATGGGGTTGTTTGTTTTTTTCTTGTAAATTTGTTTGAGTTCATTGTAGATTCTGGATATTAGCCCTTTGTCAGATGAGTAGGTTGCAAAAATTTTCTCCCATTTTGTAGGTTGCCTGTTCACTCTGATGGTAGTTTCTTTTGCTGTGCAGAAGCTCTTTAGTTTAATTAGATCCCATTTGTCAATTTTGGCTTTTGTTGCCACTATTTTTCTATCCAAATCTTACCTCTTCTTTTGCTGAAATGTTTTTCTTACCAGGAGTGATGAAAAATGTCTCTGTCCCTGCCTCTGTAACATAAAATTCTTTTAGTTTCCCTCTTGTATCTCAGGTTCCTCGTTCATGGACTGATTTGGACTTACTTACCTGGCAATTGAATGTTGAAATGCTTCAGGCAGGACTCATTCTCATTGCCTGGAAATTTGCTATTATCTATGTTATTTTTCAAAGATATTTTATCTATGTCCATATTAACTATTAATATTCATACATGAATGACTCACAAAATTCTATTCTTTATGCAGATTTATCTTCTAAGATTTTAGGCCCATATTTCAAAATGTCTACTCAACATCTCATCTCAAATGATTTATGACACCTTAGACTTGACATATCTGAAATCAAACTCAGATTTTTACAATCAAAACTTGGTTTATTCCAAGGATTTCTTATATCACTGAATAGTAGCATTATCCATCCAGTTATTCCAGACAGAATCTTGAGAATAATTGCTGAGATATTTGTTATTCTTACAATCATTTCTCAGTGTCCCTTTTTTTCTCAATTTAGAGACTATATTTTTAATACTTTTAAATTCACAGCAAAATTAAGAGTAAGGTACAGAGATTTCCCATTTATCTCCCTGGCCCACATGGATAGGTTCCATGATTATTAAAATTCCCCTCCAGGGTTGTAAATTTGTTATAGTTGATGGACCTATATTGACACCTCCCTATCACCCAAAGACCATAGTTAACATTAGGGTTCACTCTTGGTGTTGTATATTTTATAGGTCTGAAGAAATATGTAATAATATTTATCCACCATTACAGTATCATACAAACTAGTTCCACTGCCCTAAAAATCCTCTGTGATCCTCTTATGCACCATTTCCTGTCTGGTAATCTCCAGTAACTACTCTACTTTTTATTGTCTCTATAGTTCTTACTTTTCCAGGATGTCATATGGTTGGCATCATACATGCTGTAACCTTTATAGATTGACTTATTTTATTTAGTAATATGCATTTAAGTTTCCTTTATGTGTTTTCATGACTTCACAGTTCTTTTCTTTTAGCACTGAATTATTTTTCATTGTCTGGATATGCCACAGATTATTTCTCTATTCACCCACTGAAGGACATCTTGGTTACTTCCAATATGTGGTAATTATAAATAAAAATGCTATAAACATTCATTTACAGGCTTTTGAGTGGACATAAGTTTTCAACTCTTTTGAGTAAATAACAAAGCGACGGGTTGTTGGATCATAGGGTAAGAGTATATTTAGTTTTGTAAGAAACAGACAAAATGTCTCCCAAAGTGGCTGTTCCTTTGCATCCGTGCTAGCAGTGAATGAGAGTTCCTGTTGCTCCACATCCTCACCAGCATTTGATGCTGTATGTGTTCTAGATTTTAGCCATTCTAATAGGTCTGCAGTGGCATCTCATTGTTGTTTGAATTTGCATTTTCCTTATGACACATGATGTGTAACATATTTTCATATGCTTATTTGCCTTCTATATATCTTCTTTGGTCAGGTGTCTGTTAAGATCACTGGCTCAATTTTTAATTGTTTGTTTTCTTACTGTTGAGTTTTAAGAGTTACCTGTATATTTTGGATAAAAGTCAATATCACTTTAAAAATTCATCTTGAATTTATCTATTTATATCTGTCTATACCAAGGCAATAGTAACTCTTACCTGAAACACTCAAACAGCTTTTAAAGCAGTAAATCTGCACCTACACTTGCCTTTCTCCTCCAAAGGGCTCAGCTTCAGAAGATGTTATATTTTGCTATCGAAACACATTAGTGATTTTCCACTGCATTTTAGCATAAAGGCAAATTTCCTTAATGAGACCAAGGAGGGTTGCAGTCTGAGTTCTACATTTTAGTCTAGTTTCATTCCATAACCCACATTCTGTCTGAATTTCTTTTTACCATGTCGGCCTTCTTTCATGTTCATTGATCTTTACTCTGCCTCTGAGCCTTTGTACAGGCATTTCTAAATGCATGAAGTATTTGTTCACAATTTTCACTGTGGTAGATACTTACATGGTGGTCATTCATAAACCATGCTGCTGAAACTCACATCAGTTTGTAGCCCTTTCCTACACTGATTCTGGGTGTAACTTGCTTTGACAAATGGAATATTAGCAAGCTAAGGCTGATACTTTCTTGTATATTAGAGCATGCAGTATTTGCACCCTTTTTGAGGTACATAGCACCATGCTGTAAGGAAGCATTGGCTAGGTTACTGAATAGTAGGGACACCACATGAACAGAGAGATCATAAGGAAGAGCACTAATTCATGAAACTCATGAGTGAAGGCTTCTTGGACCATCTAACCAAAATAGCACTGCCAGCTAAATGCAGTTTATTTTCTCCAATCAATATTACATGAAAACATAACAAACTTTATAGCCATGTTTCTGGACACACATAATCACGAAAAATAGTTTCTTATTATTTCAAATTACCAGGGCTTTAAAAAAATTGTTGTTCTGTTGTTCATGTGGAAAGTGTGTGTTTGTTACACAGCAATAGACAATATTCACCTAGTAAACAAATACTTATATTTTATAGCAAAATCTAATCAGGGAAGAAGATTCCTTGAGTTAACAGATCACTAAATATAATAATAATATATAATAATTATAATTATCAAATAATATATTAGACTATATTATACTAATATTAATATAATATACAACACATAACATAATTATACATAATATAATTATTATATAGAATTATATATAATATAATAAATGTAATATTCAAATGCATAATACTAATATATATTATAATATATACTGTATATATTACATATATTATTATAATATTCCTGATAATATATGTTATACATTATATATTAATATTGCAATATAGATTAATATAAGTAATATATCACATATGTAATTACATATTTAACATATTCAATTGCATATGTAACACATGTAATTATAATATAATATATAATATAATAACAACAATAATACTCAGTACTAATTCAGTATTTACTATGTACATGGCAATATTCTAAGTACTCCCCATACATTACCCTACTTAATCTTTGAAGCAGTGCCATATGATGGGTACTAACATCAGCCCCATTTTACAGATAAGGAAAGCCGAAGCACAGAGGTAAATGTTAGTTACCTATTAACTCTTGCTTATAATCTCCATTCCTGTAGCAAATTCCCATTATCACATTATTTATCAAAATTCTAGCTATACATTGTTGGGGAAGGCAGCTCACACATGCATTCTTTGGACACCCTCTCTGCTGTACAAGAATAGGCTTTGGACCTGGTACACATTCTTACCAAGAAATTGAATCCTTTCAGCCTGTGTTGGCCTTATCAACTTGCATGATGTATGGTAAATATTTCTGAATTTTCTGTATATTATGATGTTTTGACACCTTAAAAATCCTTTTTCACTGAAAGAGATTACCCTTCCCAGATCTACCCAATTCTTAGGTATAAAAGGGCTCAGCCTGGAGTATGTCTTTGATATGCAAACTAACCAAGCCAGAGTCATATCTTCTGTATCTGGGCTGTATACCCCAGAAGACAATATTCCTCTGCCTAAATCTTCCAGAGCCAGGTACCAGGTAACTAGAGACCACCCCTACAGATGAAAGCCTACCAAAATTATTCAGACTAACCAGTCTTAAACTATTCACCCTGCCCTGCCTTGCCTTTGCCATGGAAATTCCAATAAAGGCAGTAGCCTAAACCTTCCCCTTACTCCTGTCTTCTGCCTCTTGTTTGCCCTAGTGTCTTTCCCATGTGGTCCTACATGGAATGCTGTGCCTCATGTCTCTAGGACCCGTGAGTATAATAGTCCCTTAATTTTATATGCTTCTCCAAGTATAATTTTTACAACATGTTGGAGTTTTACTTAAACACCCCAAAAAAAGTTTCTTCCCCATTTACTACACATATCTTTCTATGTTTCAGGCTCAATATGTACTCCTTTGCTCCTGCTTAAGCATGTGTGTCATATGGCACCTGGGCAACCCCACTACTATATCTGTCCCCTGCGACGAGGGTATGATATTCTTCTGTTGCAGCACAAGAGGTATTCATGCAGGCCAATCACCAAGTGTTGGCTATCAGAGGAACCTGCTGGACAGAGAGGACTGACTCCTGCTACGAAAGCTGAAGCTACTCTGCCTCTTTATGAGTAAAGGGTGGTTTCATCCAGTACTTGACTGTTTTTCTCCTCAATGATTCTGGTATCAAGATGCAGTGGGCAAAAGTGCTCAGACTCCTACTCCTGATAATAGTTAACAGATGTCACTTGCTCGACGTACATGTAATTGTATGATTATTCAATTAATTTTAATTTCTCCCAATATACCAAAAAATCAAGGAGGAAATAGGTCATGACTATTTTTCACTGCATTTTATCACCAATACCTATTTATGCTAGATTATAATTTTTTTTTTTGAGACAGAGTCTCATTCTGTCACCCAGACTGGAGTGCAGTGGCGCGATCTTGGCTCACCGCAAGCCCCGTCTCCTGGGTCACGCCATTCTGCTGCCTCAGTCTCCCGAGTAGCTGGGACTACAGGCACCAGCCACCGCGCCCGGCTAATTTTTTGTTTGTTTGTTTTTAGTAGAGACGGGTTTCACCGTGTTAGCCAGGATGGTGTCGATCTCCTGACCTCGTGATCCACCTGCCTCGGCCTCCCAAAGCGCTGGGATTACAGGCGTGAGCCACGGCACCCGGCCCAGAAAAGATTTTAAAATGGGTAAAAATGTATATAGAAATAAGCTAATGATACTATGGCTGCCCTTGCAACATTTCATTATCTTGACAAAGTGCTTGGTTTTAGTAGTAATTGGGTATCAAAAATGAATCCATGTAACTGCACAGGGGTACACTGGAACCAACACCTGTGTATGAAGATGGGACCCATGAATATTTAAAAAGATATATATTAGAAATATCTACCTGACAGCAAAGAGATACATGAGGAAATTTGACTGTCTCAGCCTGGCTGTCCATAGTAAAAATATGTCACTTGTAAATCTAAGTCACATCCCTGCTCTTACCTAGATTTGTGAGATTTTTCTAAATTTTTAAATTAAAATGATGGGTACATAGCAGGTATACATATTTATGGGGTACTTTATGGGGTACATGAGATACTTTGATACAGACATGCAATGCAGAGTAATCACATCATGTTAAGGGGGTACCCATCTCCTAATGCATTTATCCTTGGATTGTGTGATCAACAATCCAATTATATTATTTTAATTATTTTTAAATATACACTTAGATTATTATTGAAAGTTGTACTAAAAAATACTAGGTCTTATTCATTCGTTCTAACTACTTTTGTACCCATTAATCATTTCCACTTCTCCAGTAACCAACACCCTACCCTTCCCAGCCTCTAATAACCATCCTTCTACTTTCTATAAGTTCAATTGTTTTAATTTTTGGCACCTGCAAATCATGAGAACATGGGCAGTTTGTCTTTCTGTATCTGGTTTATTTTACTTAACAGAATGACCTCCAGTTTCATCCATGTTGTCACAAATGACAGGATCTCAGTTTTTCTTATGAATCAATATTACTCCATTATGTATATGAACCAGTTTCTTTATCCACTTATCTGTTGGTGGACACATAGGTTTTTTACAAATCTTGGTTATTGTGAATAGTGCTGCAATAAACATGGGAGTGCATATATCTCTTCCATCTACTATTTTCCTTTCTTTTGGGTATATGCTTGGCAATGAGATTGCTGGATCTTACGGTAGCTCTATTTTTAGCTTTTTGGGGAACCTTTAAACTCTTCACCATAGTGATTATACTAATTTATATTCCCACCAATAGTGTACAGGGGTTCCCTTTTCTCCATATCCTCTCCAGCATTTGTTATTGCCGATATTTTGGATAAAAGCCACTTTAACTGGGGTAAGATAATATCTTATTATAACTTTGATTTGGATTTTTCTGATGACCAACAATTTTGAGCATTTTTATATACTTATTTGCCATTTGTATGTGTTTTTTTGAGAAGTGTCTTATTAAGGTCATTTGACCATTTTTTAATCAGATTTTTAGATATTTTACTATAGAGTTGTTTGAGCTTCTTATATATTCTGGCTATTAATCCCTTGTCAGAGAGTTATTTTACCAATATATTCTCCTATTCTATGGCTCAACTCTTCACTTTATTGATTGTTTCCTTTGCTGTGCAGAAGCTTTCTATCTTGATGCGATCCCATTTGTTCATTTTTTGGTTTGGTTGCCTGTGCTTGTGGAGTATTACTTAATAAATCTTTGCCCACACCAATGTCCTGAAGAGTTTTTCCAATTTTTTCTTGTAGAGCAATTTTGGAAAATATACTAACACATAGAAATTACAGAATATACTTTTGATTGACCAATGAGTCTGTGAAGAAATTAAGAAAGAAACTTTAAAAAGGTCAAATGAAACAAATGATAATGGGAATACAACATAGGAAAACCAATGTGATAATGTGAAAGCAGTACTAAGAGGGGAATTTATAGCTATAACTCCCTGTGTCAAAAAAGAAGAATAGCATCAAATGAATTGCCCACTGATGCACCTTAAAGAATTAGAAAAGGAAGAGCAAACAAAATCCAAAATTAGTAGAATAAAAGAAACAATAAAGATTAGAGCACAAATAAATGAATTTGAAATGAAGAAAACATATGAAAGATCAGATAAATGAAAAGTTGGTTTTTTGAAAAGATAAAAAAAATTGGCAAACTTTTAGCCAGGCTAGTAGCTAAGAAAAACAGAGAGAAGTCCCAAATAAATAAAACTAGAGATGAAAAAGGAGACATTACAAGTAATACTACAGAAATTAAAAGGATCATTAATGACCACTCTGAGCAAATGTATGGCAATACACTGGAAAATCTAGAGGAAATGAATAAGTCCCTACATACATACAACTTACTAAGATTGAACTAGAAATAAATCCAAAACCCAAACTAACAAATAACAAATAATTAGATCAAAGACATAAGAAAAAGTATCTCAATAAAGAAAATACCTTACTGCTGAATTCTACAAAACATTTAAAGAAGAAATAATACCAATACTACTCGAACTATTCCAAAAAACAGAGGAGGAAGGAGTAATTCTAAACTCATTCTATGAGGCTAGTATTACCAAAAACCAGAAAAAGGAAAAACCAAACAAAGGTATATTATAAAAAGAAAACAACAGGCCAACACCCTTGATTAATAATAATGCAAAAATCCTGAACAAGATGCTACCAAACCGAATTCAACAACACATTGGAAAGATCATTCATTATCACTAATTGGGATTTATCCTAGTGATGCAAGGATGGTTCAAAATATGCAAACCAATCAATGTGATACATCATATCAACAGAATACAGGACAAAAACCATATGATCATTTCAATTGGTGCTGAAGAAAACATTGAATAAAATTCAACATTCTTTCATGATGAAAGTCCTCAAAAAACATAATAAAAGCCATATATAATAGACCCACAGTTAGTATCTTACTGAATAGGACAAGACTGAAAGTCTTTTCTCTAAGATCTTGAACATGACAATGATGCCCACTTTCACCATTGTTATTCAGCGTAGTACTGGAAGCCTTGGCTAGAGCAATCAGTTGAGAAAGAAAAAAAGGGAATCCAAATGGGAAAGGAAGAAGTCAAATTATCCTTGTTTGAAGATGATATGATATTATATTTGCAAAAACCTAAAGATTCTACCAAAAAAACTATCAAAACTGATAAACATATTAGGAAAGTTACAGGATACAAAATCACCATTCAAAACTCAGTAACATTTCTATATGTCCACACTGAACAATCTAAAAAAGAAATTAAAAATGTAGTCTCATTTACAGTAGCCACAAATAAATACCTATGAGTTAACTTAAGCAAAGAAGTGAAAGATCTCTATAATGAAGCACATAAAACACCGATGAAATAAATTGAAGATTCATAAAATTGGAAAGATACCCCACGTTCATGGATTAGAAGGATTAACATTGTTAAAATGTCCATGCTACCCAAAGCAATCTACAGATTCAATGCAATCCTTATCAAATTCCAATGACTTTCTTCACAGAAATAGAAAAAACAAAACCCTAAAATTTATCTGGAACCACAAAAGATACAGAAGAGCCAAAGCTCTCCTAAACCAAAATAATAAATCTGGAGGAATCACTTTACCTGACTTCAAATTATACTACAAAGCTATAGTAACCAAAGCACCATGGTACTGGCATAAAAGACAGACATATAAGCCAATGGAACAGAATCCAGAATCCAGAAACTAATTCATACATCTATGATGAACTCTTTTTCAAGAAGATGACAAGAACAGACATTGGGGAATCGACAGTCTTTTCAATAAACGGTGCTGGGAAAACTGTATGTCCATATACAGAAGAATGAAACTAGACCCCTACCTCTCTCCATATACAAAATTCAAATCCATATGGATTAAAGACTTAAATCTAAGATCTCAAACTATGAAACTACTACTAGAGTTTGTGTTTTCATGTACTCTCTCTAAAATATCAGGGCATCTCCATACTGAGAAACGGCCACATAGTACTAGCAGTATTACAGTAATAAACACAAATATCCTCTAAAAGGTCATCTCTCTAACTTATAACTCAAATAGGTTTCCCATAGAAACCATGTGGCTCCCATCTCCAAAGATAAGTTCATAATCAAACATTTAAAAAAAGACATAAATCCTTATAAGTGTCCTCGGAAACAAACAAAAAAAGAGATCCAGAACCATAAAAAATAATTTTGCAATGATTAAAAACATAAAAGGTAATTCAAAAACATAATTGTAAAATGAGAATAGTCAGGTTTTAGAAAGGAAGTAGATATAAATAAAAATTCTTACCATGAAGGAGATATTCACTGGAATTAAGAAATTGTGCCCATTATTCAAAAGCAGATTAGATACAGTGAAAAGAGAATTATTGAACTGAAAGATGAATGTGAAGAAATTATCAAGAATGCTGCACCCAGGGAAGAAGACATAGAAAATGTAAAAGAAATGCTAAAAGATATAAAGGACAAATTATAAGTCTATTCAGAATTCAGAAGAAAATGTAGAGGGAGTATTTAAAGAGATAATTGATAAGAATTTTCCATAATTAACTAATGGCATGATTCTTCTGATTGAAGATATACAGTAAACTTAACCAGAATAAATAAAACCACATATAGGCATATTAGAGCTAAGCTTAATGACATAGGCAAAATTATCCTACCATCCATTAGAGAAAACAGACTATCTGAAAAAGAAGATAATTTGACTGTTGGGTAATTTTTCTGGAAGCCAGAAGACGTTGCGATACTATCTTCAAGATACTAAGAGAAAATAACTGTTACGCCACAATTATGTAAGTAGCTACTCCATCATACTGTAAGATGTTGAGATAAAGACTTTTCCTGGCTAAAATAAAGTGAAAATTTTACTACCAACAGATGTTCATAAACAAATTTTTAAGAAGGTTCTCTGAGGAAACAAACAAGAAACCAGAGGGGAGCTGAGATGCAATTAGTAAAAAGAGGCAAAGGCATTGATAAATATATAAGTGCATCCAAGCATACACTAATAATATAAATATAATATTGTGAATTTTGTTAATAGGAGAAAAACCAAGGCAGGATGGGAACATTAGACAGCAATAATGTAATCCAGAAAGTGAAGAATCAGGCATACAGTATTTTAAGTTCTTTCAATTGTGTCAGGAAAAATAATACATAGACTTTTAATTATGTTTATCAAATTTTTAAGAATTACACTAAAGAGAAATAATGTATATATTCTTGATATCATTAGGTGGGAAACATGAAATTTTACAAAAGTGACTTCTTAAAGAGATAAAAAATAAAAAATAATAGAAAAATTAGGGTTAGTGCAGCACAAGATACAAATGATAAAAAACAATTTAAATGTATTAGTTACTGATAAATATAAATAAACTAAGCTCCCTGGCTAAAAGCCAGCACTGATCATATTAATAAAAAGCATACTCAATGCCATGCAGCTCATAAAAATATTCTAAAGCATATAGACATAAAAATTTGGAGAAAAAAAGAAAAAGAAAACTGTTCTCAAAAAAGCGTGAGCAGGCTTTAATGATTCAAGAGTACCTTTTAGTATTTAAGTCCTAGCAACACAGACAAAGGTCAAGGTAAACTTAATTAGGTCTCCACTGTGGCTTGTATTTGTAGCCTCAAATTTAACAGTGTATATTTTATTCTTGTGTTTATTTTATATAAAATGTTGTATTTTCTACATTGATTTTTTTTTGCTGAGATATTATTTGTTTTATTTATACGTTCACTATCTGTCTTACTCCAATAGGGTGGAAGCTCTAAGTGTTCAAATGCTTTTGTCTGTTAATTAACTGTTATATCTCTGGTGCCCAGAATAATGCCTGACAGAAATTAAGTATTCAACAAATTTGGATTCATATAGTTGTTGGTAAATCTGAAAACTTGGTTGCCAGTAATAAATCATTTCTAAGTGATTAAATGTTTACTATGCAAACTTACTTATACCCAATGTTTGCAACAGGAGTAATTTTTGAATAAGGAACTACTTCTGTTATGGCATTTAAATAAATGTTGATAAAAGAATGATGGAAGAAAGCCAGTGCAATCTACTTTTAGTTTGCATATTCCCCTGTTATTCTGTGTTAATTATTTGTACAAATACAGTTTTAAACTCCTACCTAATAGGACATTTTCTGATGAGAAAGAACATCTATTACAAAAGAGAGGAGAGCAGTTGAATCAGAAATACGTGATATAAATGCCAAAGCTGTTGTGATTTTAATTTGTCTTGATTTTTAGCAAGTGTTACATTGCAAGTGTGTTGCAATTGGCTGACATTTTTCAGACATTTAAAAATTCCGGAATATCTAAGATATTTTAGGCAGTTCTAATAAAAATGAAAACCCGACAATAAGCATAACTGATAAAACCTCTTCACAATTTTGGCCCTGCTTTACAATTTAATGCACTGACTTGTTCTCAGTCCTGCAGTGCTTAGTATCTCCTGTATACCCTTTGTATGTTCAATTGCAGTGCTAGAATATATTATGAAGACTAAAGCCCAAATGTAATCTATATTAGGAACTATTCATAACCAAGAGTCCATATCTGCATAAATTAAACTTGAGAACAATGCCATACATATTTTATACATAAGCTGTCTTTTCTCAACAAAAGTAAACTCGTTAACTCAAAAAATAATTTTGCTTTTGTCATTTTGACCTGCAGGTGAACACATATATGTATAACTAAGTCATAATTTAGTTATTCATTTTTACCCATTTTCTTGTTTATTATCTTTTTCTCTTATTGGCAAAATCCAGATTATAAAATGTGTTCAATGGCTTTTTGGCCAACTATCTCATTTGCACACAGTGACTAGAGAATATTTAAAACTATAACAGCGTGAAGTTTACATCTGCTGTTTGGGCCTAATTAGGTTCCATACTCTTTTACTTTAAGAAATAGCCACTTGATTTTCTGGTGTTGATCCACCTACTCCTACTTGCCGTTTTCACAGTTTGGGAAGGGAGAATGCCACCCTCACGCCATTGGGGTTGACACATGACCTAGGCCGGAGCAGTTAGAGAAATAACATCCCTCGTCTACTGTGGTTGACTCAAAAGTCAGCACTTAATCCAAGCTAAGCCAATGAAGCCATTCTTCAACTTTTGCTAGAAATATTGGGAAGGAAACATTTTGTTTCTACTAAATTACTTATCAAATAGGACATACGACTGTTGGTGATGGCAATCTCTGTAGAAATCTACCTGAAAATGAAGGCAACAGGAAAGCAGGAGCAAAAGATGGAGAAATACTGGTATCTGTGGCTTTCCTCTCTGCCTCTTCTCCAGCTACACTGCCCTCATTTCAATTCCCCTCACATGCAAAACACACTTCCTCCTCAAGGCCTCTGCACTTGCCACTATTGTCCCTAGGATGCTGTTCCACTAGATATGCACATAGGTATTCTCTCATTTCAGCCAGGTCTTTATTAAAATACAAAGTTCTCAGTAAAGCCAACTGGCTGTTCAAGCTATCACACAGATGCCCTTCCCCAGTTTGCCTATTTTTTTTTCTTCGTAGCAATTATTTTATATAATAAACCATTTAAATTCTTTTTTTTTTAATTTTTAGGGACAGGGTCTCATGTTGTTGCCCAGGCTGGAGTGCAGCTCACTACAGCCTCAAATTCCTGAGTTCAGGTGATCCTCCTGCCTCAGCCTCCCAAGTAGCTGGGAGTACAGGCCTGTGCCATCAATCTAAGCTAATTAAAAAAAAATTGCAGAGACATGGTCTTTTATGTGTTCCAGGCTGATCTCAAATCTATTTATGTTTTGTTTCACCTAGTAGAATGAAAGCTACTTGAAGGAGATTTTGGTCTCTTTAATTGACTTCTCTATTCTAGCTCTAGAATAGTAGTCAACACTTAATACTCATGTCTGTTGAATGAATGAATGTCATAATGTGGGCATCTATATCCAATTGTGCCTGAAGCTTGTGGACCTTTCACTTATCTGAGAAAAACAATTTATCTTGTATTCTTTAGTCGGGAGTTCTACATCAGCTTTAATTTAAAAAGTGTACATAATAAACAATTTTATATTTATATTTGTATAAATTGAAGAATGGCACTTTATTCCTTTGATTGAAATCAATAAGTTGCCCATGATATGGTAAGACTCCTGAATTTCTGACTCCCTAAAAGATATCTGCCGTTAATAAAAAATTTAAGTTATGCTTTAAAACAATAAAAATTACACAATTTGCAAACAAATAAGTGGGTTATGTCTTATTCATATGGATTTTGTAAACTATACTCACAGGTAACAAAAATCCAGCATAGAATGTGGAAGACAAGACATGCTAAAGAAAGAGGTGTACGATTAAAAGTAAACATGAATACAGTTGTCTCTTGTATCCTTGGGGGATTTGTTCCAGGACCCCCGTGGATAGCAAAATCCATGGATATTCAAGTCCCTTATATAAAATGCGTAGTATTTGCATATAAGCTATGTACATTCTCCCACACACTTTAAATCATCCTTAGATTACTTATAATACCTACTACAATGCAAATGCTAAGTGAATAGCTGTTGTACTGTATTGTTTTTGTTTGAGTTATTTTTATTATGTTATTTGAATTAGTGTTTTTATTTATTTTTAAAATTTTCCATTCACATTAATGGTTGACTGAGTCCATGGATGTGGAGCCCACAGATATAGAGCCAACTCAATAGTGCACTTCACTTAGAAGAAGCTTCTATATCACTTGCTGTAGAGGGTTTAGTGTGTAAGGATGGTGCAAGAATTGGTGTGACTTACATTGTTAATATATGCACACACATACACAAACATGGAAGAAATTATGAACCATTTGAAAGACTACATAAGTGTATCATTCTTGGGTCATTTATTAGGATGAGGAATGAGATTTTTTAATATTACCACTATAAAGTGATCTATTTACTAAGCTCTTCACTGTAATATCATGATTTAAATTCACCTTATGTTAGTGATATCTAGAACCTCAATTACTGGTGGAGCTTTTGCAACACAATTTTGATTTCAGTCTCAAAGAAATTGCATTAGGAGCTGTTAAACAGTAGGGGTTAATTTAATTCCAAATGATGATGTTTAACAATTTTAAAATGAGTCAATAAATGATAAAACAATACATGAGTACATAAATTTGTGTATTCTCATGATTTCATTGTACATTTATGAAAAAATAGTAAAATCTATTTAAAAAGCCAACACATGGAATTTCTGGGAAGAAATTTTGATGTTTTGATATATGTTTCAGAGATGCCTAACTTATTTTCTGGTCATCTCTAAACTCATTTTATTAAAATAGAAGTCTTCACGTTCTAACAAAATATTTTTTCTAAATAAATCTTAATACTTTTATTATAATAGACCAGGAACAAAGATAACATGTCTTTCTATACCAAAGTATTGAATACTTTGAAAAATAAATTACTATAATTTTAGCTAGCCTCCATTATATGGCATGCAATGTATAAAAGGCATGTTTTTATTCTGTTAGAATAGTTTATCTTGATTTTAAAAATAGAAAAAGTAGCACTTTTTGACTTCCAAATCCACTTGGATTTTCTAATAAAAACTAAAATCTAGGTAGCTGAATGCTTCTTTTTAGGAGTAAATATTTTCAGAACAAGAATAAAGAACACGAGTCTGTAATGCAAAGGAAATGAATTGGCAATCATTCAGAGTTTTCCTTATTTTCATTGTTTTCTTTTGTTTATAATGACTTATATACTGAATGTTATCCCAATAGAATATTTCAACAGTATTCCTAATCTGTAGATTCCTAATGAATTTGTTTACCTATGAAAATAAATTCTGAATCAGTTAATGAAACATGAAATAAACACGTATCTGTACATAGACACACACACACACAGTATGCCCTAGTGCTGGGCTTCTAAAACTCGATGTGCACATGAAACACCTGGAGATCACATTAAATGCAGATTCCGGTCCAATAGGTCTGGATCTTGCATCCTTAACAATGTCGCAAGTGATAGCCATACTCTGCTCCTTGAAGTAAACTTTGAACATCAGGGGTTACTTGGCTGACTACAAGCCTGAATATGTTTTCACCACAAAGGTTTTTATGTGATTTCTTCATTGGCCTCTTCTTTTTAATATTATAGAAAAAAAAGCTTTAATATTATAGAAAAAAAGACATCATGTTTCCTAATCTTTTTATGTTTCTCCATGGCTAACATTTTTTATATGAAGGTAATATTAAGTTCCTTTGTCTTGGAACGAAATTTTATTCTAGTTATGTCCAGATATAATTTCAAATATATTTTGTTTATTGGTCAATGAGAATTTTGTCTATAGAATCAATGTTTTCTAATTTTTTTCCTTAATAGCTTTTGAATATTTATTTCTATTATTTTTCCATGTTTTCTAATTTTGTTATATCTCCAGGTGCTGTTTTCCATATGGTTTGCCATTTTTTAAAAAAGGTATTATAATTCTTTTTTTCCCCTGAGTTTAGGAGAATTGCAGAAATGTGGCTTTTTATTGACTCCTTCACCATTCTGAATTTAGTAATTTGTATTTTCTTCTTGTTCTCTTATTTTCTTCTTTGCAATTATCTTAGTAATGGATTTAGTGTTGGTTTATAGTCAAAAGATTTTTATTTTTTTCATGAGTGTAAGATTAAACCAAGAAAGGAAACACATTTTATACATAGCCATTCACTTCACTTATTGACTTTATAAACTAATTAATTTATTTATGCAATCATTCATTGAACAACTTCTACTCTTCAACAACTTAGAGTATAACTGATTTTACAGACAGAATAATCCCTGTAATTCTGGGTCTCTTAGCAAGATAAACCTCATTTACTTATCTTCTGCTTATCAAAGTTACCACCCCACAGTCTTTTGTTTGTAGCAGTTGTTGACCTTTGAAAGAGATATATTTTTCATCTTCTAATTATTGCAGACTTCACGCAGGGGAGAACAAAACTGATGGGTTCATCTGAAGGGCAGTTCAGCAGCTGGATCAGTCTCATTCATATTAAGATCTTAATACCACAAAGAACACTACGTTGAATAGCTAGGGGGAGCGAGTGAGCTTCTAGAGAAACCTGTTCCCTGTTATTTTTATCCAGTTGGGATTTGAGGAATTCCACCTAATACTGCCTTATTGCTATCATACCTCATAAACATTTCTCAATGTACTTACAAGTAGACAACAATGTAGGTTGGTTTCCCTTTGGACCAACAATAAATTTCCCCCATTTTTATGTTTTATTGATCATAATTATGAGAAGCTCAGAGCAGAGCTGGAAAGTCTGGGTACATTTTGCCATCTTAGTATGAAGTTTTGTACTATTCCTTAGAAGACTGTACTAGAGTGTCGTATATCCCATGAGGACTTACTGAATTGTGAAACTCATGAGTTTTGTGAAACAAAACCTAGGAACCATACAAAGTACTTCTAATGCCTCAGGGATTGCAAAAGTAATAAATAGTAATTAATAAAACAACAAAAAAGTAATTTGATTGCTAGAATATCATTTATTTGACTTTATGACCAAGCATGTGTCTTATGATGAAATAATTTGTGAGCAATACATCAATTTCTAAATCATGAAGATAAGCAGAAAGGATAACTGAAACATGTAAGTAGAATATATAAATATATATAAACAAAATTTTTAAATTGTGAGTTTTTTGCAGATTAAAAGATTATCATTTTCCTTTTTATAATTTTAACCTTTATTTTAGTTTTGAAGATACACGTGCATGTTGGTTACCTAAGTATTTGTATGATACTAAGATTTGGGGTACAATTCATCCTGTCACCCAGGAACTGAGAATAGCATCCAAAATTAGTTTTGGGTGCCATTATTATTAGTTTTATTATCATTATATTATTATTCATTATAAATAATAATTATTATTATATTATCAGTTTTTCAACTTTTGTTTTCCTCCCCGTCTCCCCTCTTTAGTAGTCCCCAGTGTCTATCATTTTTATATCCCTGAGTAACCAATCTTTATCTCACAGTTATAAGTGAGAAAATATGTTATTTTTCTGTTCTTGCATCAATTTGCTTAAAATAATGTCTTCCAGCTACATCAATATTGCTGCAAAGGAAATGATTTTGTTCTTTTTGAAAGCTCTTTAGTATTCCATGGTGTATATGTACTACATTTTCTTTATCCAATGCACCACTGATGGTCACCTAGATTGATTCCACATCTTTGCTCTTAGAAACATTGCTGTGATAAACATATGAGTGAATGTGACTTTTCGGTAGAAAAATTTATTTTCTTTTGGATACCCAGTAATGGGATTACTGGGTTAAGTAGTAGTTCTATATTAAGTTATTTTAAAAATCTCCTAACCGCCTTTGATAGTGGCTAAACTAATTTACATTCCCATCAACAGTGTACAAGCATTCTCTTTTCTCTGCTGCCATGCCAGAATCTGTGTTTCCTAAATAATAATAATAATAATAGCCATTGTAACAGCTGTGAGATGGTATCTCATTATGGGTTTGATTTGTAGTTATCTGATGATCAGTGGTGTGGAGTACTTTTTCATATGATTATTGGTCACTTGTATGTCTTCTTTTGAGAAGTGTCTGTTCATGTATTTTGCCCATTTTTAACGAGATTTGATTTTTGCTTGTCCAATTGTTTAAACTTCTTATAAATACTGGATATTAAACCTTTATTGAATGCATAGTTTGTTAATATTTTTCCCAATCTGTAGGTTTTCTGTTAACTCTGTTGATAGTTTCTTTTGATGTGCAGAAGCTCTTTAGTTTAATTAGGTCTCACTTGTCAATTTTTGCTTTTGTTACAATTGCCTTTGAAGACTTAGCCATAAATTATTTCCAAAGGCCAATGTCTGGAATAGTATTTCCTAAGTTTGTTTTCCAGAATTTGTGTAGTTTGAGGTCTCACATTTAAATATTCAGATGATGAGACTGACATGCTGACTACTGCTCCAATGAGGCAGATACATTTAAATCTTTAATCCATCTTGAGTTAATTTCTGTATATGGTGAAAGGTAGGGGGTCCGGGGTTTTTTTGTTTTTTGTTTTTTTGAGATGGAGTTTTGCTCTGTCACCCAGGCTGGAGTGCAGTGGCTCGATCTCGGCTCACTGCAAGCTCCGCCTCCCGGGTTCACGCCATTCTCCTGTCTTAGCCTCTGAGTAGCTGGGACTACAGGCGCCCGCCACCCCGCCCAGCTAATTTTTTGTATTTTTAGTAGAGACGGGGTTTCACCGTGTTAGTCAGGATGGTCTCAATCTTCTGACCTCATGATCCACCTGCCTCGGCCTCCCAAAGTGCTGGGATTACAGGCGTGAGCCACCGAGCCAGGCCAGGGAGTCCTGTCTTATGCGTCTGCATATGACTGGCCAGCTATGCCACCACCATTTATTAAATAGGGAGTCTTTTCCTCATTTCTTATTTTTTGCCGACTTTGTTGAAGATCAGATGGGTGTAGTAGATGTGTAACTTTGTTTCTGGGTTCTCCATTCTGTTCCATTTTTCTGTATGTCTGTTTTTGTACCCGCCTAGTGCTGTTTTGGTTACTGTAGTTGTATAGCATAGTTTGAAGTTGAGTAATATGATGCCTCTGGTTTTGTTCTTTTTCCTTAGGATTACTTAAAAACCTTTTTTTTTTAAATACAAAGGTAGTAATAGCTAATTGAGTATGTTAAATAACATAAAGTGATTGCCTATTACTTTAAGTGGCTTTAAATATATAGGCATACCTCGGAGATATAGGGAATTCAGTTCCAGACCACCACAATAAAGGGAATATAGTAATAAAGCATGCCACACATTTTTTTGGTTTCTCAATGCATATAAACTTTATGTTTACAATATACCATAGTGTATTGTGTTCAAAGGTATTATATCTCAAAAACAGTATGTACCTTAATTTAAAAATACTTTTTTTTTTGCTGAAAAAATGCTAACAATCATAAGAGGCTTCAGGAAATTTCAATCTTCTGGCTGGTAAAGGGTCTTGACTTGATGTTGATGGCTGCTGACTAAGTAGGGTGGTGGTTGCTAAAGATTAGGGCAGCTATAACAATTTCTGAATATAAGACAAAAATGAAGTTTGCCACATTGATTGACTCTTCCTTTCATGAAACATTTCTCTGTAGAATTCTATGCTGTTTAATAGCATTTTCTCCACAGTAGATTTTTTTCCCAAAATTGGACACCATCTTCTCTCAAATCCTGGTACTGCTTTACAATTAAGTTCATGTAATATTCAAAATCACTTGCTGTCATTTCAACAATGTTGCTTCTACACAGCATCTTCACCAAGAGCTGATTCCATCTCAAGAACCCACTTTCTTTGCTCACCCATAAGAAGCAGCTCTTCATCCATTGAAGTTTTATCACAAAATTGCAATAATTCAGTCATATCTTCAGGCTCCACTTCTATAATTATCTTGTTATTTCCACCACATCTGCAGTTACATCCTCCACTGAAATCTTGAACCTCTCAAAGTCATCAATGAGGGTTGGAATCAACTCCTTCCAAACTCTTGTTAATGTTGCCATTTTGACCTTCTCCAGTGAATCACAAATGTCCTTAAGGGCATCTGGAATGGTGAATCCTTTCCAGAGGTTTTCAATTTACTTTGTCCCGATCCATCCGAGGAATTACTATCTACGGCAGCTATAGGTTTTCAGATATATTGCTTAAATAAGAAAACTGGAGTCAAAATTGCTCTTTGATACAAGGACTACAGAATGGGTGTTTGTTAGCAGGGCATGAAAACAACATTCATCTCTTTGCACATCTTCATTAGAGCTTTTGCGTAATGAGATGCATTGTCAATGAGCAGTAATATTTTTAAAAGAATCTTTTTTTCTATGCAGTAAATCTCAACAGTGGGCTTAACATGTTCAGTAAACCATGATGTAAACGGATATACTGTCACCCAAGTGTGGTTGTTCCATTTACAGAGCACAGACAGACTAGGTTTAGCATCATTTTTAAGAGCCCCAGGGTTTTTCAAATAGTAAATGAGCATTGGCTTCAACTTAAAATCACCGGCTGGATTAACCCCAAACAAAGAAGTTAGCTTATCTTTTGAAGTTTCAAAGCCAGACATTCACTTCTGTCTAGCTATGAAAATCTTAGATGGCATCTTCTTCCAATGTAAGGCTATTTCGTCTAAACTGGAAATTTGGTTTAGTGTAGCCCCACTGATAAATGATCTTAGCTAGACCTTCCGAATAACTTGTTGAAGTTTCTACATAAGCACTTGCTGTTTCACCTTGCAATTTTATATTCTAGAAATAACTTTTTTCCTTAAATCTCATGAACAAACCTCTGCTACCTTCATACTTTACTTATGCAGCTTCCTCACCTCTCAGGTTTTACAGAATTGAAGAGAGTTAGGGCATTGGTCTGGCTAGGCTTTAGCTTAAGGGAATGTTGTGTCTGCTTTGATTTTCTATCTATATTACTCAAACTCTTCATATCAGCAATAAGCCTCTGTGTGTGTGTGTGTGTGTGTGTGTGTGTGTGTGTGTGTGTGTGTATGTTTTACCTTCTTATCATTTGTGTGTTCCCTGCAACAGCAATTTTAATCTCCTTCAAGGACTCTTCCTTTGCATTCACAAAATGGCTGTTCGATGCAAGAAATCTAGCTTTCAGTCTGTCTTGGCCTTCAGCCTATCTTGGCTTTAGGCATGCTTACCTCATTAAACGTAATCATTTCTAGCTTTTGATTAAAAGTGAGAGATATGTGACTCTTCTTTTACTTGAACACCCAAAGACCATTGTAGGGTTATCAATTGTTCTAATTTTAATGTTGTTGTGTCTCAGAAAATACGGAAGTCCAAGGAGAAGGAAAGATATTGAGGAATGGCCAGTTGATGGAACGGAGAGAAGACCACACAGTATCTATCAAATAAGGGCGTAATTTGTGGCATCTCAAAACAATTACAATAGTAACATCAAAAATAACTAGTCAGAGATCACCATAACAGTTATAATAATAATGAAAAGATTTGAAATATTGTAAGCATTATCAAAATGTAACAAAGACACAGAGTGAGTATATGCTATTAGAGAAATGGCACTAATAGGCTTGGTCAATGCTTGGTTGTCACAGACTTTCAATTTGTTAAAAATGCAGTACTGTGAAGCACAGTAAAGCAAAGTACAATAAAGTGAAGTATGCCTGTACTCATAATAAAAACAAAAAACTGCAAATAAGAATAAAAACTTCTAAAGAACATAATAATATTTTTCTTCGATAGCAGGAATATAAAATCCTAAATATTTGTTCATTTTTTTGAAATGATATATGGGATACAAATTAGTTGGTTTTCTTTCTGAATTCTTATATTTGACCCAAGAAATATAAGTATCTGTTATAGATAGGTGTTCAGACGTTTTGATAAGTTTGTGTTCTCATACATTTTATATGGTTAAAATACTATTGATGTTTAAAGAAAAGATGAGCTATATTCCTAGGTTTAAATTCTGTCATCTCCAAATTTCTGCTCTTTTTTACTTTGCGTAAAGGGATAAGAAAAAACCTATAATAAATATTCAAATTTTATTTTGTTTAATTCTTCTCCTCAAAAACCATTATATCTAAATGAATTATTATAGTTTTTTTCTGATGTAACTCCTGATTCTAAAAAGAAATAAAAAAAAGAGGATTATTATTTATTGGGCTCCTGGGAAGCCTGCATTCTCTTGAATTCAATATATGCTTCTTAGAAAACAGAAGACAGTGCAGGCTGTAAGTATTCATAGAAGTTTTGACCACATATAATCAAAAGTTATAAAAAATTATTACGAAAAGAGGTCATATATTTCATAGAAAATTAAATAATTATTCTTAGAGCCCACTACAATATTAGCATATTATGTGTTCCCTCACAGAAGGAAAAATCTCTACAAATACAACACATTAATTCAACTGTAGCACCTCTAATACCTTAAGTATCAAAAATAAAATGGGAGTATAAGGCCATAGCCATCATTTCATTAAACTATACAGAACCTTTATCTTTCAGAATGTATACTTATTATTGATCATTAAAAGTTAACTCCAAATATTGCTAGAATATAGCTAAAACACATTTTAAAATACAATATAGTTCTGAAATATTCTGGTTCAGAGAAAAAAATGTGTATATATATGTGTATACATACATATATACAGACACTTTTTTATATGTGTATTTGTGTATATATGTATGTATGTGTGTATACAACACACATATACACACACACAGACATACGTAATGCTGGAATCATCAAAGTATGTCTCAGAGTCAAATCTAGCTCACTGTCAATATTTTTGTTGTTTGTTTGTTGAAGAGCAAGTCATGTAACATCAGATTAACCATTTGAAAGGACGCAATTTAGTGGCAATGAATACATTCACAATGTGGTGCAAACCACCACCTCTATCAAGTGTAATGCATTTTCATAATCCCCCCAAAGATACTTTGCACTTACTAAGCAGTCAGTCTCCATTCACCCTTCCTGCAGATGCTGGCAACCGCCAATGTGCTTCTGGTTATATGGATTTACCTATTCTGGATATTCCACATAAATCCAATTATATAGTATGTGAATTTTCTGCCCGGCTTCTTTCACTTAGCACGTTTTTGAGATTCATCCATGTTATAACAGATATCAGTACTTCATTTCTTTTTATTTGTGAAAGACATTTCATTATATGTATATACTACAATTTGTGTATTTATTAATCTATAATGAACATTTTGACTGTGTAGTAATTTCAGTCTTTTCTCCTTTATGAGTCAAGCTAGTTAAAACTTTATCAATTTTGTGGATATTTTTTGAAATCCAACTTTTGGATTTGTTCATTTTGTCTGTTGTTTTTCTGTTTTCTCTTTTTAGAATATCTATTGTAATCTTTGTGATATCCTTCCTTCTACTAGCATTAGATTTAGTTTACTCTTATTTTTCTAGTTCCTTGAGGTATAAAATCAGGTTATTGATCTGAGATTTTTTTATTTGTTATTACGCACATTTACTGCTATACATTTCCCTCTAAGCTTAATTTTTATTAAATCCCATACGTTTTAGCATTCTGTGCTTTCATTTTCATTTATCTTTAAGTACTTTTAAATTTCTCTTGTGGTTTCTTATTTTACTCATTGGTTAAGGGTGTGTTGTTTAATTTCCACATGTTTGTGAATTTTCCAGTTTTCCTTCTGTTATTAATTTCTAGTTCCATTCTATTGTGCTTGTGGAATAAACTTTGAAATATCATAATATTTCAACATTTATTGAAACATATTTTTTACTTTATGTATGGGCTATTCTCAAGAATGTTCCATGTACAACTGAGAAAAATGTGTATTCTGGTGTTGTTGGGTGGAGCATTCTGTTTATGTCTGTTTAAGTATTGAGTGTTGGTTAAGTTGTTGTATCCATTATTGAATATATTGTTTCTGATCAAATACTGTTTCTGTTTTTGTTCTTTCTCTCCACTTTGTGAGACGTCTTTTATGTTTATATTGGTATGTTTTATGGTGTCACACAGGTATTTTAGCTCTGTTATTTTTCTTCCTTGTTTCATTTTTCTGTTGCTTACACTGGGTAATTGTGATTGACCTATCTTCAAATTTGTTGATTTTATTTCTTCTGTCTCTTCAAATCTACTATTAAAACTCTCTAGTAAATTTTTATTTTCGTTATTGTGTTTGTTTTGGCTCCAGAGTTATGTTTGGTTCTTTTTAAATAATATATATTTCTTTATTGATATTTTCTATTTGTTTATATGGTGTCCTATTGGTTTTCTTTCTCTATTTGTACATGGTATATTTTAGCTCTTTGAGCATATTTAATATCATTGATTTTAAATCTTTGTTTAGTAATGTAACATCTTTGTTTCCTTGGGATAGTTTTTGTTCATGTCTCTTGAGAATGGACTATACTTTCCGATATCTTTTCATTCTATTTTTTGTTGCAAATTGGACATATTAAGTATTATGATGAAATAATTCTGAAATCTGATTCTTCTCCTTCCTTGGGTTTTTTTTTTTAATTTGCTTTTTGTGGGTTGAGATAGTTTCGGTAGTGACTTTTTAAAAGTATTTTCAGAAAGTCTATATTCTTTTTTACGTATGGTCTCTGAATTCTCTGTAGGTTTAGCTTGTGGTCTACCAGTGTTTTAACAGAGATTTTCTTAAACAACTGAAGCCACAAAAAATTAAAAGAAAAAAATAAAATGAAAAAATATTATTTTCCTATTCTGACAAGATTGGCTCTATGTTGATGCATCATTTTAATGCTTAATCAGGCCGTTTACAACTCTGTCTAAGCCTTCACTTCCTGCTGCCCTGAAACCAGGGATCAGCGCAAGGTGAAAGCTTTGGGCCTTCTGTCTTGTCTGAGGATGAGTCCTACTCTGTTTTCATGTGTTCCTTTGTGTGTTCTCTGGTATATGCAGGCACTTTTCAATTCCCTAATTCCCAAAGAAACTCTCTCCAGCTTTTCCTCCCAGGCTTCAGCTTTTCTGTTGTTTCCCTTGACTGTAATGTTTTGCTGCAGTTGGCAATGGGTTGTTCAATTGCTTTATAATGTTTTGAAGAAATATCCTCTGCATAGTTGTGGTCTGCACTGAGAGAATTCTGAGTTCTGTGAAACAAAAGCAAGTACCTCGGGCCATTCCTTCAGGTAACCCTCAGACAGGTCAAAACAGACAAACACAAATTATCTGAGAATAATGTCTGCTTTACTCCTTTCATAACCTAGGGCCAGTGTTCTATACTAGGAATGTGGGCTACTGTCTTCAAGACTGCCAGCGAAGTAGGTGAGGCAAGGGAAAGTAAAAACATCACAAAGATTTCTTGTCATTTTTAAGTTGTCTTTTCCTTGATTCAGCATTTAGTTTGTTGGTACAGTCTTTGAATATTTTTCAGACATTGGGGAAAATTGATTCTGACAGTTTTGCTTAATTTTTCGATGTTTCAGTTGAGGGACAGGCCCTTGAAACTACCTACTCTGTCATTTTTGCTGACATCATGCCTTACTGTATATTTTTGGAGATAGATTTTTATTGGAACGCAGCCACTTTTTTCTTTTACTTACAATCTATAGCATCTCTTGAGCTACATTGACAGAATTGAATAGTTGTAACAGACTGCCTAAACTGAAAACCCTAAAATATTTACTACCTGGTCATTTTTAGAAAATGTTTTCTGACCCCAGCTGTAGGATAGGAAAGTTTAGAAGTATGTAACTTCCATCTCAATGGTGAAAATTATCTACAGTAAAAGGATACAAAGTTTTAGGACTGATAATAAAAATAATCAGCTAGATAAACACTGACTTTTTTTTCTATTGTACAATATATTTCCACATGACCAAAGGGATTACAATGGATTGATTTAGTTTGGTGATTTCATATTACACACTGTGGAGCCCTAAGATTCTGCAGACTTGCCTTAGGTTGACAGCAGGGCAAAGCTCTGGAAACACTGGTGTATTTCAACCAAAACATCTCCACTTTTGTTTCACGTATCTGAATGTGTATAAAATTTCATTTGTAAAAAGCGTTCTTTTGATTTTGTGAAAGATTAAAAATCACTTCTTTAGCTGATTGATTTTCATCATTAATTCCATGAAATTTAAATCTAATTACAGAATTGCAAGAACTAAATTTATAATTGCCATATCTTTGTTTTACTTTATTACTTTTCTGAGACCTCACAAATCATTTTCAAAGTAGATATCAATCCCTATGTTGTCACTCTGTAGAATAGAGTGCTTGATAAAAGATTTAAATTGGTGCTTTTTTGTACAATGATTTGTGAGTCTTCATACAGTGAATAAAGTAGAGGCTTTCATCAGTAATTTTAAATTCAGTTATTGTAATTCTATAATAAGATACGTGACAAACCTCATATGTTATTCCAAAAATAATTCTTCAGTTTACGCATGGAAAGAGCAAGGGAGGAAAAACAGAGAGAGAAATTGAGAGACAGAAAAAGAGGCAGAGAGAGAGAGAGGGATTCTTCAATGGAAGAAACTAATTCCTTTAAGGCGAGAAATTTGCTAGGGTAGTAAAAGAAGTTAGTTTAGGAGAAAAAATGGTGAATTTTCATTTGTATAGTCTTGTTATTTCTGCCTTTGTGCTTTTAATAACTTGAGCCTTTCTTTCTTTCTTTCACAAATATTACAAAAAATGTAGACAAGTTATTATATTTGAGAAATAAATGCACACACATATATATGGGTGTTCTCTAAAGAATTATGAGTATCAACCAAATAATTATGGTTTTAATCATTTTGAATTATCCACTGTCACAATCACTATAAGCTCTTATATTTCTTTTAACAACGCTTTTTAAAATTAATTTTATTTTGTATATTTAAGGTATACAACATGATGTTATGGGACACATAAATAACAATACAATTACTATAGTAAAGCAAATTAGCATATATTTTAAATAGTATCAATTTTGATACACTTGTGATTTTTATAGACTTTGGTATTTAATAAGTGTTAAAAATAAAAGTTCTTAATGTGTCAAATGACTACTTTGTGAACTCATTGTTACACTGATGTTTAGGAAATTAAGTCCTGACAGTTTTCTCAAATTGTAGCCACACTGTTTCTTTATCCTTTGATGGTAATTTGCTATGTTCTGAATATAAAATGTACATAAGCTAGAAATATAAAAATTTAATTTTTTAAAGCATGTTGATAAACCCAAACAGAGCAGTGGAGTTGTGAGGTGAGATCATGTAATTGCCATTTAGAAGTACTATATGGTCCCCAGTTATTTTGTCTTTGACAAGAGAACAAACTTACATCTCTCTCACTTCTTTTTTCCCTATCTTCACTGCACTTGTTTCTGCCTTGTAATTTCCATGTCTTAGACTGTCCAAGACCTTTCCAAGGTCCTGAATTCATGACCTGTAAAAGATTCTAACCTTCTATAGAGTCTCATTTCCTACAGTACTCATCTCCCCTACATATTATTATATATTAACTGAGGGATCAATAAATTTCTTTAAATATTCAATGATTATGTACCAAAGACATTAAATACTTTATACTTTATAGGGCATATGATATCTGCTGCCACTACTCAAATCTGCTATAGTAGCTCAAAATTAGCCACAGGCAATATGCAGACAAATGACTATGGCTGTGTTGCAATAAAACTGTATACATGGATAATGAAATTTGAATTTCATATAGCTTTCAAATGTCACATAATATTTTTCTTTGAAATGTTTCTTTCTTTTTTTCATAAAAGGGAATTTTTTATTTCCGTAAACATTTAGAAACTGACACAACTCAGGGTTATAAAATTGTTATTTTAGGAAACAAAAGTGATTTAACTCACAAAGACAAGGCAATGAAAAAAACATTCGTTTTAGTTGCTTGTAAATGTGGAAATAAATTGAGAGAAATTTTGGCATAAATGATCAAATCCCTTGGTAACCAGATTATTTAAGTCACTGCTATTAGAATTAATGACACTGTTCTCAGGAAAAAGAATCTCTGGCCTTTACAACTCTTTACTTAGAAGATAGTATTTCAGTAAAATTAATAAACAATAACTTACTTGGGAAATGTATTTGGATTAGAATTAAAAACATTGATTACAACATTTCACATAAGAAAATGAAAAAAACTAGTTTGAACAAATACATTGTTCATATTATAAATTAAACAGCATAATATGTTGCTAATACTTTTAAGTTCCTGTGATTTTAAAAATGAGAATATTTTCAAAATCTATGTGTTATACAGTTGCTAAAACTCTACTGATAATGAGAGCCATTTGAAGATGAATTTCATGGAAATAAATTTGTTCTAGAATAAAATAAAAATGGGAACTATTAATCCAGAAATCATTCATAAATCAATTCCTGAAGATTTTGAAAATTATATTTTTTAAATAAAATCATTCTTATTTTGCAATTACTTGATACATTTTACATTTTTTTTTTACTTTTATTTTAGGTGCAGGGGTATATGTGAAGGTTTGTTATATAAGTAAACTTGTGTCACGGTGGTTTTTATACAGCTTACTTCACCACCCAGGTATTAAACCTGGTACCTAATAGTTATTTTTTCTGCTGCTCTCCTTCCTCCCAACACTGCACTCTCAGGTAGACCCCAGTGTCTGTTGTTCTCTTCTTTTGTGGTCATGAGTTTTCATCATCTAGCTGCCACTGATAGGTTAGAACATGCGGTATTTGGTTCTCTGTTTCCACTTTGGTTTGCTAAGAACAATGGCCTCCAGCTCCATTCATGTTCCCGCAAAGGTCATAATCTCCTTCTTTTTACTGGTTGCATAGTATTCCATGGTACAAATGTACCACATTTTCTTTATCCAACTTGTCATTGGTAAGCCCTCAGGTTTACTCCATGTCTTTGCTATTGTGAATAGTGGTTCAGTGAACATTTGTATCCATGTGTCTTTATGATAGAATGATTTATATTCCTCTGGGTATATACTCAGTAATGGGATTGCTGGATCAAATGGTAGTTCCACTTTTAGCTCTCTGAAGAATTGCCATCTGCTTTCCACAAAGGTTTAACCAATTTACGCTCAGACCAACAGTGTGTGAGTGTTCCCTTTTCTCCACAACCTTGCCAGCATCTGTTATTTTTTGAGATTTTAATAACAGACATTCTGACTGGTATGAGAATGATATCTCATTGTGGTTCTTGTTTGCATTTCTCTACTGACCAGTGATATTGAGCTTTTTTTCGTATGCTTTTTGGCCACATGTCTTCAAGCATTTAAAAATGTAAACACTATGTTTAACTCAAAGGCCATTCAAAAACAGGTGGTAGACAGGATTTGGTTCAAGATCCATAATTTATTCACCACTGTTTTATTTTATCTTCTATATGTGTTAAAGTTTTGTCTATCACTTAATAATGCTTTCCACAGGGAAAAAAATAGGCATATCTGTACAATTACTTTGTTAGAAAAAGGGCTGAAAGCTGGTGAGCTACATTCACATACTGCACATGTGGCCCACATTAATAAATTCAGCACAATTACAAATTGATTTTTTGTTTTTCCTTTAGAGCTAGTGAATAATAAATCAGAAGCACAAATATTGCAGGTACAAAAAAGAGTAGACAACTGCTAATGTTCTACCATTTGTGAAGAATGTCAAATGAAAACATTATGTTACCTCTCATTTGGTTACACATTGCAATAAAATAAGAATAGCTAGCCACATGCAGTGACTCACACCTGTAATCCCAGCACTTTGGGAGGCTGAGGCAGGAGGATTGCTTGAGGCCAGGAGTGGGAGACTAGCCTGGAGTACATTGCAAAATCTGTCTCTTAAAACACACACACACACACACACACACACACACGTGGGTGTGTAAATATATAAAAAATAATAGCTGTTACCTGGGGAAAGTGTGCTGACATGAAGTGAAGCCAATCCATTACATCAGTTTCAAAATAGGGGCGATTTGTTGATACATATAAGTACACAAAGTCCATTATCTAACACATCTTGCATTGTTTGATTAATTGATGTAGTATTTTTTGAGCACTTACTATGTGGCAGGCTTCCTGAAAAGAGCTAGAAACAATATTTGTTCAATGCTTACCCAAATTATTTTGCTTACTCTTTAAGGAAGAAAAAAATGAAGGAAAGAAAGAAAAAGAGAGAGAGAGAAAGAAAGAAAGAAAGAAGAAAGAAAGAAAGAAAGAAAGAAAGAAAGAAAGAAAGAAAGAAAGAAAGAAGAAAGAGAAGGAAGGAAGGAAGGAAAGAAAAAGAAAGAAAGAAAGAGTGAAAAGATGAATGGAAGAAAAGAAGGAAGGAAGAAAAGAAGGAAGAAAGGAAGAAAAGAAGGAAGGAAGGAGGGAAGGATGGAAGGAAAGGGGGAAGGAGGGAGAGAGGGAGAAAGGAAGAGAGAGAGGGAGGGAGGGGAGCGAAGAAGTAAGGAAAGACAATTCTTTCCCCCAAAAAAGAAAAATTACACAAATAATCTAAAGAGACAAATGTATAAATATTGTGAAGAAATGGAGTAATGGACTGAAGAAGATGTAACAAAATTGAAGATCATTTAGACAGTAGGGTTAGACAGAGTCTCTCTGAGAAAATGACTACCAAGGTAAAATTTCACACCCATTTCCAATTAGAGATTATCTTTCCCATTATAATAATAAGAATTGCAGTGCCTTGCAATGTGATCATCTGTGTTATCCACATAGGTTACACTTTTTTTGTTGTTGTTGTTGCTCTCCCACCAGGAAGCTTTTATTTTTTTTAATTTAATTTAATTTAATTTAATTTAATTTAATTTTATTTATTATCATTATACTTTAAGTTTTAGGGTACATGTGCACAATGTGCAAGTTAGTTACATATGTATGCATGTGCCATGCTGGTGCGCTGCACCCACTAACTCGTCATCTAGCATTAGGTATATCTCCCAATGCTATCCCTCCCCCCTCCCCCCACCCCACAACAGTCCCCAGAGTGTGATGTTCCCCTTCCTGTGTCCATGTGTTCTCATTGTTCAATTCCCACCTATGAGTGAGAATATGCGGTGTTTTGTTTTTTGTTCTTGCGATAGTTTACTGAGAATGATGATTTCCAATTTCATCCATGTCCCTACAAAGGACATGAACTCATCATTTTTTATGGCTGCATAGTATTCCATAGTGTATATGTGCCACATTTTCTTAATCCAGTCTATCATTGTTGGACATTCAGGTTGGTTCCAAGTCTTTGCTATTGTGAATAATGCCGCAATAAACATACGTGTGCATGTGTCTTTATAGCAGCATGATTTATAGTCCTTTGGGTATATACCCAGTAATGGGATGGCTGGGTCAAATGGTATTTCTAGTTCTAGATCCCTGAGGAATCACCACACTGACTTCCACAATGGTTGAACTAGTTTACAGTCCCACCAACAGTGTAAAAGTGGTCCTATTTCTCCACATCCTCTCCAGCACCTGTTGTTTCCAGACTTTTTAATGATTGCCATTCTAACTGGTGTGAGATGGTATCTCATTGTGCTTTTGATTTGCATTTCTCTGATGGCCAGTGATGGTGAGCATTTTTTCATGTGTCTTTTGGCTGCATAAATGTCTTCTTTTGAGAAGTGTCTGTTCATGTCCTTCACCCACTTTTTGATGGGGTTGTTTGTTTTTTTTCTTGTAAATTTGTTTGAGTTCATTGTAGATTCTGGATATTAGCCCTTTGTCAGATGAGTAGGTTGAGAAAATTTTCTCCCATTCTGTAGGTTGCCTGTTCACTCTGATGGTAGTTTCTTTTGCTGTGCAGAAGCTCTTTAGTTTAATTAGATCCCATTTGTCAATTTTGGCTTTTATTGCCATTGCTTTTGGTGTTTTAGACATGAAGTCCTTGCCCATGCCTATGTCCTGAATGGTAATGCCTAGGTTTTCTTCTAGGGTTTTTATGGTTTTAGGTCTAACGTTTAAGTCTTTAATCCATCTTGAATTAATTTTTGTATAAGGTGTAAGGAAGGGATCCAGTTTCAGCTTTCTACATATGGCTAGCCAGTTTTCCTAGCACCATTTATTAAATAGGGAATCCTTTCACCATTGCTTGTTTTTCTCAGGTTTGTCAAAGATCAGATAGTTGTAGATATGCGGTGTTATTTCTGAGGGCTCTGTTCTGTTCCATTGATCTATATCTCTGTTTTGGTATCAGGACTAGATTACACTTTTTAATTCACTCAAAGACTCTATATCAGAGGAAGACATTAGGGCACAAGGAGGTTGAATAATTTCCCAATATCACAGAATATTAGTGGTGTTCAAATCATTATTTGAACCTTGATGACTTGATTCAAAGTGTGCATCCTTAAGCTAACTCATCTTGCCCCATTTTTTTTAATAGAACTTGGATTAGTCATTGACCATTTTCTAGCAATGAACTTTAGATGAGCTCTGGAACTTCTTGTTTTATGTGGATGTCATTCCTGCCACACTTTATTGTAAGCAGCACATTACTACAATAAATATGTTATACATGCTATTGGATTGCTGCCTAGTCTCACACTCAAGCAATTTATATATTTGTGCTACCAACCATGGTGTGTTTATTTAAAATTTTAATTTTCATGGGACTATGTTATATGCCATATTTCCAAATTTCAAGAGAAGTTAATATGCAATAGTATTTTTTTCACCTTTTATTTAAATTTTGTTACTTATGCAAAGTAGAGTTCTAGATCTATGTTCTCATTTCTTTTTCTGTGCTTGGCATTGTATTCATTGCACAGAGGATTCTTAATATAGTTGCCAATACTGCATAGTAGTCATTGTTCTCAAATTTACTACAGATGAATCTTAATGCTACCTCAAATATTATATTGCTCTTATTATTTGTTTGTGTGTTTCATTGATTATCCCTGCAGTGGCAGAAGCTGGGATGCTGGTTAACTCTCCCTAGGTTACTGTTTAGAGTTGTAGTTTTATCTATTTTTTTACTCCTTGGTTTAAATACACATTGATTTTAAGTGAGTTCACAGCTTCTTACAATTCTCCTAGTTTACTGTACTTGATGCTTAGTATAACAATATTGATTTTCTAACCAAACATTTTAACTTCACTATGTGAATATATTGAACAATAGGCTTGGGAACATATGTTTCTATTATTTCCTTCAGATAGTAGGGAATGGAAAATCGGTACAAACACTAGGTCCCCACTTGTAATTTATTTATATGATGCCCCCATACTCAATTGAAGCAAGCAGCAGCAATGTACATCCTGCAACATCTCAAGTTAGATTAAAGGCTGAACATCAAGAAAGGAATGTATAATTTTGGTGCATGCTAGGTTACAATGCAATCCCTTTCCAAGGCAAACTCCATGCTTTGGTATCTTGAAAGCCAGAATACATACAATACATTAGGGTTAGTATAACTTGCTTTCTTCTAGGGCTTTTCACAAGAGGCTTGTGAGAATTTCAGCACTGAAAACATTACACCAGAACATGAGCTGGCAGGAAGAAGGTCTGCAGATTTCCCTCCCTGGAGGAAATAATGAGTGGATTGAAAATGGACTATTTTTGAAACATTGTTATAATTTCCACTATCAGTTGTTGACATCTTATAAAAAAGTTATCTTTGTTTTAAGTTACTTATACAATTGTCTGAAAATGTGATGCTTTTAGTATTCTCCTTGTCTGACAGCACAATGTTTAAACAATTTTGTGTAATATGAGTTTCAATGTTTTAAATACATATTAAAGACACATACTTTACTAATAACACAAGAACGTTTTCAATAATTTCAAAAATATTTAATTGATCCCTATAAAATACTCACCTATGCAAAATATTTGATATTTATATAGAAAGTCATTGATTTGTGCATATATGCACCTCCCTCCCCCGTGAAATCCATATGTTGAAGCCCTAACCCCAGTACTGTTAATAATTCCCAATTCTGCAGAATGTACATTTATTTTAGGATAGGTCATTTAAAGAGATAATTATGTTAAAATAAGGCCTTTAGGGTAGGCTTTAATTAAAACTGACTGGTGTCTGTATAAGAAGAAACGATATACAGGGAGGTAACAGGATTTGCAGGGCACAGAGGAAAGACCCTTTGAGGACACAGTGAGAAAGTGGCCACCTGCAAGGCAAGGAGAATCAAACTTGTCGACATCTCCATCTTGGATTTCCAGCCTCCAAAACTGTGAGAAAATAAATTTATCTTGTGTAAGCCACCCAGTCTGCAGTATTTTGTTATGGAAACCATAACAAAATAATAAAATAGTACCCCCTTATCTGCAGGGGATATATTCCAAGACCCTTGGTGAATCCCTGAAACCACAGGTAAAACCAGACTCTATGTATACTTTGTTTTCTCCTATACATACATACCTACCGTAAATTCTAATTTATAAATTAGGCACAGTAATAGATGAGCAATAATAACCAGTAATTATATAGAACAATAACAATCTACTGTAATAAATAAAAGTTATGATAATATAATCTCTGTCTCTCAAAATATTGTACTGTATTCACCTGTTTTTGAACAGCAGTTGACTTGGGTAAATGAAACTGCAGATTATGGGGGACTACTGTATGCATATCATCTTCAAAAACCAAATCTTTAATGAGGAATGATGAAGGACAGCAACACTCCTTTGCCAGTTGTTCATTCTTAGAACAGTTCACTGCTGGGGCCTTTCTTCCAGAATAGTAATAACTCACTATAAACACCTAATTTTTTTAACCAGTAAAGTAAAACTTTGTTTTATTTCATACCATTTTCTCAGTGTCTAGAATGATACCTGACACACAGTAAGCACTCAAAAGAACTGATCGAGTTAGAAGAAATATGAAATTTCATTGTGAAAGAAGACTGCTTTCCTTTGAATTAATTCAAGGACACACTAGATGAGAATGGTCATTGACCAAGATAAGAAATACATACGAAATAAAATAGTTTTGCTAAAAATGCCGATTGTATTGCTTAAATGAGTCAAGAGAGAACTTTGTACTAAAATATTCATAGTTTAAGTTAATTCCAATTTAGAGGAGACTCAGTCTGCTGCAACAATGATAGTGGCACATAATGGTCACAGAACTCATTTTTAAAATAGATCCATTACCAAAAAAGTGTTTGTTAAGCAATAAAAAATCGAAAATCAATTCCTTCCTTTTCATTTGACTTTCATCAAAACATTTAAAATAGTTTTTTTATTCTGTTCTTACCAACCTATGAACAAAATGAATCTCTTAACAGACAAATTTTAGAAAATGCTAAAATTAATGTATAAGCCATAAGCTGTCATTAAAACACCTATATTTGTATGATTTTTGTAAGAATGATTTATGCAATAACTTAAAGTCCAAAGGAAAAGCTAAAAGGAATAGCTAAATAGAACACAGCATATTGAAAGTTCCTTCTGTTTTATTAAAGTCTCTCCCTAGAGCTTTCAGCAAAACTTTGGGTCACTGAAAAGATTCTATAGGTAATGTTGGAAAAAGAAGGATATTTGTAAAGATAGAGAAGAGAAATGTATGGGTAAACTGGGGAGGCAAGGATTGAGAGCACCTCAGTTCTCAAATTGACTGGTTCAATGCAGGTAGGATAAAAGACCTGGCAGCCCATGTACTCATTCATTTTTGCAAAACACTATACGTTTAAAAATAATCTAGAGAGTTGTTTGGGAAAATACAATTACAAAAACTGTCTCCCACCCCTCCCCAAAATGTCCAAAAATGTAGTCAAAAATGAGAACAATTTTATTATTGAATAAACACTGAACATGAATATAATGCACATCACAGGCAATCCGAGAGGCTTCAAAAACAGAAATAAATTTCATCCTTTTATATAGTCAAACAAATGCAACCCATTACATACATACTTTAAAGATAAACAATAGATAATCCCCAAGAAAACTTGATAGCACCATTTGTCACACATGGTTCAGTCTAGATTCACCTGGTGATACAGTTTGGATATTTGTCTCTTTCAAATATCGTGTTGAAATGTAGCCCCCAGTGTTGGAGGTGGGGCTTGGTGGGAGGTGTCTGGATTACTGTGGTGGATCCCTCATGAATGGCTTAGCTTGGGGCTGTCCTTGCAGTGATGAGTGAGTTATCATGATGAGTGAGTCCTCACCCTATTAGTTACAGAAAAATCTGATGGTTAAAAAGAGCCTGGAACCTGCTTTTCTCTCCCTTGCTCCTTCTTTCACCACATGAAACACAAGCTGCCTTTACCTTTCACTATGAGTGAAAGCTCCCTGCAGCCCTCACCAGAAACAGATGCCAGTGCCATGCTTCTTACATAGCCTGCAGTACTGTGAGCCAAATAAATCTCTTTTCTTTATCAATTACTCCAGCCTCAGGTATTCCTTTATAGCAATGCAAAGCAGACTAACATACCTGGTAACTGCAGTGACTGGTGTTAGCTAATTGATGGTATTCAATGAAAAAACACACTTTTATATTTTTATGAAAAAAGGTAATTTTGTAACTTGGAGCAAGGCATCCACTAAAGTGAGGCTCCTACCCTCTTACAATAACTGGGATATAGGAGTGCTGTTTCTCTTGATGTTTGCATTTCAAGGAGATGGCTCCCATGCTTTTGAGAAAGACTTGCCTAGGTCATAAAAGCCTATCTAGTTTTCAAAAGGATGTACATACATCTCAAAGAGGGGAGAAAGTACTTATGTAATTACAAGTTTTCTAACGTAAATGCTCTAAGAAAAAGGAGAAGAGAGAAATCTCTATTTTCAACATGGAGAATTGAGGAGACAAAAGTGGCTCCATCTTAGATGCTAATCTGCCATATTGACTTCTGATCAGCCCCAGTCCCAGGAATGCCTCCTAATTTCTACTGTATTTACTGTTGTTATGGTAAGACTATGTCACCCTTGATGTTACTGCACAAATTATAGGCTATGATGCATATAGCATGCTCGCCTGTTCTGGAAGTTTGCCTTTAATTGTCTTGCTGGAGCGCATATGCCCTTTCCCTATGGTTTAGAAGCCCTGGGTATGGAGAGTAATGGGGTGGAGACTTGCTTGTCTTGTTGTCACCTAAGACCATGCTTCTGTCTGTAAATTCCCCCAACAAAACACTTTACCAACAAACTGGATTTGTCTGCTTTGATTTCTCAGTTACTTCAGCATTTGTGGGTCACTTTGCATATACAGTTCTTCCATGAAACCAAGAATTAAGCCTCTTATTTTTACTTTGTATTTCTATTCATACAGTTATTATCATTATTTTGATAGTATTAGTTTGGTGCAAAAATAATTGTGGTTTTATCATTGCTTTTAATGGCAAAAACTGCAATTACTTTTGCACCAACCTAATATATAGCAATAGATTAAGTAAAATGAAATCATAGGCAACCCACCAGTAAGGAAGTAGATTTTTCAGTCGCTATACATCCTCTCTTTTAAAATAGTAGGTTTATGGGTGATTCACACTCTAACTGCTAAACATAAACGTATCATGGACATGAATATGCTGCCCAAAAAAAGGGTTAAGAAAAATATCCACAACAGCTTAGTTTGATAATGATGAAGAAAAATCAAGAGTATTTAATTAATTCAAGAATAGTACAAACTCAAAACAACTCTGATGACCCACAGGTAACATTTCCTATAGAAAAAATATATAAATCCAAATTATCTATAGGAGCCTTGTAAAATTATCTGGCATTCTTAGAAGCCAAATTTTTTAATAGAATACAGAATTACAATCTTCATGAAACCTTAATAACACCCTGAATTTAATTTGAGTAATAAATGATCGTATGTCTTAATAACTCACCTAATAGCTTATTTATAAGTAGCTTCTCTCATTAAAACTAAGAGTCAAGAAATTATATTAACTTAATCTATGAGGAAGTTAGTGTGTGTGTGTGTGTAGTTGAGGCTTACAACAAAGTAAGGACTATGCTTCAAAGGTATTGCATAGCATATATTCATAGAAGACCAAGCTAGCTGTAGATATAGATAGGTAGAAGTCCCAAATGTTTGGAGATAACAATCTCAGGGTGCTGAAAGACATTCTTTATTTTATTTATTTATTTATTTATTTATTTATTTATTTATTTATTTATTTATTTTGGAGAAAGGGTCTTGCTCTGTCCTCCAGGCTGGAGAGTAGTGACGTCACCACGTCTACCTGCAGCCTCCACCTCCTGGGCTCAGGTGATCCCTCCACCTCAGCCTCTGGAGTAGCTGAAACCACAGGCATACACCACCATGCCTGGCTAATTTTTAAGATTATTTTGTAGAGATGGAGTATTGCCATGTTGCCCAGGCTTGTCTTGAACTCCTGGGTCAAAGCAATCCTCCTTCCTCAACTACTCCCAAAGTGCTGGGGTTACAGGCATGAGCCACTGCACCTGGCCTTGATTTAGAATTTAACTCACAAGTCCTAAATCAGTTCCTATTATTATCATGCCGTTTATATCTTCAGTCTAGTACTAAAAATTCCTTTTGATATATGAACTTTACCTACACTAGATATTAATAGCTATCAAGCCATTTTTAATCATTAATTCAGAAGCTCAATGACTTTATCATATTCAAAGTAAAGTTAAATGGAAAGGTGAAGTAGCTTTGTGTCCCAGTACGGCTTTTACAACTTCATTACCTTAAAATGAGTTAATTGTGTCTTCTGAATCTATTTTCTCACAGAAAATTTGGATTATAGCCCACTTCAATTTTTTTTCATAATTAAACAATACATGTGACTGGTTGAGAAAACCTCAGCGTTTTCTATTCATCATCTTTCACGTTAGAATGGGGAACGGGGTGTTACAGAGGAAGTGTTGGTAAGAGGGTAGTATAATGTATGTAGAATGGAATTCTACCACCACGGGAATAAATAACTTTTATAAATTAGGAGTAATTATGTGACAATTAAGTGCTTTCACAGAGTTAAATCAATACATTTTCAAATAAAGGAAAGTCGCCAAACATGGACCGGAAAGATTTTGTTCTATGGTTAGGAATAATTTTTAAAGTAGATTGCATGGAAGTCTCTATGAATTGTTGTATTACATGACTCTATTTATATACATATATGTTATATATAATAAATATATATAATATATGTTGTATATATATTATGTTATGTTAATAGTTAATTTAAATGTCTTCAAACTATATTTTTGTATGTATATACATTTAAGATTATTATATATTAATGTTTTTTAATTTTTATTTATTTACTTTTTTTATTTTTATTTTTTGAGACAGAGTCTCTCTCTGTCCCCCAGGCTGGAGTGCAGTGGCGGGATCTCGGCTCACTGCAAACTCCGCCTCCCGGGTTCATGCCATTCTCCTGCCTCAGCCTCCAGAGTAGCTGAGACTACAGTCGCCCGCCACCACGCCCGGCTAATTTTTTTGTATTTTTTAGTAGAGACGGGGTTTCACCATGTTAGCCAGGACGGTCTCCATCTCCTGACCTCGTGATCCACCAGTCTCGGCCTTCCAAAGTGCTGGGATTACAGGCGTGAGCCACCGCGCCCGGCTATTATATATTAATGTTATATTGATGGCATTATATTAATATAGGTTATATATAATATATATTTTATAATATAACATACATACATTATATATTATATAATATATTATAAAACATACATTTGTATATAAAAACTATATAAATAATGTACATTTATAATATAAATAAAATAATAAAATTATATAAATATAATCATATAAATACTAAAATACAATAAATAATAATATACATTTATATGTATATACACACAAACACAAACACACACACACACACACAGAGAAAGCTCAGAGAATCCATGTAACCAGCCTCCAGATTTGTAAATATTTTATTACCAGCATGTAAAGATCTTTCTTCAAATCCTTTCCTTCCCTCAGATTTATATATGTTTCAAGACTTTGTGACTACGTAGTATATAAGTGAGTTAGGTTAAGTTTGTTAATTGTGTTGCTCAGATATTCTACATCTTCACTGATATTTTGTCTGTATTTTCTGTTATGGAGAAAAGTGTCTTATTTCCCTTTATGCTGGTCAATTTTTATGTTTTCCCTTTCTGTTAACAGTTAATTTAAATGTCTTCAAACTATATTTTTGTATGTATATACATTTAAGATTATTATATATTAATGTTATATGGATGGCATTATATTAATATTATATAGATACATTATAGAGAATCCTTCTTTACCTCTAGCACTGCTTCTTCCCATAAAGTCTCCTTTGTCTGACATTTGTTTTGTTATACCATCTTCTTATCAGGTAGTGTTTGTATAAATGTTTTTTCTGTTCTTTAACTTCTGATTTTTAAGGTAGATAGATAACATATATTATATAAAATATACTTATCCATAATACATATTACATACATATATTTAAAGAGTGTCCCTATGTTTTACTCAATTCATTTTGGCAGCTGTATTTTATTTGAAGCAGTCAGCTTATTTATATTTAACACAGTTACTACCAAATTGGGTTTATTAATCTCTTTTGGCTCATCAGTTTTATGTTGCTTTTCTCTCCTTTATTTACTTCTTTCAATAATTTTATATTTTTATTATTCCATACATTCCTTTCATTGACTGGTTAAATATATATTCTCTTACCATTCTCAGAGATTACAACATGCATCCTTTACTTTTTAAAGTCTAATATAAATTTTGTCTTTGCCATATTCTTAATGCAGCTAGAATTATAGAAATTTTGAAACTCCTTAGCAGTTTTTACTATGATTGCCTTTAATTTCAGTTCTGTGTATAATTTAAATGAAACTATGCTTCATAAAATCAGTGTTTGTTCGTATTTGACTTCCTATTTGCTTTTTCTGATGTTTTTCACTTTCCCTTGCATTTTCTTTTGGAATCATTTTCCTGCTCCTTAAAGAATTCCCTTTAGATTTTCCATTCTTGTAGATCTACTTAAGAAAATTTCTCCCATTTTTGTCTGAAAATGTCTTTTCCTACATGTGGTTTTGCCGAATATTATCTATTAGATATAGAATTCTATGTTGAAGTGTATTTTCTTTTGCCACTTTAAAGATGGGTATTATGGGCTGAATTGAGTCTCCTTCAAATTTATGTGTTGAAGTCCTAATCCTTAGTCACTTACAATGTGAGTGTATTTGGAGATAGGGTCTTTAAAGAGGTAATTATTAATAAAGTTAAACCAAGTCATTAATGTGGGACCCTAATCCAGTAGGACTAGTGTTCTTTTAAGAAAAGGAGACAGCAAGGGATGCACCCACACAGAGGAAAGGCGATGTGAATACCAACAAAAGGTGGCCATTTGTAAGCTAAGGAGAGCAACCTCAGAGAAAACAAACCTGCTGACACCTGCATCGTGGAGTCCTAGCCTCCAGAACTGTGGGCAAATAGATTTCTGTTCTTGAAGCCCTCCAGTCTGTGCTATTTTGTAATAGCAACCTTAGCAATCCAATATACATGGCATTACTTTATTTTCAGAATTTATTTTTTTCCTCTTGTTCTGTAGTCATTAGTTTTACTGTTGTCTCTTTGAAAGTATGATGTCTTTTCTTTCCTCTGGCTGCTTGTAAGACTTTTTTTGTTACTTGTCTTTAGTTTTCAAAAGTTTAGGGCTATTTGCTTATGTGTTGTTGTCTGGGAGTTTGCTGAGCTTCTTGGATTATTGGATTAACCTCTTTTGTTAATTATCTCTTCAAATATTGTTTCTATTCATTCACTTTCATTTCTTTCCTTCTGCAATCCCAACTGTATGTTTGTTAGTTCGTTTGAGAGTATTCCATGTCTTTAATTATTTGTTGTTTATTTACACTATTTTTAAAGTTCTATTTTATTTATAATTCACCCATAACAATTATACATATTTATGGGGTACAGTGTGATGTTTTGATACATGCGTACATTGTGTAATGATCAAGTCAGAGTAATTAGTAAACCATCACTTCAATATTTATCATTTATTTGACGTGATAACATTCAGAATCCTCTCTTCTATCTATTTTGAAATATGTAATAAATTATTGTTATCTATGATTACTCTACCGTGCAATAGAACACTAGAACTTATTCCTCTTATCTAACTGTAACTTTTTAGCCATTGACCAAACTCTTCCTAACCCCACAATTTCCCCCTACCCCAGCTTCCTGTGATGACTTTTCTACTCTCCACTTTTATGAGTGAGTTAATTTATTTTTAGATTCCACATATAAGTGAGATCATAAAATATTTGTCTTTCTGTGTCTGGCTTATGTTACTGAACCTCTATACTGTTTTCTATAATGGCTACTAATTTAGGTTTCCACCAATAAATAGTGTGTAAGGGTTCCCTTTTCTCCACATCCTTGCCAACACTTATCTTTCACTTTCTTTTTTTTTTTTTGTGAAAGAGTCTCACTCCATCACCCAGGCTGGAGTGCAGTGGTACGATCTCCGCTCACTGCAACCTCTGCCTCCTGGGTTCAAGCGACTCTCTTGCCTCAGCCTCCTGAGTAGCTGGGATTACAGGCATGCACCACCATACCCAGCTAATTTTTTTGTATTTTTAGTAGAGATGGGGTTTCCCCATGTTGGCCAGGCTGGTCTCGAGCTCCTGACCTCAGGTGATCCACCTGCCTCGACCTCCCAAAGTCCTGGAATTACAGGACTTTGCCCTGTAATTTTACAGCCACCATGCCCAGCCTCACATTTTTGATAATAGTGCTTCTAACATGTGTGGGTGATATCGCATTGTGTCTTTGATTTATATTTCCCTTGTGATTAGTGATGTTGAACATTTTTTTCTACATCTCTTGATCATTTGTATTTACTCTTTTAAGACATGTCTGTTCAGCGATTTTGCCCATTTTTAAATTAGATTATTTGTTTGCTATTAAGTTGCTGGTATTCCTTATAAATTCTGAATATTAACCTCCAATCAGATGCATAGTTTGAAAATATTATTTTCTCTTCTGTAAGTTGTCTTTTCAACTGCTGATATTTTTTTGCTGTGCGGAAGCTTAACTTGATGTAATCTGTTTGTCTAATTTGTCTAATTTTTCTTTTGCTATCTGTGCTTTTGAGATCTTATCAAAAAAAATTATTGCCCAGATTAGTGTCATGAAGTGTTTACACTACATTTTCTTCTGGTAGTTTCATGGTATAGGGTCTTACATTTAAGTCTTTAATCCACTTGGAGTTGAGTTTGTACATAGTGAGAGGTAAGAATCTAGGTCATTCTTCTGCTGTGTATATTCAATGTTTCCAGCACCATTTAATGAAAATGGAATCCTTATCTTAATGTGTGTTCTTGGCCCCTTTATTAAAAATTAGTTGGCTGTAGATATGTGGATTTATTTCTGGGCTCTCTATTCTGCTGGACTATGTGTCTATTTTTAGAAAAGAAACCAAAAAGAGAAACATTCCCCTCCCAAATAGCGAAAGCCTTGGGACCCTTTCCAGTAATACTCTGCCATCCTATAAAAATAACGCTATGTCTGGCTTACATAGTATTATCATCTGTGGATATGTAATGACTGTTACAGATAAGGTGTCACGTGAGGGAGTTGATTGAATTTAGCTGCTTATGGATCAAGCTAGAATTCCCCATGTAGGAATTCCTGCCACGAGTATTGGATACAAGACCAACACCCTCATTCTTAAGCTCACCCTAATAGTAGTGCCAAGATAAATATTACTTTATCTTGTGAATTTTAAAACTACTTGCTGTATCCTTTATAGAAGGAGTCCAAGACTTCTCAAAGCTGTTTTCCTTTGGGAAAAAAAAAGTCAGTAGAAGTAACCTTAACATTTAAATTTTGCCTGTCTTTCTTTAATACTAAAGAATAACAGGTTATTAGCATCCCAAAGTGCTGGGATTACAGGCATGAGCCACCGCACCCATCCTAAAGAAAATATTTTATGCCTTGTGCTTATGAACTTCCCAGATGACAGAAATATTTGGGAAATTTACACCTAAATCACACTGGTACATTAATAAGGTTAAGGATATCCTTTTAGCTTTCTTGATTTTACAGATCTAAATATACTACAAATTGCTTTTGCTATGATCTTGGGTATTCTTTGAATATGACTTATTCTTGATCTCATCTCATATGTCTGCTCTCTTAGCACAATCTTAAGCTCAATATTGCTCAAATTGCATAAATTACATATCGTGTTTACTTACAACTTTGTTTTCTTGCTAATATTATAACAATAGCAAAAGCAACAATAATAAAACCATCTCTGATCCTGGAATCATCTTCCAAAAAACAAGTTTGGGTATTCTGACTTCATCTCTGATTCCAACTTTCTCTATCTGCATGTATTCAATCATAGGCCTAGAACCATCCCTCTATTTCCTAACAGCTCCTCTATCAATCTGCCACCACGCTGTTTTAATTTCTCACTAGCTTTGATATTGAAGTATTTTATTAGCTACCATCTGGTCTTTAAACCTTAGTCTCTTTTCCCATTTCAAACTTATAATTGTCTAATAAATTATATTTCCAAAGACCAATTCTGGCCATTAGAAGATGATTTCTCTCTGTTGGTGTTGTCCACCTTCAGTCAAGGCCAAACTGTGGTCCTCAAATTTTCTTTTCCAATGTTTACCTCAGTGTTCTTCCCTCATCCTATGTTTCAGTCAATTGAGAATTTCAGAGCTTCCGCTCTGCGCCCCATGCCTTTCCTTCACAATATGCATACTCATTTGCTCCTGCTACTTGGAAAATTATTTCTACTACTGCCTTATGTACCGCTCCAACATAGTTGCAGGTTCTTATTCTACCAAGACTTCAGGATTCCCTTTGAATTCCAACTTCTTTATGCAATATCCCTGGCTTACTGTCTTCTGAGCTGCCATATTTCTAACTTAGCAACCAACATAACATACCCATACTTTTCTGAGAGGACTTATACTTCCCACCTGCCATTCAATCTATATCTTATTTTTTATAATAGACTTTAAATATATATTATAATGCTAAAATAACATAATCATAAGAATATTAAAAAGCCTGTTTTAATGTGTTTCGTGGATGGCAAAAATATAGATATTACGAAACATTCACAAAAAAACATGAAGAACAAAATGTTGTATACAATTCCAGAACAAAGAGAAACAATGACTCATGCTTTTCAGAAATGTTTAATATTGACAAGTTTATATGCAGGAGATTACAGAATTGAAAGATAACTTTTTAAAAGTTCATATGCTAGGATTTCCCCAAGACTTCTAGTACAGCTATTATTGAGGGGAATATAAAGATTCAGCAGTAACATCAGATGAGCAGGTCTCCTGTTGCTTTTTTTGTTTTAGTTTGTTTCTTTGTTTGAAAGAGAACTTTTTTGAAGGCCCTTGAAACACTTTACAAATTGAATTTCAGAAAATATTTCATCAATTTATTTCCATGCAAGAAATGAGAAACCAACATTGATTTTTGTAATTTTTAATTCCTCTTGAGAAATGGAGAAAAAGTGCTATATTTTATTAGTTTGAACTCATTTACTCAATTTAAATGCTGTATTTTAAATTAATTTATTCAACAAATGTTTACAGATTGCCTACTATGTTTCTATCATGGTGCAGGAACTCCAGATTTAATTGGAGAGGGGGTTACAAAACAGACATGGTTCCTGCTTTACAGAAATTTAGATTCTAGATGGCAAAAAAAAAATTAAACTTGGGACCAAAGTGGTTTCATACTAACAAATAATAATAAGTGCTGCACAGCATATAGAACAGTGACTTAATCTAATCAGAGGCTGAGTGCAATTTTCCCTGAAATTTTATTTATTCTTGATAATGGGTTATTTAAATTTATTCTTTTGTGAACTAGCTTTTCATTTCCTTTGCCTATTTTTCAATTGGGGTATTTGTCTTTTTCTAATTAAACATATTAAAGAAAATTTAAAGGAGATATAAATCCAGTGTAATGTCCCAACCAAAAGTAAAGACTAAATTATTTATTGTGAATTGCCTTCAGTTCAAGGCAAATATGTGCATTGTATAAGTATTTAGTTAATGTGATGATGCAATTTGAACCCTATTCTTTATCTTTAGTAATAACAATCTGTAATTACTTAATTTGTTTATTTCTCGGTTGTCTCTATTTCCTGTTTTAGTAACAAGAATATAAGTAGAAGAATGCATGGCTCTCATCTATCTTGTTCCATATATTACTAGGATTTTGCACAAGTTAGATATTAATAAAATATATATTGGATAGTAAAACAAATATTTTCTGTGTATGCAATTCTGATACTTAACATTTTTGAGAGTATTGTGATATAATATGGACTTTTTGATGGTAGTATATTAACTTTTTCATTTATTTGGTAATGCTTTCAAATATTACATTATTAATTAATATGTTCATTAACACCACGATATATATGGATTTTTTTCCATTTTCTTTTGAATTATCTCCCAAATGTAGGAAAATGGATTCAAAGGAGATTGCTAAATTTTGCAAGCAGTTTATCATAGAAGTTAAGTTCACAACTTCAAGACAGACTGCTTTGTTTCACACTGACTGTATCAAAACATCTCATGTACACCATAAATATACAGAACTACTATGTACCAACACAAATTAAAAATAAACAACATTTTAAAAATCAAAGATAGATTGCTTTGACTTCTAGGCTTCATCACTTATGAGCCACGTAGCTCTGTGCCCTGTTTCCTCATCTAGGAAATGACTGACACATAAGGTCACTGGAAGATTTAGGTGAATTAATCTATGTTGTGCTTAAAACAGTAATTGATATGCAATTAGCAATATATGTGTTCACTCTTTTTGTGGTAGTTGTTCTGTTATTATATGAAAGTGGCTTTTTTTTTTTTTTTTTTTTTTTTTGACGGAGTCTCGCTCTGTGGCCCAGGCGGGAGTGCAGTGGCACGATCTCGGCTCACCGCAAGCTCCGCCTCCCGAGTTCACGCCATTCTCCTGCCTCAGCCTCCAGAGTAGCTGGGACTACTGGCGCCCACCACCACGCCTGGCTAATTTTTTGTATTTTTAGTAGAGACAGGGTTTCATCGTGTTAGCCAGGATGGTCTCGATCTGCTGACCTCGTGATCCGCCCGCCTCGGCTTCCCAAGGTACCCGGATTACAGGCGTGAGCCACCACGCCCAGTGAAAATGACTTTTAAAATAAAACCATTGTCCCTAGAAAGCACTTCAGACCCCCAAAAAAGAATAATACTGTAAGAGGCTTGGGGCTGAGTATACCATGTTAAAATAATTTAGCTGGATGTAAATTAACAAACAAAACAAAAAATCCAAATGAAAAGCAAATATTTAACTATATAAAAGAAATACTAAATAATTGTAGCCAAATATTGGGGTAGTGAAGTAGAACTGTGAAATCGGATAATATTACAAAAGTATACTGGAGAAGGGGCCTAAGAGTTGAACCTTAAGTAAGGAACTAGCACTACATGCAACCTCAAGTAGACATATTTTTAAAGACAGTCACTTCTTTTATAATTTCTCCATGTTATTTTTCTGAGAGCATAGCTGTACTTACACATTGATAAATGATTATGCCATGTTGCTTTTCAAAACAGTGTTCTAATTTGACTGTAAGATCTAGGAATTAATCTATATCTGATGTACTTGTAATACTCCACTGCTTTTCACTTTGGTAATCATTAAGAACTTGGCTCTGTTGTCAGATATCATGCATTAGTGTGACTTGAGTAAGACAATCCATCCCTTCAAGCCTTGAAAACAAAATTTGATTTGAAAAATGGCGATGGTAAAAGTACTCTCTTTGTTGGATTGATACGAGTTCAGTGAGAAAATCTATGCAAAACGGTTAGTAAAGTGCTGGACAAATAGAATGCCAGCTATTATTAGGTGAGATAAAATGTAATGTAGATATTAAAAAGCATTGGCCCACTTTCCACTCCATCTTCATTAAGGCATAAATGACAAATGAAAATTGTATACATTTAAGAAGTACAAATTGATATTTTAATATAGGTGTACATTGTGAAGTAATTGCCACAATCATGCTAACATATTCATCACCTCATAGTTACCATTTTCTTTTGTCATTAGAGTACTTAAGATTTACATTCTTAGCAAATTTGAAGTTTGCAATACAATATTGTTAACTATATTCACATTGTTGTACATTAGATTTCCAGAATATATTCATCTTGTGTAACTGAAACTTTCAACCGCTTGACCAACATCTCTCCATTTCCGCCTCCCCCCAGTCTCTGGCAACCACTATTTCGTTCTCGGTATATATCTATTCAACTATTTTAAGTTCTACATTTAAATGAAATCATGTGGGATTTGTCAATGTTGTGTCTGCTGACTTCACTTAGCATAATAACCTTCAGTTTTATCCATGTTGTCCCAAATGTCTCAAATAAGTATTTTCTTATTTTTAACACTGATTAATATTACTGTGTATGTGTGTGTACATTTTCTTTATCCATTCACCCATCAATGGAGGTAAGACTATTTCTGTTTCTTGGCTTTTGTGACTAATGCTGCAATGAATGTGGGAGTACAGATATCTCTTTAACACACTGGTTTCATTTTCATTGAATGTATACCTAGAAATTGTATTGCTTATAGTAGTTCTAATTTTATTTATTTATTTATTTATTTATTGAGACGGAGTATCACTCTGTCATCAGGCTGGAGTGCAGTGGTGTGATCTAGACTCACTGCAATCTCTGCCTCCCGGGAGTTCTATTTTTAATTTTTGAAAAATTTTCATACCTTTTTTGTTAATAGCTCTACTAATTGATATTCACACCAACAGTGTACAAGGGTTTTATTTTCTCCACATGTTTATCAACACTTGCTATCTTTATTTTCTTTTCGATAATGCTCATTATCACAAGTATAAGGTAACACCTCATAGTGGTTCTAATTTGTACTTTTCTGATAATTAGGGATGCTGAGCACCTTTTCTCATACCTGTTGTCCATTTGTATGTTTTGTTTTGAGAAATGTCTATTCAGGTCTTTTGTCCATTTTTTAATCATTTTTTTTTCTACTGAGTTCCTTAAATATTTTGACTATATAGTTTAACTTTTTTTACATGTATGGTTTGCAAATATTTCCCCTAACTCTGTAAATTGCCTTTTCACTTCGTTGATTTTTTTCTTTCGGAAAAAAAAATTGGCTTTAGAGTTAAATTGAGGTTGCTTGCTGACGTGATATGAAGTTAGACAAAGATGTTTATGAGAGACTCTATTACTGGTCACTCATTTCACTTCTTTAGGAAATTGGAGCAGAAAGAGAGGTTGACTCTTCACTGAGACTGGGTTTGGTCAGTCAGGTTTAGCTAATGAAGCTTGAGTTGCATGGGCCACTTCAGGGGCAAAAGCATTATTTGCTCACTGGTGCTTCTCAGCATTCTCTCATTCCCTTTTCTTCAGTTAGTGGTTTCTGGGCAAACTAAAATCGTGGAATGAAGATAATGCAAAGCAGAGGAAAATAAACTAGCATCAGAGAAGTAGATTTTGTTGACTTTGTTTGCCCACCCTGACTGATTCAAAACTTCATCTCCAAACCTTAGTTTGGCTCATTGATGAGAAAAGAATAATAATTTGTCCTTTAAGGTTCTTGGTGCCAAGCAATTTACTGATAATTTTTGTCTTAATATTTGATCCTTGAAACATTTTCTTCACATGACAGTCGAGAAACTTGTCCAGCAACTTTCACATTCTGAACTTCAAATGCTGGGTAATTACTCCTCAGAAGCTACAGTGGCATGTATGAATCTTAGATGGATTTCCTGTGGGGCTCAACTACAAGAACCAAAAAGGATGACTTTAATTCCCATCTCTATCTGTACCTATTAATAGGTGATCCTGCTTAAATAATTTTAAATATAAATATATTTCTGGGCTTCTATTACCTTATATGTAAACTGAAGTTAATATTACTAATCTTAAATATTTATTGCAAGTTCTTAAAACTGATGTATGCAGAAATATCAAGCATAATTTCCAGAAGATACTAATCACCTAATGAATAGTACTTCATTTCCCATTCCACAATACTGATACTTTCCCTTTAGATACGTACTTCAAAACATAAACCTGGAGCACCATGAGAAAATGTTAAACAGAGGCCAGGCGTGGTGGCTCACGCCTGTAATCCCAGCACTTTGGGAGGCCGAGGCGGGCGGATCACGAGGTCAGGAGATCGAGACCATCCTGGCTAACATGGTGAAACCGTGTCTCTACTAAAAATACAAAAAAATTAGCCGGGCGTGGTGGCGGGTGCCTGTAGTCCCGGGTACTCGGGAGGCTGAGGCAGGAGAATGGCGTGAACCCGGGAGGCGGAGCTTGCAGTGAGCCGAGATCGTGCCACTGCACTCCAGGCTGGGTGACAGAGTGAGACTTCGTCTCAAAAAAAAAAAAAAGAAAGAAAATGTTAAACAGAATGTGTATTTCTATTTTTTTTTTTTTTTTGAGATGGAGTCTCGCTCTGTCACCCAGGCTGGAGTGCAGTGGTGCAGTCTCGGCTCACTGCAAGCTCCGCCTCCCGGGTTCACGCCATTCTCCTGCCTCAGCCTCCCGGGTAGCTGGGACTACAGGCACCCGCCACCACGCCCAGCTAATTTTTTGTATTTTTAGTAGAGACGGAGTTTCACCATGTTAGCCAGGATGGTCCCGATCTCCTGACCTCGTGATCTGCCCGCCTCACCTCCCAAAGTGCTGGGATTACAGGGGTGAGCCACAGCGCCCAGCCCAGAATGTGTATTTCAGCAAAACCTTAAAATTTTCAAGACCCACAAGTAACCAGGTTTTTTTCATATCCAAAACATGCCTACACTCAACTGATCTGGGAGACAATAGAAGTTTATCTTAGATTAAAAATAAAGCCATGACTGCCAGATAAGATTCTACTACTACTTTATTCCAACTTATTATTTGGTAGTTTGAACTTGTTTGTAAATTTTCACATTGGTTTTAATCACTAGCATTTCAAGATTTACTGAGGTTTATGTGTTTTTGTGTGGAAAAACATCCTGCTCTTTTTTAGACTCTAATGCTTGTTTGCTACTTAGCTAGCATAATCATCTTTTAAAATACACGCATTGATGATAGATTTTACATTGAAATCTAGTCTAAACAACATTTTTTAAATGTAATGGGTTTTGCAAATTTGACAATAGGGTGGAATCATGACAACCGTTAAACACCAAACTCTCAACTTCTCGCTTTTGCAGTGATCAGTTCTGCCACTTTCTTGCTTTGTTACCTCCAGAAGATGATGAATGAGTAATAAAAGGCACTTGACCATAGTACCATTTTATAATCTTGTATCATAAAAGCCCCAGCTGAAAACATTGTGGGCTTTGTGATCATGATCTCTGCCCAGTTTAGATAAACTATGTACATGGACCAACCTACTTCCAGATCATAGTTATCTTTGCAAAGTGGGCTTGTTCTTACTGAAAATAATGTTCTTCATAGTTACCCATGGCAAACAGTGTTGTATCTCCTTGTTCATATGTAATTTGCTGAATATTAACTGATACTTTACGGAAGTCAATATGCTAAGTGCTATAAATGTTTGGTACAGAAATAATTTAGACCTAAACTTTATCACTCCTATTTGATTAGGTCAAGGAAATCTCTGGAGAATGGGAAATTCTTGAGCTGGGTCTTATAGAAAAAGTGAGGTATTTTCAAATAAATGAAGAAAAATAGCTTTCTGGAGAAAGAGAAACATGTATAAAGTCAGGGAGATAAAATCTGAGTATGGTGACTTTGGGGAACTGTGAATAAATCAGAATGATAACAGTGTAAGTTGTATATATGTAAGGAAATAACAAGAACGAAAGAGATATAGCAGCAAAAACAAAAATTAGAGACTGTTTTATGTAAAAGTATAAGAAATTTAGATTTCATGGTTTATACAATATGGAGCTATTCAAGGCTTTCTAAGAAAGAAAGTAACATGAAGTTTTGTGTTTTTGTTGTTGTTGTTGTTTTTGAGAGGGAGCCTAGCTCTGTCGCCCAGGCTGGAGTGCAGTGGCATGATCTTGGCTCACTGCAAGCTCCGCTTCCTGGGTTCACGCCATTCTCCTGCCTCAGCCTCCTGAGTAGCTGGGATTACAGGTGTCCGCCACCACACTCAGCTAATTTTTTGTATTTTTAGTAGAGACAGGGTTTCACTGTGTTAGCCAGGATGGTCTCGATCTCCTGACCTCGTGATCCGCCTGCCTTGGCCTCCCAAAGTGCTGGGATTACAGGCATGAGCCACTGCACCTGGCCGAAGTTTTGTGTTTTAAAAAGATGACTCTTTTTGCAAAAGTGTAATAGTATGAAGGATATAGTGAAGGGAGGAGGAGAAACAGATATAAAACTAGTTTCAGAAGAAAGATGATGGCTGGAGCATGCTTGAATTGGATATAGGGAAGGGGGAAGTGGGACATATATACAGAGTTAGTGAGGTATAGTTAAGGTTTGATATAATAAGAAAGATTAAGACTCCCAAACTGAACAACTTGATGAGTAGAGGAGATACTGACTAGAATAACATTGAAGGAGAAGCAACATTTTCAAGGTTTGTGTTTTGTTACATTTCTCTTCATTTTCATTCTTCCTTCTTTCTATAATAGATGGTTTGCAAAGATAGACACCAATGTCACCTTGCATCCTTGAGCATACATAACATTATTTCTATAAAAAAATCAAGTCTATTTTACCCTTGACCTGAGCTAGCCTCAAGACTTGCTTTGAGCTATAGAATGGGACAGAAATGAAAATATGCTTATGAGGCCCAGTAGCTTCCACTTTTGCTTTTTTGAAGTCCTGAGCTATCATGTAAAATTGTTCAACTACTATGCTGGAAAGGGAGAGTATAGTGACAACTTTAATGGTTTGGGCCTATAGAGAAAGAGAAAGAGAAAGAGAAAAAAAAAAAAAAGAAAGAAAGAGAGGGAGGGAGACTGACCAGCCAGGTCCTAGACATTTTGGTCACACCAAAGGAACCAATAAACAGGTAGATGAAGTCATCTTGCAAAACTCTACCCCAGACAAATCTCTCCAATCAACATGACATGTAGCATATACAAGACATTCCCACTGTGTCTTGGCTATACTGCAGATTCAAGAACAAATTAAATAGTTTGCTGGGTGTGGTGGCTCACACCTGTAATCCTAGCACTTTGAGAGGCTGACACGGGCAGATCACTTGAGGCCAGGAGGTCGGGACCAGCCTGGCCAACATAGTGAAACTCTGTTTCTACAAAAAATATGAAAAAAAAAAAATTAGCCGAGTGTGGTGGTGCATGCCTGTGGTCTCAGCTACTTGAGAGGCTGAAGCAAGAGAATTGTTTGAACTTGGGAGGTGGAGGTTGCAGTGAGCAGAGATTGAGCCATTGCACTTAAGACTGCGCGACAGAGCTTGAATCTGTCTCGAAAAAAAAAAAAGGATAAATTGTTGTGCTTTAAGCTATTCACTTTTGCAGTAGTTTTTTATATGCAGTGATTAATAACTGATAATCCCTTTTACTCTGTCTTCTCTCTCTATCTCTCTTTCTGAGGCATCATTATAAGTAGGAAAACAAGAAAAATATTGCAATAAACTCAGTCATTTAGATCATGACTTCCATAGGAGGTGAATAGTTGCTATTCCTATCCTTTGAGCAAATTTCTGTATTATAAATTTCCTCCTATGATCTCTAAGGCAGACCACAAAGATACTAAAAAACATTATTCATATATAAAGTTACAAGTTAGGAAAGGCTCTGTAACCTAGATTTTCATGAGATATGTTAAGAAATCACAACATCTATAAATATCTTTATATATTCAAAAAGATAATTATTAATCTCTATCCCTGGGGAAAAAAAACTATAAACTACAAGAACAATGGAAAGAATTAAGGACAAAAAAAGACTTTTTCGTCTTGTGTGCCATTTTCCATAGTTGGACATCTTGAATTATTCTTTATTGCAACTGTAGATATACAAATTATAAGGTTGACATTTTCCTATAGGTTGGCAACTGGTGAATGTTCTTTAGTGTGTTTAAAATGACATAAGAATTTTTTTAAACATTGAGGTTAGTAATTCTGCTTTAAAATCAAGAATATTTAATGTATTTCTTTGGATTAACTTATTATTTAAATATTTTATTTATAATATCCTACCCTCTTTAGTAATCAAATAATTTTAACATGGAGGTCCTTCTCTGCAAATGTAAACCCAATTTATAAAATGTTAATTCATTTGCTTTAAGGAAAGCACACTCAACAGAACAAACTTTTTCATTATGGAGGGAAAACTCAAGGGGTTATCAAAGTCTACCTGGGGAACTTTTTCTAAATTACTTTCACATTTATTAGAGGCAGAAGTAGACATTTATTTGCAAAATATCCATAGCTATGCTGCACAGCCCACAACTTTTAGAAGCATTGTTATATAGGGAGAGAAAAAAAAAAGGTCTCAACTTTTTTCTTTATAAATTAATTAAGTTCTTTTGCTTCTATTAGTTTTCATCTAAATTAATGGCAAGCATTTTAGCCACCTGGAACTCTCCTATTATCTGATTAAAAACAACCATTTGAAATTCACCATCTACCCAAAATGTTTACGTCAGTTTTGGTTAACACTGTTTCTTATACCTTGTGTTTTGTATTCTATTAGTTCCAAGTAATGTATTCTACCTCATTTTCAAGGACTAAATTATATCTTATCCCTTCTTTTTCAATATAGTCACCAAGACAAATATTGATCTTTCCCATCTATTAATTTCTAAAACTTTATTCTTTTCTCGCAATAAAATTATTTGCAAAATAAAATCATTAGTTCAATAAATTTCTAAATACTTGTTTAGTCTTCTGGTCAATGAAACTAGGTACATTATTTCTTTAGAGCAGGAATTCAGGCATAGCTAATATTAAGAGAATGAACAGTGAAGAGTATTTGTATGACAGATACATGTGTTTTCTGCCCCTTTTGGTGTGTGACCTTGGGTAGTAGCTTAAACTTTCAGGCTTATTATATCCCCATGAGTCGAATCAAGACTCTGATCTCTAAGGCACTTTCAGCTCTAAGGTTTTAAAGCTGATAATCTGAGATTTCCTGCCAAAGTTCATCTGTTTGCTTTCTATTGTCCAGTTTTATTGATATATTGTTTCAATAAGCATTTTTGAATTCTGTATTATATGGCAGACATAATTTTTTTTGGTATTAGAGAAAGAACATGAATGAGACAAGAAAGCCTCTATTCTCAGAAAGCTTAAATTCTGGAGGAGAGGTCAGTGGGACACACGCAGACAATAAAATAAAGAATCATAAAAATCACCAAGGGGTTAAAGATGATATAAAGATCAACTCTTGGGTGTCTATTTTAGATTGAGTGGCAGGAAGGTATCTCAGATATAAATGGCATTTTAGCCAGGTTCTGAAGGATAAAATGTTAGCCATGCAAAGATATAGAAAGAGCATTCCAGGCAGTACAAAGATTCCAAGGACCTGTTAAAGTAATAAAAAGAATGCTGTGGATGCTGGAGCATCATCAGGGAGAGAGAGACAGTCCTAGAAAAAGTCAAAGTAAGCCAAAGTCAGATCACGTAGAGTTTTGAAATGATGGAAAAGGACTTTGCCTTTCTTTTAAATCTAATGAGAAGAGGAATGACATTACTCGATGAGTTCACTTTTAATAATAATCATTTTAAGCCAATATTTTGTCCCTAAATAGTAAAACCAGAAATTGCTTTTAGGCAAATATTTAATACCTGGGAGCATTATCCTACCACACAAGAATAATTTCAGTCCAGATGTCTGACATCTGTAGTATATTATTAACATTTTTTTCAGGCTTCATAAATTGAAGGTGGGGAGTGGATACTTAATTATATTCTCTTACAGATTTGAATAGAAATATGAATGGATTTAAATTTTTTAATGATAGCATTTTTTACTTCAAAGCAATTTGCTTGCAGCTATCTTCCACATACATACATGGTGAAAATAATGAATATTTAGTTTTTTCAGATAAATCAGAGTTAAATACCTTTATTTAGTCCTCTTAGAGTGGCATTTATCCTACCTTCTTCTGGAAAAAAAAAACAAAAAACACAAACACTCCTGTATGACATTCGGATGTAAAAGATTATATAGCATTTCTTTCTCAATTATTTTTGAATATATATAATTACCTCTGTAATAACTGGAAATATTTGTCATTTGACTTTATAACAGCTAAATATCAACTTGATATTACTTATTATTCCTCATGGGAAACAAAAATTAGATTCACGCATTATATATATTTAGAGTGTGACAGAAACTGTTCTTAGGAAGCCTCTGACATATTTACTGAGTCTTTTTTTTAATCTCTCCACTATAGAAATAGGTTCTTAAAATTTGGTTAGAAAATTATTACAACTTAATCTTGTTGATGAAAAATAATGGCTTAATTCTCTTTACATTGTCTGTATATTTTTTACATAAGTACATTGGCATAAAAAGATCTATTAATAACTTTAGTGTATATGAGACAAATAATGTATAAGATTATATCTGCTTTATATTAGATAATAGAATCATTAAATTATATCTTTTCCGTTTTATCCTATAAAATCAAAATTGTTTTTACAGGATGTGGAAACTTTCAGAATCAGCATGTAATATTTATTCTAGGAACTATTTGAGTTTTATAAATCAACAAGATGAATTGAGCACCTCTTTAATTAAATATACATATTAGGTGTTGAATGACAGTAATGAGTAATGAATTATTTAACTGTTTAAGTCACAGCCCTGCCCTCAAGCAACTTTGTAGTATAATTGGAAAGATAAGGAAAAGCTAACTAAAACCATAGTAAACAAGCACTGAATAAACCGGGAATCAGAAAAAAAAATAATTTTTAATCTCAGCTGTAACTTTAGGAAAGCCACTTAAGCTTTCATAGCCTTTGTTTGTACAACTGTAAGGAAAAAATCAAATTAATTGCTTTTTAGGATGTCTTCTAACTAATATTCTAAGGGTTTCACAAGAATGCTTGATACTTCAAATGTACCAACTAGCTTCAGAAGATTGATGTATCTAAAATAAACACAAATCGATTCCAGCAACATAACTGAATTATATATTAGAAAACCCACTCTCTGACCTTCAAACTCTAATTATAAATGTAGACATATGCCAATCAAGGCAATGCTTGTTATTATTATTTTGAAGAAGAAGAAGAAAACAAACAATAAGACAGCTCAAAAGAAATGGGTATCTTCATGTGTTATATGGCAAAATTTAATGTTCCCAGCTGCAAATACTTACATCGCAGATTATCTTACATGAAGAGATAACCATGTAACCCATATCACGTTGTTGAGATATACATGGAATTGATGACTGGTGTTTCAGGAAAAAAACTTTTAAAGGTAACAGGCTCAGCTGACATATTTTTTTTTCACTTTTAGTTCTTTTCTCCTTTGCCTTGATTAGAAAACTGGGTGCTTAGAAGGGGGAAAAAAACCTTTGAAAACAAAGTCTACATACAATAAATATAAAATATCTAGGAATACTTTGAACCAATGAAGTGAAAGATTTCTGCAAGGAGAAATACAAAATACTGCTAAAAATAATCATGCATGACACAAACAAAGGGAAAAATATTCCATGCTCATGGACTGAAAGAATCAGTATCATTAAAATGGTCATACTGCCCCAAGCAATCTACAGATTCCGTGCTGCTTTCATTAGACTATCAGCAACATTCTTCAAAGAATTGGAAAAAAATCTAGGCTAAAATTCATGTAGAATCAAAAACAAGCTCAAATAGTCAAAGCTATCATAAGCTTAAAGAACAAAGCCGGAGGCATCACATTAACCAATTTCAAACTATACTATCAGGCTACAGTTAACAGAAACAGTATGATACTGGAACGAAAACAAACATAGACCAATGGAACAGAACAGAAAACCTATATAGAAAACCACACACCTACAGCCATATGATCCTCAATGAAGCTGACAAAAATAGGCAATAGGTAAAGGATTCCTTATTCAATAAATGGTCATGGGATAATGGGCAAGCCATGCAGAAGAATAAAATTGGACCCATATCTTTCACCATATGGAAAACTAACTCAAGATAAATTAAAGATTTAAATATAAGACAACAAACTATAAGAATCCCAGAAGAAAAATAGAAAACATTCTGGACTTTGGAAAGAATTTATGACTAAGACCTCAAAAGCAATTGGAACAAACACAAAAATTGACAAATTGGTCCTAATTAAACTAAAGAACTTCTGCACAGCAAAAGAAACTATTAACAGTGTAAACAGATACCCTACAAAATGGAAGAAAATGTTTGCAAACTATGCATCTGGCAAAGGTCTGATATCCAGAATCTATAAGAAACTTAAACAATTGAACAAGCAAAAAACAAATGACCCTATTAAAAATAGTCAAAAGACATAAACAGAGACTCTCAAAAGAAGACATACAAGTGACCAACAAACACATTAAAAAAAAATGCTTCATTTCACTAATAACCAGAGAAATGCAAATAAAGTGCAAATCATTGGTAATCGACCTGGATATATGCCCTAGAACTCTGAGTTAAAGATCTGTGGTTCACACAAAATGAATACATTGTAGTAAAATTATATAGAATAAAACAGTATATAAACTATATTTCAGTTAATTAATTTGAAATTAATTAAAGCTATACATAAAACTCAAAACTACAATGTAGGCCAAAAAGTAATGTTAGGAAAGTATAGCTTACATATATAAGTTTCTTCCAAATTTTTATAAAAGAAGTATCTGTGGATATCTACCTATGTGATAACTTATGATATATAGTCTAAATAGACCTCAAGATATTGGTGATTTTTAGGGAAGATAACAGGGGTAACTTCTAGAATAGCAGCATCAACCCACTGTTCATGAAACAGCCATTACTGGTGCAAATTATTATTTTTTATAAATAAAATCTCTCGGGATTGTCCTAAAAACATACATTAAATAAAGAAACATCTATTCAAGAAAATCTACCAAAGCCCTGTAAGGAGAATGTAGATTGTGTGGCACCTAAGCCATGACCTATTCCCTCCCTACTCCTTCTGTAACATAATATGATGACAGAAGCTCTAATTCAGGGAGATATGATAAAGAAGGAGGGTCCACCAGACAAGGGACAGGGTATCTCACTGGAAAGGGCAGGCTGACAGCATTTCTTACTGCCCCTGAAAACTTCATGTTCAGAGGGTAAATTCCATTAAGGGTGGTAGAGAGATTGAGGATGCCATTCCTTCATCCATACCTGCTTCATAGGACAGAGGCTTGAGCCCAGGAAAAGCAGGCCAATAATATTGGGATGCTGATTGCCTTTCCCTCACTACACTTGTAGAAAAGAAGTTCCATACGGGTAGAGACAAATCAAGAAAAGCAGAAAATAGCGTCCCATCCCCAGGTTCTTCTCATAAAGCAGAGGTGTCACACCAATAGAAGCAGGCGGCTGTCCATGTGCCAGATCCAGAGATTTTGATAGAAAAGAGGCAGTATAAAAACAAAACAAAACAAACAACAACAACAAAACAGAGATCTGAATCTCTCCCCAATGGACATGCCATTATTTGAAACTGACTATGGGACATTAAAAAGCCCAAGAGTGTTCTCAAAAACAATGGACATTTTGGTGATAAGTAACTAAGTGCAACAACCTAGACCAAAGGCCAGCAGTTTGACAGAAAGAACAAGGACTTGAATTAAAATCTACCTGTGAAAATGGGCCCCAGCTTAATTGGATCAGACTGTGGAGCAATTTATGTCCCAGTGCTTCATCACACAGAAAAAAAAAAAAGAGAAATCAGCAAGCAATTAGTGGACCCTGAAAGCTGGATGTGACATAACAAATGCAGACACTTTATAGGAATATCAGGGAAAAAGACAGCCAAAGAAAGTCCTGCTAAAACCACTGCCATCCTGGCATGACTGTGTGCATGCCCACAGTGCACTCTCTGTGAATCAACATCAGATGCTTTACACGGAAAAGATAATAGATTTCACTAAAATAGCCCAACTATATCACTAAACAAGAAAAAAGAAAACTACAAGAAAAACAAGGCCCAGGGAATGGAAGAATCAGTATCCAGAGTTGCTATGATAGATTCTCTTAAGTGACTAAATGTAAACAACAACGACAAGTACGAGAAATGCAAATAAATGGTGTTACACTTGGGAAGGGAAATTTAAAAACAAGCAACAGATACCATTTGTGACACGATCCAGAAATTATGAAACAGAGACTTCAAAGCAGCCATTATAAATGTATCTGAAGAACTAAAAAAAAAAAAAAAAAAAGCATGTTTAAAGAAGTAAAGGAAGGCATAATTACAATGTCTTAGAAAGTGGAAAATTCAGTAAAACAGTTAGAAATTAGAAAAGAATGATTCAAGTAGAAATACTGCAGTTAAAAATCAATAGCAGAAATAAAAAATTCACCACAGGGGTTCATCATATTAAGTTGGTGCAAAAGTAATTGCAGTTTTGCTATTCCTTTTGATGCAAAAATCGTGATTACTTTTGCACCAACCTAACAGATTTGAATTGGCAGAGAAACAATGACCCATTAATAGAGATTTTTTAATCTGAAGAATACAGAGAAAATCAAATGAAAAAGGATGACCAGAGCATCAACATACATTTAATGGGTACATGTTCCAGGAGAGGAGGAGAGAAAAGAAACAACAGGAAAGAAAAGGATAAAAATAATGGATGAAAAACTCCCAAATGAGTGAAAACCACTAATGACTGAAAGTTTTTTAAATTATGAAAAAAATCAATCTACCCATCAAACAAGTTTACCAAAACCAAGTGGGATAAATGTAAAGAGATTCACACTAGGTACATCATGGTTACAATAGAGAAAGCCTCAAGGAGAACATTTTGAAAGCAGCAACAGAAAAATGACTCATCACATACAAGGGAATTTCAATAAGATTAACGTCTGTCATCTCATCAGAAATAATGCATGCCCAGAAGGCATTAGGAGCATATAGTAAATGCTCAAAGAGAAAAACAAACAAACAAACAAAAACACATACACACACACAGCTATCAACTGACTATTATATCCAGAATGCTCTTTTTAAAATGGAGATGAAAAATATTAGTAGATTAAAACATAAATAAATAAATACTAAGACAATGTTTTGCAAACAGGCTTGCCTTACAAAAAACACTAAGGAATACTTCAAACTAAGAGCAAGTAACACCAGATCATAATTTAAATCCTTAAAAAAAACCCAATAAAACAATTAAATAATTATCAAAGAGAATATAAATGAGTATTTATTCTCTTTACTTTTCTTAACTGAGTTTTAAAAACTGTATAAAGTAACATGTATGTAATTGTATTGCTGGACCTAAACCATACAGAAATGTAATATATTTCTCAGTAATAGCACAGAGGTAGGTGTCATGAAACTTCTTTTGGAGTGCAGAAATGATACCAGATGGTAATTTGAATCCAAATGAATAAATTAGTAGAACCAGTGATGTGTTCTAGATGTTTTGTTCCCTCCAAATGTCATTTTGAAATCTGACCTCCAAAGTTATAGGTGGGTCTAGTGGGAAATGCTCGGGTCATAGGGGTTGATCCCTCATGAATGGCTTAATGTCCTCCTCATGGTAATGGGTGAGTTCTTACTCAGTTTACTGGAGAGCTGGTTGTTTAAAGGGTCCTGGCACCTCTTTGTCCCTCTCCCTCTCCCTTTCACCATGTGACACACTGATTCCCCTTTTTTTCCACTATGACTGAAAGCTTCCCAAGGACTCATCAGAAGAAAAGCAGATGCTGATGCCATTCTTGTATAGCCTGTTTAAAATGTGAACTGGCCAGGTGCAGTGGCTCACTCCTGTAATGCCAGCGCTTTGGGAGGCCGAGGTGGGCAGATCACCTGAGGTCAGGAGTTCGAGACCAGCCTGGCCAACATGGTGAAATCCCATCTCTACTAAAAATACAAAAATTAGCCAGGCACAGTGGTGTGCTCCTTTAACCCCAGCTACCCAGGGGGCTGAGGCAGGAGAATTGCTGGAACTCGAGAGACAGAGGCTGCAGTGAGCCGAGACTGCACCACTGCACTCCAGCCTGAGCAACAGAGCAAGACTCGGTCTCAAAAAAAAAAAAGTGAACCAAATAAACCTCTTTTGCCCAAGGGCGGTGGCTCACACCTGTAATCCCAGCACTTTGGAAGGCTGAGATGGCAGGATCATTTGAGGCCAGGAGTTTGAGACCAGCCTTGTCAACACGGCAAAACCCTGTCTCTATTAAAATTACAAAAATTAGCTGGGCATGGTGGCACATGCCTGTAATCCCAGCTACTCAGGAGGCTAAGGCACAAGAATCACTTGAACTCAGGAGGCAGAGGTTGCAGTGAGCAGCGGTCATGCCATTGCATTCTAGCCTGGGCGACAGAGTGAGACTTTGTCTTTAAAAAATAAATAAATAAATAAATAAATAATACTTTTTTCTTTATAAATTACCTAGTCTCAGGTATCTCTTCATAGCAACAGAAAATGGACTAACATGATCAGAAAGTAAGTGGTAAATTAGAAGGTTAATATAGCTATTAGTGATGCTATCTCCCACTTTTAGACACTGAATAACACAATAAACTGAATCCAAAACAAGTAGAAGTAAAGACATAAGAAAAATTTTTTAAAAATGTATGCTTCAAAAGACGTTAGGGAAGTGGCATGACAACCCACAGAATTAAAGTCAGTATCTGCAAATCGTATATCTTATAAAAAATTGTTTATAGAAGTATAAATAATTCTTACAACAAATATTAAAAAACAACATTCTAAAATGGGAAAATATATGAATAAACATTTCTCCAAAGAAGATATATAAATGGCCAATAAGCACATAAACAGAGCCTCAACAAGATTAGTCATCAAGGAAATGCTAATCAAAACCACAATAAGATACCATTTCACATCTGCTTGGCTGGCTATAATTTTAAAAGCAGAAAATTACCAGTTTGAGTGAGAATGTGGATAACTGGAACCAACATACACTGCTGATGGAAATGTAAAATGGAATATACGCTAGCTTCTTTACAAAACAATCTGACAGTAACTCAAAGGTTAAATTTAGAGTTGCCATTTGACCCAGTAATTCCACTCGCAGGTATATAGCCAAAATTGTATACAGATATTCCACAGAAGCATAATTTACAGTAGCAAAAAATTGAATGAACTTAAATGTTTAACAATTGATGAATGAATTTTAAAATGTGATTTATTAATAAAATGGAATGTTTTTTAACAATATAAAAAGAAACGAATTACTGCTGCAAGATGGGTAAGTGTTGAGGGGGTCCTATATCTTTTGTCCAGGCTACACTTATTAACATAAATCTGTCACCAATCCTTGTTTGTACAAAGAGAAAACCCTTAATGAGTACCTTCCATATGCCAGGCATTGTGCTAGGAAGTTATGAATGCACTTTTTTTTCATCTTTATAACTTTATAAAGGAGATCATATTGTCCCTTTTTTTAAGATAAGCAAGCAGAAGCTAAAAATGAATAAATAAGTTACCCAAGGCCATAAAGCTACTAAATGCCAAGGCTTGGAATTAAATTTCTGTCTGTCTTATGCAATAGGCTTTTCATTTTATCCCATGATATTTAGTAATAAAAATAATGCAAACCCGGCCAGGCGCAGTGGCTCATACCTGTAATCCCAGCACTTTGTGAGGCCGAGACTGGCGGATCACGAGATCAGGAGATCGAGACCATCCTGGCTAACACGGTGAAACCAAAAATAGTTTATTCTCTACTAAAAATGCAAAAAATTAGCCAGGCGTGGTGGCGGGCGCCTGTAGTCCCAGCTACTTGGGAGGCTGAGGCAGGAGAATGGCGTGAACCCGGGAGGCGGAGCTTGCAGTGAGCCGAGATGGTGCCACTGCACTCCAGCCTGGGTGACAGAGCAAGACTCCGTCTCACATAAATAAATAAATAAAGCAATAATAATAATAATTCAAACCCACTTATCAGTAGAAGAAATAGCAAAAATAAAGTCATATATACCTTTTGAGTGTGAAGTTAGTACAACTCCCCAGTTGGTTGCTTATTTACAAATCAGACCTACCTTGTTTGGGTTGAGTCAACAACCCTGGTCAGTGAGTTTATGATGATCACAAATTAATGAACTCCCTAATCTAGACTTTCTTAAGAAAGGAAGTAAGATAAAAGCCAGGGTTGCTGCAGAAGCTGGGAATGTTTTGAAGTGTGAGGACACGGAAAGGGAAAGGAATAGAGAGTTAAAAAATCACTGGAGGATGTGTCTCTGTGTTGGTGGGGGAAGGGTTTTTTTTTTGTTAACGGAGAAATTTCTAAGCTACCACCATCTATTAAATATTCCCGTACTAAAGAGTAACTAGGAAAAACATTTGCATGAAAAAATGTTATCAAGAGAATCAAATGAAAGAAATTTTCATCATGGTCCAGGAAATATATGAAAAACAGATTTTCTTAAATGTTGTCAAGTCTGTCCCTGATACTTTCTATATAAACTCTTACTCAAATTATGAGTTACCCAATAAACAGTGCCTGGTAGGCCTGCACTGAATATTTACCCTTAGGTGTAATTTTAATGGTAAGGAGAGATGTTTTGTTGTCGTGATATGTATTTTATGAGTATATAGTCAATGTTAAGTGGTCTTCGACCGTGCTTTTGGAAACATAAATTTTCATTTGTGGGCTATAGTTTATTCTTAAGTAAAATTAAATTTTAAGTTTAAATATATTCTAAAGATTTCTTCCAGAATATCAGCCTACTTTCATTTAACCTAATCACAATCCACATTCACTGAAATGAAGAAAAGCAAAATGGCCCCTCAACTCATGAAGATGGGGATGTAAATACAGTCTAGTGGAAAATGGAAGACTCAGTCAGGAGGAGCAGAAATTGGGATTATGTAAGGCACTTAATAATCAGAGGCATTTATAATTAATTTAGAGATTATAAGTAAAGTTTTTTGTACACGTGATCTATTTCACTATATTTTGTAGTAGTCATTCTTTATTAGAATTTCCCAACAGCATCACTTAGAGAGCACTTTGTGTAAATTAAAGACCATGACCCTACCTCTGAAGAGTATAAATTATTGGTATATTTTATTTCCATATTATTTATTCTTAAACTGAAATAAAAATTCTGACATGCACCATTAATAACAGCTGACAAGGATACAGAGGAAAGGGAACTCTTATACACTGTTATTGGGTATAAGAATAAATAATAGGCCGGGCGCAGTGGCTCACGCCTGTAATCCCAGCACTTTGAGAGGCCGAGGCGGGTGGATCATGAGGTCGGGAGATCGAGACCATCCTGGCTAACACGGTGAAACCCCCTCTCTACCAAAAATATAAAAAATTAGCCGGGCGTGGTTGTGGGTGCCTGCAGTCCCAGCTACTCGGGAGGCTGAGGCAGGAGAATGGCGTGAACCTGGGAGGCGGAGCTTGCCTTGAGCCGAGATCGCGCCACTGCACTCCAGCCTGGGCGACAGAGAGAGACTCTGTCTCAAAAAAAAAAAAAAAAAAAAAGAATAAATAATAAAATAATAAAGCCACTCTGAAAACTATTATACACTTCTATTGGGTATCTGCACTAAATAATAGAACCACTATGAAAAAAATGGAGATTTCTCAAAAATTAAAAATAGAACTACCATATAATCTTGAAATTCCAGTACTATTTATTCAAAGAAGAGGAAATCAGTATATGAAAGGTATACATGTACCCCCATGTTTATTATGGCACTAGTCACCATAGAGAAATATGGAATCAACTTAAATGTCCATCAAAAGATAAATGGATAAAGAAAATGTGATATGCACACACACACACACACACACACACACACACACACACACACACATAATAGTATACTGTTAAGCCATTAAAAGAAATGAAATCATGTCATTTATAGCAACATGGATAAAACTGGGGTCATTATGTTAAGTCACATGAGTCAGGCACCAAAAAATCAATTATTGAATGTTTTCACTCACATGTAGGAGCTAAAAATGTTGGTCTAATGGATGTAGGGAGTAGGATGAGAGCCGCCAGAGGCTACAAAGTATAGGGGAGGTAAGAGAGGGGGAAGAAGACAGTTTGGTTAATAAGTACAAACATACAGTTAGATAGAAGGTGTAAGTTCTAATGTTTTGCCCAGAGTAGGGTGACTGACTATAGTTAGCAACAATGTATTGTATATTTCAAAGTAGCTAGAAGAGAGGACTTGAATTGTCTTCAACACATAGAAATGATAAATACTCAAGGTGAGGGATACCCCAAATACGCTTACTTAATTATTACACATTCTATGATGTAACAAAATATCACCTGTATCCAATACATATGTAAAATATTATAAATCAAATCAAATAAAACGTTTTTCCAAAGGAATTCAGGTTAAAGTTGGTGCTTTGCTTTTGAAATGAATGTCAGTTACCCAAAATGGTATTTAAGATATGTAGCCTGGTTTGGGGGGGCAGGGTGGTATTTCCCATTATAGAGTTCTTTAGCCTTTTGTAGTGATAGAGTTATTCTGTATGGACTACTGCAAAGAGAGAAATGTTACTGTTCCACGTGATACTCATTAGACAGAAATCCTTTTGTTTAACCAATAATTTTAACTAGCTCATCCAAATATTGTTTTATATAAATGACCTCTTGAATTGCAATAAGGAAATAATAATATTCTCAGTCATATCTGAAGTGATATTACTAAATAATAATTCAAAATAAAATATAAAAGAATTAACTGTGTCATTGGCTTCTACATATTCCTTAGATATTAAAATATTTTGTGTAGAAACTCCAAGTCATCCTCTATACTGATATTTTTCCTATAGCATCTCAGATTTAACAAAACTTGTAGGGAATAAAATGAATCTGTGTTTCTAAGAGTTACTGTAAAATTAAAAAAGAAAGTCCTGATCAACCACTTAAATATAAAATAGTTCTAAAATAACATAAAACTAATAAACCAAACAATTTATACATGGCATTTCAGGAATTGTGGCAGAAGTAAGTTTAACAGAATTGTCATATAAAAAGTACATACAGAATTTCATAGAATAATATTGAGAACTCAGTGCTTAAATAAGCAAGAAAATAGAACAGACTATTCGGTGATAACATATAACAAATATTAAAAAGATGTCTGTGGCCGGGCACAGTGGCTCACACCTGTTATCCCAGCACTTTGGGAGGCCGAGGTGGGTGGATCATGAGGTGAGGAGTTCAAAACCAGCCTGGCTAACATGGTGAAACCCCATCTCTACTAAAAATACAAAAATTAGCTGGGTGCAGTGGCAGGCTCCTGTAATCCCAGCTGCTCGGGAGTCTGAGGCAGGAGAATTGCTTAAACCCCGGGCGGCAGAGGTTGCAGTGAGCCAAGATTGTGCCACTGCACTCCACCCTGGACGACAGAGTGGGACTCCATCTCAAAAAGAAAAAAAAAAGTCCGTGAACTAGTAACCTTGTTTTAATTAAAAGTATACATTTAAATTAGATATAATTTATTCTTATTAAATATGGGAAACCTAATTCTTAGTACTATAGAGAATACATGAACAGGTTATTGTCATGCAGAGTTTGGCAAGCAACAATAAAAATTCTGACATTTTTGGAAAGTAAATTCGCTATGCGTTTCAAAAGCCTTGAAACAGATCATATGATTAGTTAGCAGCTCGTTCGGATTGTGCCAAAGAAATAATCAAGGAAATGAAAAGTTATAATAAAATATAGTTATGATTATTACACAACAGCCTAAAACATGCATACTATGTACTGTTGAGTAAAGATATTAAAAGCAAACAATATGAGCACTCTACCTGTGAACATGTCAAAACAGTTATTTATACAGATAAGGTCTAGAACAGAACTGATGCAAAAATACAAACAATGGTCATGTTAAGATTGTAGTGTCATACTCTGCCCCTATTTTCCAAGTTCTCTTTAATTTTGTTATACCTTTGATGAAATTGACATAGAGAAGTGTAGAAAGTAAGTAGAGGGGGCCGGGCATGGTGGCTCATGCCTGTAATCCCAGCACTTCAGCAGGCCACACCAGGGTGATTGCTTGAGGCCAGAAGTTCAATACCAGCTTGTGCAACATAGTGAAACTCTGTCTCTACAGAATTTTTTTTTTTAATTAGCTGGGTGTAATGGTGCCACCTGTAATTCCAGCTACTCAAGAAGCTCAGTGGGAGGATTGCTTGAGTTGAGGGGTTCAAGACTGCAGTGAGCTATGATTGTACCATTGCACACCAGCTCCGGTCTGGACAACAGAGCAAGACCCTGTCTCAAAAAAAAAAAAAAAAAGGAAGGAAGAAAGTGAGTAAAGGGGCTAGGTGACATACTCACTATATTCATACACTGAGATGAAAGGCAATGGTGAAAGGCTGTGAGAAGGACAGAATAAGCACATTTCTTAAAATTTTATAGAGCTGTCAAACTGGTCAGAAATCATTCGGTAAAATGTACTGTGAGTCTTTTCTTGGTTTCTTTATTATTGTTTCTATCACCTGCAGATTTGGCATAACAAAATTATGATGATTCACTGTTATGCTGCAGAAAGGTTTATAATGTATATGGAAAAATCTTAATAATGTTTGGAGCTTGAGAGTCTGCAGGAAACCATGGGAAATTGCTTTTGCAACCACACTGAAATGAGAACCTCATTTAGAGAGACCAAGGGGGAGGGAATACTATAGATAAAAGCAAGTGAAATACAGTATTTAGAATGACAGGTCATCATAGAAGCTAAAAAATGCATTTAGCTCATCCAGGTGTGCTGCATTTACTCAATTTTGAAGGTCTGTTAGTAAGCAAAGCACATATTATATTATGCTTCTTGGTGTTTTCATTAGTTGTCTAACAGACTAAGTATAAACATTCTCTTGAAAGAGAAAGTGTGTTAAACACTTATAAAAGTAAACCAAGTTAAATCTTATATCTGCTAGGTAAAGATCAGTATCATATCTAACAGAAGATAAAGCTCAGAAAGAGTTATATCCTTCTTTGAATGGATAGCAAAACAAATTTCCATGCTGTCAGATCATAATGTGTTAATGCAGAATGAGGCCCCAGTGACCCACCTCTGGGTGCAGGTGTTTTTAGATTGAATTTTAAAGTAGACTCGTCTCTTTTGAACAAGTTTATACAATAATAATTAAAATGCACTAATACAAGAGGAGAAAAGATTTAATTTTCTATAAGATACTACTTCAATTGCATGTCTCACATATATCCGGTCTTTTGGTCCAAAGTGAAAATAGATGATTTTATAAACTGGAAGAGAATTTCATAACTTGCACTCAAAAGTAAAATTGGGCAGTCAATGCCAGAGGATTTTGTCTTTCCACCTTTTGGACGGGTCAAAAGTGAAAGTCTTTCGGAGGCTAATTTTACAAATGTACATGGAAACACAGAGGTTAACTGGCTTGTTCAAGTTAACATATTTAACTATGTTAGAAAGATTAGAACTTTATAGTTTTTTCCTCACAATTAATTATATGTTGAAAATATGTATATAAATTTTAAGCGAGTATAGTTATTTGGGACATATAGATACACTACAAATATCTACATTTTGCTTTATAGGTTCAGAGAGGGCAAGGGGGGATTGCCTTTGACCAATAACTGACTTTAAGATTTAAAGAGAAAAAAATCTTTCATTTCTTTAGATTGACATCAGTAGACCTTAAAACTACAAACAAACATATTTGCTATGTTGATACCTGAGTGCAAGAAAGAGTAAAGTCACTATACCTACAGCTGGCTCTTAGATCCCACAGAGAATAAAATAAAATCCAATGAGATAAAGATGAGAAGGATTTCATGAGTCTCCATGAAGAAATAAAAAGGTTAGAGAAAATATTTAATATTGAATTGTGAAATAGGTGTTAAAGGGGAAAACAAGTTATATATTTAAGATGACCTACTCAGGGTTATCTGTTATGACATTAAAAATAAACAGAGGAGGCCGGGTGCGGTGGCTCATGCCTATAATCCCAACACTTTGGGAGGCAGAGGCAGGTGGAAGACAAGGTCAAGAGATTGAGACCATCCTAGCCAACATGGTGAAACCCCGTCTCTATTAAAAACACAAAAAATTAGCTGGGCGTGGTGGCACACACCTGTACTCCCAGCTACTCAGGAGGCTGAGGCAGGAGAATCGCTTGAGCCTGGGAGGCAGAGGTTGCGGTGAGCCGAGATGGTGCCACTGCACTCCAGCCTGGGAGACAGAGAGAGAGACTCCAACTCAAAAAATAAAAATAAAAATAAAAAAATAAAATAAACGGAGGAGTTACTTCAGATCACTTTCTAGAGACATTGCCTTGTGAATTATTGTGAGGCAACACAACTGGAAAAATTCCAGGAATCATCTTGACCATTTTTAGAAGCTAAAGAGAAAACATGATCCTCCTACATGAGAATAATAATGGATGGTTGAGAAAAGAAACATATACTTGTGAGAAGCATGGAGTCATAAAAAAAATGTGAGGACAGGATGAAAACAAATGAAGTTGACTGAGAAGGGAAAGCCAAGGAATAAGGAGAAGAAAGAAACAAAACAAAACAAAACAAAAACAGGTGAAGCTTGATCTGTCAACTACAGAGCCCACTGCAGCTACAATATATTCTAAGAGAAATGTTGCCACCCACTGCTTAAGGGGCAGCCCTGCAATGATTATTCAAATCATTTTACCTGAATATTTTTAATGAATCAGCATTTGATTTCTAAGCCAAGAGTAGTTACTCCATAAAATAGCCAACTAAATATGATGTGCAAGAGAAGACAAGAATGGGCTGCAACAACCATATTATGTCTCTGGAATTATATTGGGCAACACAGAAAAAAAAATCAGCAATAGAAATTAAAAATTACAGACAAAAAGATGGTAGATTGAATTGGGTCTATGAATGTTCCTAATAAGACAAAAGAATGAGGACACAGACATTATGGAGTAGACACATGATATAAAAGTAGAAGAAAGAATGAGTCAGGGAAGAAAATGAAATCAACAAGAAAATCTGAGACATGCTATGAGAAAAAAAGAGTTCCCATGGTTAAGGAAGTTGTCACTACCTATAATTTTCTTTCTCCCTAAAAAAAAAAAAAGTGGTTAAAAAACACATAAGGTTAAACTTACTGCCTTAATCATTTTTACACGTACAGCTCCTTAATGCTAAGTATATTCATGTTATTGTTCAACAGATCTAGAACCTCTAAAACCTTTTCAACTTGCAAAACTGAAAGTGAAACTGATTAATTTATTAATCAGTAATTCTCCCTCCTTCCTACTCCCAGTCCTTGACAACCATCTTTCTATTTTGTTTCTAGGATTTGACCACTTTACATACTTCATGTGAGTGTAAGCATATAATAGTTCAGTAGTCGTCCTTTTGTGTCCCTACAGATTTCTTGAGTCTTGTGATTTTTCAATGTCTGATTCAATTTGGGTCCATATGGATCCTTACAAGAAGTAATAAAAAAAATTACCACACTTGAAAAATATGCAAACAAAACAATTTAAAAGCCCAAGTAGGACTGAGAAAGATTTTCCTATGATTCTAGGAAATAATTGAAACATACACTTTGAAATGACACTTTATTCAACAAAATAATATTTTCAGGAATACATGAGCCCAAATGATGGATTAGGTACTTGTGTTTAGGAGAGATTAAAATAAATACATCTCACTTTTGCCTGGTGCCAGGGAAAAAAAACCTTTTAAAATACTTTATGGATTTTAAAGTAAGCTTAATGTATTTTAACTGAGCTTAGTGATTTGAGGGAGAATGCAACTAATGATGGATTTTTTAATAATGTTTTCACAGAACATTAAAATAGATTTTAGTTCCACTCATCTTCCACAATGATAATACTCTTTCCCGGATTAATCTTAAAATAAAGTTGATGTATTTAATCCTGTGTGAAGATATCAAATATGCATTTCAATGTATCGTAATAAAATATATAAATTATCACATCTTTGTAAACAGTACCACTGTACATATATAAAGATACTGCTGAGCTCACTGGCCATTGTAGACTGAGGTTATGAAGTGTTTTGCAGGCTTTGGAAGACTTCTCTTCTTCATCATAGTAAACATTGCTAAATTTCCTCTTCTTTGGCAAAACTAGACTATCTTGCATCTCATGAAAATCTGTAATTGGAGTTTATTTAGAAAACATATTAAATGCTATCAGAGAGCTTTTGTGGAAGCGCTAATGAAAATACATATTTAACCATTATTAGACACATAAACTTTCAACAATGAAGGTGTGTTCATAATTACTATGTTGTCATTATAAGAAGTAAACATTCTTTTCTATTAATATTAAGCTGATTTTTTTTCAAATATCTTTCTAGTCACTTTGGGAGGCTCAGGTGGGCGGATCACCTGAGGTCAGGAGTTCGAGACCAGCCTGACCAACATGGAGAAACCCCGTCTCTACTAAAAATACAAAAATCAGCCTGGCATGGTGGTGAGCACCTGTAATCCCAACTACTCAGGAGGCTGAGGTAGGAGAATCACTTGAACCTGGGAGGCGGAGGGGTGCAGTGAGCCGAGGTCTCGCCATTGCACTCCAGCCTGGGTGACAGAGCAAGACTCCATCTCAAAAAAAAAAAAAAAACTTATTAGTGACATAGTTGATAATAACTAAAAACAAATGTCTGATAGATGACCTATGGGAAAATTGAGTGAACTATAGGGACAAAAAAAAAATGAGTTTGATGAGCACTTAGGTTGCTTGCAGTATGTAACAACAAAAAATAAAAATAAAAATAAAGAAATTAATTTAAAAAATGAGTTTGAAAATGTATTATTATGTGAAATGCTTTCCACAAAGAACTGACTACGAAATATTTGGAAGGTATACCATTGGTCTTTGCAGGATCATTGTGAACCTATTCAGGTAAGTGACTTTTGGATCTGGGATGGCTGGGCTGGATGATAAGAGAAGGGAGTAGCTAAATTTAGGTTATACATGAGGTCAGGTTGTGCATGTAGATGGTATACACTAGTGGGGTCTGGATCAGAGACAAGGGACTTTTGAGGGAACAGAAGTGAAGCAGGAAGCTGTCTAGGATATCATTTCCACTCCTGAAGAATCAAGGTCCAAATGGCAAGATTATTTGTAAGCAGAAAAATAAGCAGGGCACAGATTTCTCTGACATACTGGATTAGAAAAAGCTTCTTGCAAAGATAACCTATAATATTCAATAATTCTTGAAAAAAGTGTTACTTTGAATAAGGAATATTTATCCTCAAACCCTCATGGGTCTCTTTAAATGTAAAGGAGTGTTGCTTATTAATGTTAAAGTTAGGCCCCAAGTCATTATACAGAATGGAAAGTTTGACATGGTGTATAGAAGAGTTGTGGACTAGGAGTGCTAAAATTTTGGTCCTGTAGCACTTCATTTTCCCCTTTTTGGACAATTCATTATTATACAAGTGGCTTACTGCTCTTGAGGTTGATCTAGAATCGAGGCCTCCGTACTCATAATGGAATAGAAATTCCATGGTAAGAGAGACCTTAGAAACAATCTTATTTATGCTTCTCATTTTAAAGAGTGTTATTATGAAGTCCAGGCATGATAATATTCCCAGACATAGAAACCAAGTTCCTCTCAATTAACTGCTCTGTCTCTCTCAGAGAAATGAGTACAATAAAAGATATTAAAAATCTCAAGAGTTCATACTAGTCTTCATCTTCTAAATACCCCAGCTCTTATATCAGGTCTTGATGAGAGAGAAAGAGATAGAAGACATACATTTGGGCAATAACTCAAAAAAGTTAAATCAAACATAATACACAGAAGGTCAAGGAAAAGCTCCTCTAGAGTAAAAATTTTAAGAGACACAGTTATGATGAAAATGGAGTTACACTAAGTTGAAGCAAAACCATTTACCAAAAATACTTATTTAGATTAATTCCATATTGCAAAAAAATTGCCGACACATTCAAAAATGTAGACTTAGTGTATCTCTTAATTTACTGCAAGCTAGAAAACAGCATATCTATAAAAATAAATGGCAATTCTGGAAAAAAAATTGTTGTCGAACAGCAAGGGACAAGGTAGAAACTAGTTTAATTCTGTCATTTTATACATAAAGAAGCTAAATCCCTTAGAAGTAAAACTGATTGTCCTAAATCACACCAAGTAAAGATATGAATTTGAGTCTCCTGATGTCATGCTAAAGCACAATTTTATCAAGCACACTTCTATCAACATGTTTAATAAAAGCACACTTTTATCAAGATATTACTCTGTTAAAAAATAGAAATCAGGAGGAGAAGTAGAAAGGAAAGAAAATAAAAGACATAGTGTAGTGCAGAAGCAAGGGCCAAGACTCAGAATCTGATAAACTAGAAGTTTCTGAAAACCTTAAATATCAAAAAAATCATGTAGAGGAAGTTAAGACAAACAAGTTCTTAATTGAGGCTGTTAGTAATTGTTTCCAGAAATTGAGATTCATGACAAGTGTCATAGACTACAAGAATGCAAATTCTGATTCAGAGAAGACACTCTTTTCTCCACACCCGATTTAGGTGTAGGAAACACCAGCTCTCAAATATTACTCTTGGGAGACAGGACTCAGGGCTCTCAACTTGAATACCAGTTGTAACTGAGTAGAAACAGAAATTGTAGAATTCTTGAGTTTTTAATGAATTACAAAACCCCCAAAATCAGGATATCCTATTTTTACTCACTATTAATCCTTTCGTTGTTTTTTTGTTTTTGTTCTTTATTGTTGTTTGTTTGTTTTTGAGACAAGGTCTCACTTTGTAGCCCAGGCTGAAATGCAGTGACATGATCATGGCTCACTGTAGCCTTAACCTCTTGGGCTCAAGCAATCCTCAACTCTCAGCCCCCAGAGTAGTTGGGTCTACAGGCATGTGCCTCCTAACCTGGCTGTTTTTTGTTTTTTTATTTTAATTTTTTTTTTTTTTTTTTTTTTTTTTTTTTGTAGAAACAGGATCTTAGGTTGCCTAGCCTGGCCTCGAACTCCTGGGCTTAAGGGATCCTTCCACTTTAGCCTTTCAAATTGCCTGGATTACAGATGTGAGCCACCATGCCATATCAATATTAATTCTAAAGCTAGAAATAAAATACATTTTCAAAAGTTTATGTTTTGTTTTTCTTTGACTCCACTAGAAACATGGAAAGAAAACATGCTATTGTACATTTGCTGTAAGTATTTACGTGTAAATAAATTCTCTCTACCAATAATAAACTAAAAATATTTTCAAATATTGAGAATAGCACCTAGGTATAATTATTTTCTTGATTTATTGTATAAGGCACCTAACTCAAATCAAAATTATTTCTGTTTTGAATTTTAAAAATAAACTTTTCTATAAAAATTCTGAGAATTACCTGGTTCAATTTTTAGCTTTAATATTTGTGATAAATCTCTAGAGTTTTAATTTTGAAAGGGCAATAAACATACATTATTCAATATGATTTTGATGTCTTAACTTTGATGTAACAACTGCTACTATAATTAATTCAGAAAGATCTCTTGTCAATCTGCAGATTTTTTAATATGTAAATATTACCAGGCATCAATAAAAATAGTCCATACAACATATTAACTCAAACTCCATCATTTCAGTATGTATAATCATTTGGCCATGATTGAAGAAAATTTTATGTGAGCACGCACAAACGCGCACACACACACACACCCACACACACACACACACGATCTTTTCCTCATTTTAGAAATAAGTATTATCCTAAGCAAATTAATAATGTAAAAAAATTTATGTAGAGAATGCCAACCTGCCTTATACACTAGCTTTTGGAACATTCACATATAACTTATTTGTATGCAAAGAAATATTTCATACCATATTTATTGTATCTAAAGCCAAACCTCAACTTAGCAACTTGTAAGTGGCTTAAGCACTTACAGCAACCATGACCCTTGAAAAAATAATTCAACTCTCTTGAATAATCTCATAATTCATTCCCTTAGTTTGTATGGATTTGTTAGGTTTTCTAATGATTCCAAATGTTTTATTTATTTTATCTTTGTTAAGATAAAGAAATAATTTAGAAGTATTTCAAAGCTTCAAACTCAAATATTATTTCCGTGTTGAATAATTCAGGCAATTAGGTTATTATTTTTTATTTTCCTGGATATCCTGGATGTGAAAAAACAAAATGCCATCTATGAAGTCATATTAGAAATAGCTGTGGCCAATCTTATCTTACAAAATAATAAATCACTATGTTTTCTGTGTGATCGAGACATTCTAAATTGATTTTTTTTTCTGTAGGAAAATTCTAAAAGCAGTGCATTTCATATCATAATTCAAAAGCCTAATATTAGTGAGAGACCAATGGAAGCCATCCTAATATCAGATCATTCGCATTTACTAATGGGTTAACAATTGTGAAGTGTTCATAAAGAAAGAAAACATTAATTCTGAGAGCCTAAAATTTCTATAAAACTAGGTATTTTCTCAATTCAAGTATTGTTGGTGTGTTGTTTTTATTTGTAGTGCACAAATATTTAGCCATGGTCACAGATTACATGTCACATACTTAACAGAGCCAGAAAAACAAGTTTAGCCTTGATCAAGTATTTCACCACCCAAGATGATTTATTGTCCTTGAATGTAGATTTAGATAAAATAATGATAAAGTACTGATACATCAGGCTATTATCAGATGTTATAATTTATATGGTCTACACTGATTTTGTTCTCTGTAGGACCTAATACACATGCTCTCAGATTTAGCAAAAAGGATTTTTAAAAGATAGTATAAAATCTACAAAATATATGTCTTCATGAAATTTTATACCAGCAAATCCATGAGCACTGAACTGAGGCACAGGCAGTCTATATTTTATATGTTATGTAATTTAACTCCTCCATCACCCTTTAACACATAACCTCAACCATAAAATCTAATTTTCTTCTGTTTCAATAATTTCAACATGATAAAGAACAAAAAGTTACAACTCTTTCTATTGCCTTAAGAATAAAAATCAATTTTCCCTAGTCAAAGACAATATAAAAAAAAATTGAAATACAATTTTTTTAAACTCACAGTATCAGCAAATAGGGTTTTAAAAAGCATAGTTCCTTTGCTTTCTGATAGCTGAAAAACCAATGAGGACATCTTTAAAACAACTTATATGTCTAAAATTCAAACAAACATCTAGAGACTTATTTAAGATTTAGAAAAGGGTGCAATCTAGAAAATCAGCTATAGATTATATATCTGAATAAAGAAGAATGAATTCTCTAAAAAAATTTATTGTTTTATTCTTCTACTTCTGATTGTACGGTAGACTAAACACTCTTAAAATTTCTTCCATTTTATTTTATTTCTTATTATTTTTATTCTTTATTTTCATCATAAGACGGTAGAGCTTCTTCCATTTTAAATGTGGAATTAGACCCTGTGTGAAACAGAATCTTATTACATATTATGACTAGCAGGAAATAAAGGAAATTATCAACCCTCCTTTCAAAAAGAGTTGGAAGGCAAATATATGAGCAGGAACAGTAATGAATGCAAATGTGGCATTATCCTGAAGATAATTATACAATACATGCTACTATCTAAAGACTAAGCTGCAAGTCAGTGGCAAAATGGGAGAACTGTATTTAGAACTCCTCCTCCCTCACTAAACCTGGGACACTGAAAGGGCCCTAAAATGTCCCCTCTTCAGTAGCACCCCCCATACCTCCTAGAAGAAGTAAAGGAATGAGAGCATCACTTAGGCTACAGGGATCCCCATGACTTCAATCAATCAAAATTGCATTTACAATAAAACTTATGAAACCAACAAGGAAACAAGCTAGCATTTATATTTTAAATCGCTTACATTCTAGGCCAGTTGACCTAGTAGAAAAATAAGTCAACTGGCCTAGAATGTAAATGATTTAAAATATAAAACATAAAATAAATGTGTACAATTTAAAAATATGAAATAAAAATAACAAAAATGATGAAGCAACAGGAATCTACAATAAATGAACAAGAAAATTTGAAAAATAATCAAATAGAACTTCAAGGAAAAAAAAGGATTATTACTAGGAAAACCTAAATGAATGGGTTACTAAAAAATTAAGGTAAGAAGAGAATGAACAAACTAATGAATGGAAATAATTAATACCCAGAGTGCAGCAGAGAGGCAAAAAGATGTAAAATATAAAACTAAATGTAAGAGTTGGAGAATTAAAAGTCTAATTGACAACAAGAAATCTCAAAAAGAAATAATAGATGCCAGGCACGGTGGCTTATGCCTGTAATCCCAGCACTTTGGGAGGCTGAGGTGTGTATCATGAGGTCAGGAGTTCAAGACCAGGTTGGCAAAGATGATGAAACCCTGTCTGTACTAAAAATACAAAAATTAACTGGGCGTGGTGATGGGTGCCTGTAATCCCAGCTACTTGAAGGCTGAGGCAGAGAATTGCTTGAATCTGGGAGGCAGAGGTTGCAGTGGGCTGAGATTGCGCCACTGCACTCCAGCCTGGGTGACACGGTGAGACTCTGTCTCAAAAAAAAAAAAAAAGAGAGAAAAATAGAGAGGAAATATATGACATTATAAAATCTGAGTTTTATTTGTTAAAAACTAATAACAAACTAATAAAGTATACTTTTCAAAGGGTACATGGGCCACAATGTATATAAGAAAATTATTTAATATATTCTATTAAAACTAGGGTACGCTAAAGACAGAGGCAGGACCTAAGCTTGGAGCCAGAGAGGAAGAAGAATAAACAGCATAAAGCCAGATCATCAACACAGAACCACAATTATCATAGACTGACACCTGATTTCTCAATAGCAAAAAAGAAACATGGATTTTTAACATTGTAAAAGTCGCTATTACTCTGGAATGCGGTACCTAGCAAAGCTGTATTTTTTAAATGATAGTTATCATTTTCAGTTAAATAAAATAATTGTTATGCAATTAAACATAACTTAGAGGAAAATCCATAGCATTTAATTCTCTCATAGCATTTAATGTTTATATTTAAAAAATACAGACTTTAAAACATTAATAAGGGAAATGTATGTAATGTAATTTTAGGGAAAAAGGGCAGAATCATAAGGAAGTCACAGAAAGGAAATCACAGAAATCATAAAGAAAAACATATTAAAGATATGAGCAAAATTTAATAAAATAAAATAAAAACTTATAGAATACAGAGACTCAACGAAGTCAATAGTGGTTATTTGAAAAATTAACAAGGTAAGTGAAAGAGTAACGAAATTTATCTAGCTGACTAAATTTTTAAAAATGCATATATAAATAGATTTATAACAAAAAGGGCACATAACTAGACACATGCAAATGATTAAAAATGAGTATTAAGAACAACTTTTGTCACTTAAATTCTAAAAATTGGACGAAATGAGTGAATATTCAGAAAAATGTTAGTGAAACTTAAGAGATAGGAAGTCTGAAGAAACAGAAATTTTTAAATACTTTCACAAATCAAACATCTGACCCAGACAGTTTTACAAATAATTTCTACTAAATTTTCAAGACATAAATAATTTCAATTTATACATTATTCTATGTAACAGACAATAAGGGAAGATTCTCTAGCTCATTAAATGAGGCCAGTGTAAACTTGATTCCAAAATTAGACAAGAATGGAAACAATAAAGAAAATTCAGTAACTAATGATAAAGACACACAAATGTTAAACAATGCTATGGCAAACTGAATCTAACAGTTCAATAGACAGAAAAATGGCCCCCAAAGATGTCCTTGTCCTAGTATCCAGAACCAGTATGTATGCAACCCTATATAACTAAGAGACTTTGCAGAGGTGATTAAGTTAAGAATCTTCAGATGGGAAGATTAGCCTGGATGGCCCAGGTGGGCCCAATGAATTCACAGGGGTCCTTATAAGAAAAACCGGAGGGCAGAAGGATCAGAGTCAGAGGAGATGAGGCAACAGAAGTAGAGTTCAGACACAAGGGAGATTTGAAGACATTATGCTGCTGTCTTTGAAGATAAAGGAAAGGGCCATGAGCCAAGGAATGCAGGCAGCTTCTAGTAGCTGGAAAAGACAAGAAAATGGATTCTCCACTAAAGCCTCCAGAAGGAACAGCTCTGTTGATAGCTTTATTTTGGCCTAGTAAGATCCTCTTCAGAATTGTGACCTCTGCAACTGTCACAACGGTAAGATAACAAATGTGTGTTTTTAAGACACTAAGTTTTTAGTAATTTGCTGCAACAGCAATAGTAAAATAATACAAGTAGTCTGTTTATGTGTGTGTACACCCGTCATTAACAAGTTGTGTTTCCCCCAGGAATGTCAGAAGTATTTAACATCAGAAAATGTATTAATGAAAATGTACCATATTTGTAGCTTAAAGGGAGAAAAAAACTGTATTACAACAGATTCATAAATATATTCTGATTAAATATAAAACCCAATTATAATTTAAAACAAAGTCTATAGCAGCTAATAATAGAAGCTTCTTTAACCTAATAAAAGGGTATATATGAAATATGTATAGAAATTATTCATCTTAACTGTAAAACATAAGCGTCACTTTCTTTAAAATCAGAGACAAGTCAAACATCTCTACCATCATCACTTATACTGTACAATAAGAACAAACATAAAATTAAAAATTAAGAATCTGAGAAAAAACAAGGCAGTTATTTTTATGATTTTCTGTGATCTACACAGAAAACCTTAATGTATCCATACATAAGTTACTAAGAATACATATTAGCCTAGCAAGGTGGCTGACTATATCAATAAGTTTCCAAAGCCCATCACATATATCCTAGTGTGATGGACAGCCTCTAGAAGAATCCTACATAATTTCTACCTCTGGTATTCATGCCCATGTATAATCCCCTCCTTCTGAGTGTGGGCTGAACCTATAACTTGTTGTCAACGAACAGAAATTGTCACAGGTGAGGGGATGTCACTTCCATGATTGAGTGATATTACATGACACTTTTTTCTAGCAGACTCTCCCTACAAACTCTCCTTGTTTGCTTGATTAAATAAGCCTGCCATGTGGTAAAGAACTGTGGGAAATATCTGGGTTCTATTGGCAGCCTGTAGGAACTGACAGTCACATCCAGCTGACAGCCAACAAAATATTGGGCCCCAAGTCCTACACGGGGAAATAAATACTGCCAGAATTCTCAGTGAGCATCAAAGTGAATTCACCTGGAGGCAAGCCTCCAGATGAGAATGCAACCCACAGGCACCTTGCAGCCTTGTGAGACTCTGAGCAAATGATCACAGCAAGTCATATGTGAATTATTGACCCATGAAAACTATGTATACATGTGTGTTGTTTTAAGCTGCTATATTTGTATATGTGATACGCTGCATAGAAAACTAGTGCAACTAATCACCAATAGCTTTAAGAGTGCATTACAAGGCCAAAAAATCAGTATAATAAATCTATGATTAAATTTTTTATTATTATATAATAAAAAAGTGTAAGAAAAATGTAGCAAAAAGTATAAAACACGATTTAAGTAAGTTGAAGGATAAATAAGTAGAATGCTATATCATGTTCATTGATAGTTCAACTCAGTCATAAAAATGCCAATTCTTCCCTATTTTATCTATAGATTAAATAAAATCTAATAGGATTTTTGAGTGTGCTGACAAATTCTAAAAATAAAAGAAGACAAGTATAAGAATGGCCAAAGCATTTCTGAAGAAAAAGATAGAAGTATTTTTAAGCACATATCAAGGTTGTTTATCATAAAGTTGTTATGAATAAGAGATTGTGGTAATGACACTCTGAAATCAAATTTATCCAGTGGTAAAGAATAGAGAAACCAGAAGCAAACCTATGCAGCTATAGAAGCAATAAAATAGAGATTTCATTGTAACAAGGGGTGAAAAGAGGAAAGATTTAATAAAAATGCTAAAATTATTTGTCTTCTTATATAAGAAGACGAAAATTATTACAGAAGATGAAAATGAACAAATTAATTAAAGGTAAAAGGCATAACTTTAGGACAATATCTCTATAAATGCAGGACATTGAATTGTTTCTTCAATAAGGCACAGTAACACTAACCATAAAATACCTACCAATTAAACTACAATAACATTAAAAACTTCTGTTTGTTTAATTATTCATTCAACAAATATCTACTGAGTGCCTAGTACCAAATAGTATATTCTAGGCATTAGATACATAACAGTAATCAAAACAAATCCCTGCCTTGGTGAATTTTACATTCTAGAAAGAAGGTAAAGAAAGAAGAAATAAGATACACAGTATGTATGCTATATGGGGAGGGGATCATTAAGGAGTGAGGGAGCAATTGAGCCACTGGAGAAGAGTTATTATATTGAAGTAACCAGCAAAGATTCACTGAGACATTTTTGGCATAAATTCCTGAATGAAGCAAGAAATCGATTTTCCATGTAGTCATCTGGGGAAGCACGTGCCAGTCAGAGGGACTGCAAGTGAAATGGCACTGGCGTAGCAGCATGCTTTACGTGTCCGAGGAACAGTGAGGAGGCCACCTGCCTACAAAAGGATGTATGAGGAGAGTAGGAGGAAACAGGTGAAACAGTACTGGAGGCCGTGTCACAGGGGATTCTTCAGTCATACTAAATCATTTGAATTAGATTCTTCTGAGTAAAATGAGGAATCATCAGAGCATTTTAGGAAAGGAGTAAAATGATCTGCTCACGTAAAACTAGATCCTTCTGGCTGTTCTACCATAAGAAGATTAAAGAAGGGCATAAACGTCTGTTAGAAAGCTACTGCAATATTCCAGGCAAGAAATAATGGTGCATTTACTAGGGTAGAATCTGTGAACACGAAGAGAAGTAGTTAGCTAATCAAATAACCAAACATGGAGAACATAATCATGTGTCAATGAGTTTACATCCAAAAAATATATAGAACTCTGCTGAATCAATAAAAAACCCATACCAAAAATAGAAAATAAAACATTTTTACAAAATAGGAAATACGATTTCCCGATAAACATAGGGAAAGATATTCAACCTCATCTGAAATCAGGAAAATGCACACTAAAACTAAAGTGAGATGCAATTTTATGCATATTCTATTGAACAGATTAATCTGACAAGAGTTGGCAATCTGAGGATCAACAGAAACTCTTAGGTACTCCTGATGACAATGTGATTTTACAACAGCTTTGGGAAAGCAATTTGGGATTATCTTATAAAGCTGAACATTTACACAATCTACCAGGACCCAACAATAACGCTACTGGGGTTACACCTTAGAGAAACTTGAACATGTTTAGCAGGAGACATTTATAGAATGTTAATAGAAACATAACTTAAAATAGGAAAAAATAAAATAAAATAACAAAAACAGCAGACAATGTGAATATATATAAACAAAAGAATAGATACATTATTCACTTCATGAAATATTATATAGCAGTGGAAGGGAGGCCGAGGTGTGCAGATCACAAGGTCAGGAGATTGAGACCATCCTGGCTAACATGGTGAAACCCCGTCTCTACTAAAACTACAAAAAAAAAAAAAAAAAAAAAAATTAGCTTGGCGTGGTGGCTCACGCCTGTAATCCCAGCATGTGGATCACGACATCAGGAGATCAAGACCATACTGACTAACATGGTGAAACCCCGTCTCTACTAAAAATATAAAAAATGAGCTGGGCGTGGTGGCGGGTGCCTGTAGTCCCAGCTACTCGGGAGGCTGAGGCAGGAGAATGGTGTGAACCTGGGAGGTGGAGTTTGCAATGAGCCAAGATTGCGCCACTGCACTCCAGCCTGGGTGACAGAGTGAGACTCTGTCTCAAAAAAAAAAAAGAAAAAAAAAATTGGTATGGCACAGGTTAATGTGATTAAATTATAAAAATATAATATTGAAGAAAAAATCATAGAAGCCCATCATAAAATGACAGCATTTTGTATAATGCCCAAAACCAAGCAAAAATTAATTATATAATTAATATATACATGCATACATATATATATACATAAACACAGACATTACATATATACATGTAAGATAATATATATTCCACATGTAAAATTAAAAGAAAAAATTATAAACACAAATTTACGTGGCTTCAATAGTGTTTATAGTATTCTAGTTCATAAATATAGCCTCACAGGTATTCATTTCATTAATGTGCCATAACTTACATCTAAATAATACACATTTTGTACATATTAAATATTACACAAATATAAATTTTCAAAGCTATAAATTTACTTGATATTTGAATGTTGAATGTTCCTTAGGTTAAAATTAAAGTGGTTATGATATTTGACAATATACCAATTTGAGATGAAAGTAATCTGAGGTCTTCTTAGGTGATCAAACATGAATAAGGAACTCAATTTTGGATTAAAGTTATGACATATGTAAGTATCAAAGTACATTATATACATCCTTTTTCACCTGCGAAATTAAATTTACATTTCTCAGCTAATCCATTCTGAGCGTACTTGACATAATTTATGCTCCCTGGCATAATTGTTCTAGCCTGATAGATCCTATAATGTTTTTTATTTAGTACTTTTTTCCAAATATTGTAACTATGCCCTTATGTGTCCATATTACACAAACCTTGAATTTCTTTAGCATATAAATGGTCCTTTATACATCTAATGCCAAGTAACTTATCTGTAGCACAATCCATAAATATTTGTGGAAAGAAAATAACAAATCAAAATGTTAAACTGTAATGGCTTACTTAAGTTAATCATTTCAAATCTTTGGCTTCATTGTGAAGAATTCTTAGTTGAACATCATACTGTGAAGTGAAAAAGACTAGGTTTAACATATCTTTATGTTCTTTAATAAATTTGGAGTAGTCAGGGAATCACAAACAGTGATATTTAGTTTCAGTATATCTACTACCGATATTTATATTTTTGACATCATGATTTCATGTCTTAACGACACTGCTGTTTGTAAGATTAGTCTCATTAAACATATTTTAGTATCTGCTCTTTCTCTTCTATTGAATTGCTCTTTCTCTTGTGGTATTGAACAGGTTAGATGCAAAGGTGAAAGAAGTCAATATAATAGATGGAAGCTGAACAGAAGAATTGGTAAATTTTAAATCCACTGTCAGGAATGATAGCTTGCAAAGTACAATTTAAGTGAACATTTCAGAAGTTAAGATACATTAGACATAGTCATTACCTTTGAGGACATTACGGTCTGCTGTTCACATACAGATAAAGAGCTAAATTTGAACATTATTAAATGTCTGACATTATTTTTTAAGATAATGTGGTCCTTGAAGGATTCAGAAAAACAATATGAGATTTCTTTATGATGGCTCTTTAAGCTAATACTTTATAGTATGTGGCAAGGATAGAAAAGTAAAAATTCAAAGAACACAGATGATATCTGAAATAAGCCAATGGTCTCTATAAACAGAAATGGAACAGAAAAGTGAAGCAGGACAAAAATCAAGAGATGGCTACAAGTCTGCCACAAGCCTGCACGCAGAAAGAAATGACTAAGAGTTTGGCTTCTGTGGGGTAAAAAGTACAAAATTAGCTATGTAAGTGTCTGGCTTTAGCAAATGAGGGGTTGAGATCTTTATTATTCATGAAAGAAAAACAAGTAGGTCGGGCGCAGTGGCTCATGCCTCTAATTCCAGCACTTTGGAAGGCCAAGGCAGGCAGATCACAAGGTCAGGAGTTCAAGACCAGCCTGACCAACATGGTGAAACTCCGTCTCTACTAAAAATACAAACATTACCCAGGCATGGTGGCGTGCGTCCGTAATCCCAGCCACTCAGGAGGTTGAGGCAGGAAAATCACTTGAACCCAGGAAGCAGAAGTTGCAGTGAGCCGAGATCACACCATTGCACTTCAGCCTGGGCAACAGAGTGAGATTCTGTCTCAAAAAAAAAAAAAAAAAAAAAAAAAAGAAGAAGAACAAGTAAAACCACTGTATCCAAGTAAAACCACTGCATCCCTGTGACTAAGGCTCATGTTGGGTTTGTACCTAGAAAGAAAAAGAAGCAAGCATTACCTCCACTTGAGAAATGAACCAAACTGAGCCAAAAATGGAATGAAACAAAAATTCAGTTACTAGACTGATAACATCTCTACTCTGTTCACAGTGTGGCTACCCCTATTCAAACAAGTTAATAAGACCTGTTTATGAACCAGGAACACCAGAAGTCTAATTTGAGTTAACGAATGGGTATTGACTGGGAGAGGAGTTGGTTATAAACACACCACACAGGAATGAAAAAATAAACATGAACACTAAACAATCAATGAGAAATAAATTGCTTCAAAGTCAAAATGAGACTAAAAGCAAAATTCTAAAACACATAGAAAAAACTTTTTTTTCTTTTTTCAAGATGGCTAACTACGGATATCAGATGCCAGTTCTTCTCAGAAAGATTTAGAGTTACAAGTGGTGAGGGGGGCTATATTTAGCCCTCTTAAAAAATGCCAACAAATAATTTTATATCATGCTAAACTAAGCTTCATAAATGAAGGAGGAATAAAGCCTAACCTAGAAAAGCAAATGCTAAGGAAATTTGCCATTACTAAACCAATTCACAAGAAATGCTCAAAAAAATTAAACATTGAAAGGATGATACCTACTACCATAAAAGCACACGTAAGTACACAGTTCACAAATACCTATAAAGAAATTATACAACTGAGACTACAAGGCCCATAGCTAACAGCACTATAACAGGAACAAACTTCACATATAAATACTAACCTTAAATACAAATTGCCAAAATGCTCCACATAAAAGATACAAATGGGCAAAGTGGATTAAAAAACAAGACCGAAACATCTGCTGCCTACAAGAGAAACACCTAATGTGTAATGACACCCTCAGGCTCAAAGTAAAAAGGTGGAGAAAGACATATCACCCAAATAGAAAATAAATAATAGCAGTGGCTGTATTTTGTATCAAACAAAAACAAAACAGACTTTAAACCAACAACAGTAAAAAAAAAAAAAAAAAAAAAAAAAAGACAAGGCACTCTGTAATGATAAATTGTTCAACTCAATAAGAAGATTTAACTATCCTAAAATATACCCACCGAACACTGGAGTACCTAGATTTGTAAAACAAATACTATCAGGACTAAGAAATCAGAAGGACAGCCATACAATAATTGTGGGGAATTTTAACACCTTACTGACAGAAGACAGGACTAGACAGATCATCATCATATAACACTAACAAAGAAACTATGGATTTAAACTGGAATTTTGACCAAATGGATGTAATAGAATATTCAAGCCAACAACCACAAAATATATGTGTTTCTCATCTGCAAATGGACCACTCTATAAAATTAACCATATGCTTTATCATAAAGCAAGCCTCAATACATTCAAAATAATTGAAATAATAACAAGTTTCACCAAAGACCACAGTGGCATAAAATTAGAAATAAATACTAAGAGCAACTCTCAAAACCACACAAGTACATGGAAACCAAACAACTCTCTCCTGAGTGACATTTGGGTAACAAAGAAATTAAGGTAGAAATCAAAGAAAAATTTGAAACATATAAAATACAGACACAACATAGTAAAACCTCTGAGATATAGCAAAAGTGATGTTAAGAGGAAATTTTATAGTGCTAAAGGCCTACATCAAAAAGATGAATCTCAAATTAACAACCTAACATCACACCTCAAGGAACTAGGAAACAAGAATAAAGCAAACTTAAAGCTAGCAGAAGAAAAGAAATAACAAAGATCAGAACAGAACTATATAAAATTGAGACCAAAAGAACCATACAATGAAATCAATAAAACAAAAAGTTGGTTCTTTCAAAGAATATACAAAATTGACAGACTGCTAGCCAGATTAACTTAGAAAAAATAGAAAAGATGCAAATAATCACAATCAGAAATGATAAGGTGGCATTACAAATCATACCATAGAAATACAAAAGATTATCAGAGACGACTACGAATATCTCTATGCACACAAACCAAAAGACTTAGGCAAAGTGTATACGTTCCTGGAAACATACAACCTCCCAAGATTGAAACAGGAAGACACTGAAACCCTATACAGATCAATAACAAGTAATGAAATTGAATCAGTAATAACAAAATTCTACCAACCAATGGTAGATTTTCAGATGGATTCACAGCTGAATTCTACCAGACCTACAAAGAAGAGCTGGTACCAATCTTACTCAAACTATTCCCAAAAAATCAAGGTGAGAGATTCTCCCCTAATTCATTCTATGAAACCAGTATCATCCTGTTAACATAATCTGGCAATGACACAGCAAAAAATGAAAACTACAGGCCAATACCTCTGATGAACATAGACTCAAAAATTCTCAACATAGTACTAGCAAAACAAATCCAATAGCACATCAAAAAGATAATTCATCACCATCACATAGATTTTATCCCAGTAATGTAAAGATTGTTGAACATATGTAAATCAAAAATGTGATTCACCACATTAATAGAATTAAAAATAAAAACTATATGATAATTTCAGTAGATTCAGAAAAAAGGATCTAGTAAAATCCCACATTGGTTCATGAAAAAAAAAACCCTCAACAAATTAGGCAACTAGGGAACATACCTCAAAATAATAAAAGCCATATATGACAAACCCACAGACAACAACATACTGAATAGAGAAATGTTGAAACATTTCCCCCTAGTAACTAGTGCAAGACAAGTATGTCCACTCTCACCAATCCTATTCAACATAGTACTGGAGGTCCAGAGCAATCAGATAAGAGGAAGAAATATAAGACATCCACAATGGAAAAGAAGTCAAATTATCTCTGCTGATGGCATGACTTTATACATAGAAAACCCTAAAGTCTCTCCAAAAAATTCTTATATTTGATAAACCAATTGTGTGAAATTTTAGGGTACAAAATCAACGTACAGAAAGCCGACGCATTTCTATATGCCAATAACAATCAAGCTGAGAACCAAATCAAGAAAGCAAACCTATTTAAAATAGATACAAAAAGATAAAATACCTAGAAATACATTTAACCAAGGTGGTAAAAGACGTCTGCAAAAAATAAAAACAACAACAACAACAACAACAAACAACTACAAAACACTGATGAAAGAAATTATAATTAACGTAAACGAATGAAAAATATCCCACGCACATGGCAAGTATTAGTCATTATTATTAAAACAACTATACTACCCAAAGCAATTTACAGATTCAACGCTATTCCTATCAGATTACCAATGTCACAGAATTAGAAAAGACAATTCTAGAATTCATGTAAAACCAAAAAAAGCTCAAATAGCTAAAGCAATCATAAGCAAAAAGAACAAAGCTGGAGCCATCACATTAACTGACTTCAAATTACAATAGAAGGCTATAATAACCAAAATAGCATGGTACCAATACAAAAATAGACACATTTGTCAATCGAACAGAAGACCCAGAAATAAATACATGCACCTACAGCCCACTGATCTTCGACAAAGTCAACAAAAATGAACAATGGGAAAAGGATGCCTTATTCAATAAATAGTGCTGAGAAAAATGTCTAGCTATATGCGTAAGAATGAAACTAGATCCCTACATTTTACTACATACAAAAATTAAATCAAGATGGATTAAAAACTAAAATATGAAACCTCAAACTATTAAAATCCTAGAGGAAAACCTACTGAATACCATTCTTGACATCAGCTTTGGTAAATAATTTTTTCTAAGTTTCCAAAAACAATTGCAACAAAAATAAAAATTAGTAAGTGGGATCTAGTTAAACTAAACAGCTTCTGCACAGCAAAAAAAAAAAAAAAAAAAAAAAACCAATGGGGTAAATAGACAATCTACAGAATGGGAGAAAATATTTGCAAACTATGCATCCAACAAAGGTCTACTAATATCCAGAATCTATAGGAAACAAACAACTCAACAAACAAAAAACTTAAGAAGACATACATCCAGGCAACAAATATTTGGAAAGATGTTCAACATCAGTAACCATTAGATTTTATAATAAAAACCACAATGAGATACCATCTCAAACTAGTCAGAATAGCTATTATTTAAAAAGTTAAAAAAAGAACAAGTTGATGAAGATGCAGAAGAAAGGGAATCACTGTATATTGTTGGTGACAATGTAGATTAGATCAGTCCCTATGAAAAACAATATGGAGATTTCTCAAAGTAATAAAACTACCATTCGACTAGCAATCCCACTACTGCGTATCTACTCAAAGGAAAAGATACTGTTTTAGCAAAAAGACACCTGCACTCATATTTTATCTCAGCACTATTCAAAATAGCAAAGTCCCATGGAATCAAAATAATTGCCCACCAGTGTTTGACTGGATAAAGAAAATATGGTAAATATTCACCATGGAATATTACACTGCCATTAAAGAATAAAATCATGTTTTTGTTTTTGCAGTAACATGAATGTAGCTAGAGGCCATTATGCTAAGTGAAATAACTCAGATATAGATCAAATACTAAATGTTCTCACTTACAAATAGGAGCTAAATAATGGGTACACATGGATACAAGGATGAAAATACTGAGGACTCCAAAAGTGGAGAGGACAGGAGGGTGCAAGGGTTGAAAAAAACTACCTTTTGGGTAAAATTTTCACTATTTGGGAGATGCATTCAGTAGAAACCCAAACCTCAGCATTACACATTACATCCATGTAACAAACCTGCACATGTCCCCTCTGAATCTAAAATAAACTAAAATAGATAATAAAATACAACATATAGAAAAATATTATGAAAAATAGTCAACAACCAGAAGATGATTTTAGTCTGCACAATATTAAAATAATGAAATAAAACTCCAAGTTGTTCCTAAAACACGTCAAGAGATAAATCAATTCTTTAAAATGGAACAAGATATTAAAAAACAAAATATACAAATAATTTTAAAAGAGGTAGATAAGAAAAAATGTATCACAAGTGTTATAAATTAAAATATATATCTATTTAAAATGTAAATCACTTGTTAAAACTTACTCTGCCAACCTAGATGAAGTAGGTGTATTAGACTAGGCCTCCTGCCATTAAATAGAAATGTGTAACATTGAACAAAGTATAATGGGAACTACATAAATTTGATTCCTTAGAGAAGGAAAAGAAATAGTTGAACTCTATTATTGCCCTAGATTTTCACTGAGAGGCACTTTTTATGCCATAACACAAGGAGAAGATACCTAAGCATCCAGAAGACCTATGCAATGTTTGAGGAGGTGAAGGTGGCTAGAATTTGTGGTGCAGAGTAATGGGAGGTAATTAGTTATTTAAAAAAAAAATCCCTCTGGGTACACAGTAGGTGTATGTATTTATGGGGTACATGAGATGTTTTAATCTGGCACACCATAGATAATAATCACAAAAAGAGCTTAAGAGAGCTTACATGAAGCTGAGACATTTCAGTTCTGAATTGCTAAATTGGAGACCCTCATTGAAGAACCATAGAGTTTGGTAAAAACCGTTGAAAAGCCATGGATTGAAGGAATCTGGACCTCCCCAAAAAGTGTAAAATAAATCTCAAAATGATTCACAAATAACCACCTGCCAGAACAAGATCTGTACGTTTTCATGTGTGTAAGACACGGAGTCTCACTCTGTCGCCCAGGCTGGAGTGCAGTGGCGCGATCTCGGCTCACTGCAACCTCTGCCTCCTGGGTTCAAGTGATTCTCCTGCCTCAGTCTCCCGAGTAGTTTGGGACTACAGGTGCCCACCACCACGTCCGGCTAATTTTTTGTGTTTTTAGTAGAGACGGGGTATCACCGTGTTAGCCAGGATGGTCTCGATGTCCTGACCTCGTGATCCACCCACTACTTCAGCCTCCCAAAGTGCCGAGATTACAGGCGTGAGCCATGGTGCCCGGCCAATATGTACCCTTTTTAAAAATTAATAGACTTAATCTTTTAGAGCAGCTTTAGGTTTACAGAAAAATTAATCAGAAAGTACAAAGTTCCCACATACTATTCATACTCTCCCCTAAGCACACAGTTTCCATATTATTAGTGTTTTGTATTAATGTGGTATATTTGTTACAACTGATGAACCAATGTTGGTACATTATTCTTAACTAAAATCTATAGTTTACATTAAGGTTCACGTTTTGTATTGTACATTCTATGGGTTTTAACAAATATACCAAACATGTATCCACCATTATAGTGTCATATGGAATAGATGCACTGTGCAATAAAAATCCACTGCTCCGCCATTTGTCCCTCTCTTCTCCCCCATGATTTCTTAACAAGTAGTGACCATTCTTCTATCCTCACAGTTTTACCTTTTTCATACATTGTTTTTACATAAATCCTTTCTCAGGCTCTGCTTTGGGGATAACGTAAACTAAGTGTATGTGTTAAAAAAAAATATTGGAGAAGAAGATAACTAATTAGTTGCTGGGATTTTAAATTTTTTTCTGGATACATAGTAGGCGATATATATTGATCCGGTAAGTGAGATGTTTTAATACAGGCATGCAAAGCATAATAAACACATCATGGAGAATAGGGTATTCATCCCCTCAAGCATTTATCCTCTGTGTTACAAACAATTCAATTATACTCTTAGTTATTTCAAAATGCACAGTTAAATTATTGACTATAGCCACCCTGTTTTGCTATCAAATAGGTCTCATTTATTCTTTCTAACTATTTTTGGTACCCACTAACCATCCTCATCTCCTCTCAACCCCAACCCCCAACTACCCTTCCCAGCCTCTGGTAACCATTCTTCTATTCTCCATGTCTATGAGTTCATTTGTTTTGATTTTTAGATTCCATAAATAAATGAGAACATACAATGTTTTTCAGTGCTTGGCTTATTTTACCTAACATAATGATCTCCAGTTCCATCTATGTTGTTGTAAATGACAACAATGATGTCTTTTTTATTGGCTGAATAGTACTCGATTGTGTATATATAACACATTATGTTTATCCATTACTCTGCTGATGGACGGTTAGGTTGTTTCCAAATGTTGTCTAATGAGAACACTGCTGCAACCAACATGGGAGAACAGATATCCCTTCCACATACTCATTTCCTTTCTTTTGGGTACATGACTAGCAGTGAGATTGCTCTATCGTATGATAGCTGTATTTGTAGTTTTTAGGGAATCTCCAAACTGTTCTCCACCGTGGTTGTACTCACGTACATTCCCACAAACAGTGTACACGTATTCCCTTTTCTCCACATTCTTTTAAGCATTTGTTATTGCCTGTCTTTTGGAAATAAGCCATTTTATTGGCTTTATTGGGGTGAGATGATAGGTCATTGTAGTTTTGATTTGCGTTCTCTGATGATCAGTGATGTTGAGCACCTTTTCATATGCCTGTTTGCCATTTGCATGCCTTCATTTAGGAAATATCTATTCAAATCTTTTTCCCATTTTTTCAAATCATTTCTTATTCACATCTTTGCCCAAAAGCTAATAATTGGATTATTAGGATTTTTTTTCTATGGGATTATTTGAGCTCCTTATATATTCCAGTTATTAATCCCTTGTGCAAAGACTCAGAATAACCAAAGCGATCCTAAATAAAAAGAAGAAAACTGTTCTTCACAGTTTTTAAAATAACCTCCAAACCGTTCTCCAGAGTGGTTGTATTAATTTGCCTTTCCATCAACAGTGTATGAGGATTCCCTTTTCTCCAGATCCTCTCCAGCATTTGCTATTGCCTGTCTTTTGGAAATAAGCCATTATAACTGAGGTAAGATGATACCTCATTGTAGTTCTGATTTGCATTTCTCTGAGGGTCATTTCTCTGATGATGATAACTATCCTTGTCACAAATATAGTTAGCAAATATTTTCTCCCATTCTTCATTAAGTCCCAGGGGATTTTCAGTCAGCTTGTGGTGAATGCTACCTTGCCTGGGACTCACCCTTCAGAGCAATGGGCTCCTATCCCGCCCAGCACAGGTCTACAAAGGCCATCCAAAAATCAAGTCCTGGAATCAGGGACACCAAGTGCCTGCTCGGTGCTCTAACCACTTCCACCCCCTTGGCCAAGCTGGTACCTGAAACCATCAAGTCTCAGGATTTCGCCTAAGGTCCTCAGCATAGTACCTGGCACTGGTTATTCAGGGACTGGGGACTCTTCAGTTAGCAGGTGATGAATCCTGCCAAAACTAATTTCTTCCCTTCAAGGCAATGGGTTCCCTTCTGGACCAGGGAGTGTCTACATATGTCCGTGAGCTAGAGCCTGGAAAGTGGCCTTACAACTCTGACCTGTGCCCTATCCTTCTGTGACTTAGTGGTATCCAAAATGCAAGACAAAGTCCTCCTTACTCTTCCTGCAACTGCAAGCTGTGCAATCTAGGGTTAGGGGAGTCTCTTCTGCAACTGCAAGCTCTGCAATCTAGGGTTAGGGGAGGGGTGATACGATCACTCCCTTAGCCACCCCAGCTGGTGTCTCAGTAGGTCAGGTGTCCCCCAATCCACTGTCTCCAAACCTAGTTCAATAGTAAACACTAGGACTCCCCTAGGATTTGCATGTCTTGTGGCCTAGACCATCTTTTGAGTTTATTTAGAGCCCCAGCATACTTTACCCCACAGTGGTGAGGTTTGCCAAAACTCAAGTTCCGACCTCTGGAATCAGCAATTCCCCACTGACTGGGGCTGGTCTAAACACTCCTTCTGTAGATGAGTGTCAGCTGGGTGTGATCCAGTTTTCCTTTCTACTCTAACAGGATAACACTGAGTTCAATGCCTCACAGTTACTGAGCTCTCCCATCCCCAGCAACAGAAATGCTCTCCTCACCATGCCTCTGCTTTCAGGGGGTGGGGGAGGGTGGTGTTGGTAATTCAAGAGTATTTTTTCTACCTATTCATTGCATCTTTCAGAAATACAAAGTTAAAGCCAGATACTATTTGTGCTCACCGAATTTTTGGTTCTTATGAATATAATTTTCTTGTGTGTAGATAGTTGTTAAATTGATATCCTTGTTGGGGAGGGGTATGATTCGTAGAGCCTTCTATTTTGCCATCTTGCTTCACTCTTCCCTACCTAATTACTTTTAAATAGCAAATCTAACACACAACTTTACTTAGTCTTCTTTCCAATGATCCCCCAAAAATGATTTGTATGTATGTCAAATAAGAAAGAAGAAAATGTCAACATTTTAGAAACCGTAAAACAGCAGGGACAGAGATAACTGACTTAGCAGTAGGGAAGCAGAAAAGTAACTAACTTAATTTGCAACACATGGCATCGGATAGCACCTGAAAGAATACCTGAGAGATTTCCTGAAATTATTCTCTAAAGACTGTAAAACAAAAATCCCTAGATTGGGGCACAGCAGCTATAGTGGAAAGCAAGGGTATAATACTAAAACTGGGCAACTGAGTGAAAAGTAATATATCAATATTGGGAATTCCAGAATTTTTCTTTACTGGGCTTTTAGAATGCAGGCAAGCATGCTTACATTCCCTAGACAAAATACTGAAAGATAGCATAAGTGAGAGAATATATTAAACAGATAGGTTTGAAGATAATGTTGACAGAATCTCTCAGGATAGTAGACAAAGAGGCAAAGAGATGGGAAATAAGAGAAATGATGAGAACATTGGAAGTTTAGGCGAGGCAATATCTAATTAATTGTTTAGCAAGTGATATGGTTTGGCTGTGTCTCCACCCAAATCTCGTTTTGAATTGTAGTTCCCATAATCCCCACATGTCATGGAAGGTACCCAGTGGAAGGTAATTGAATCATAGGGTGGTTACGGTCTTGCTGTTTTCATGATAGTGAGTGCTCACAAGATCTCATGGTTTTATAAGGGTCTTTTCCCCCTTGGCTTGTCACTTATCCTTCCTGCTGCCATGAAAAGGACATGTTTGCTTCCCATCCTGCCGTGATTGTAAATTTCCTGAGGCCTCCCCAGCCATGCTGAATTGTGAGTCAACTAAACCTCTTTATATATTACCCAGTCTGGGGTATGTCTTTATTAGTATCGTGAAAACGAACTAATACAGTAAGTCTCATGGACAAGTTGATGTCATTGGAACAGAGGTATATTCCCCAAATGAAATCATCTTAACTCACATACCAGTGGGTGAAAATATAAAATTACTCATTTTGGCCTATACATTTTGGAAATCTTGTCACGTTACTTCAAAACCATAACTAATGTAATTGGTCCTGAATAAATTTTGGTTTTTATATTTGAATATGATTGTTTCTGACAGTCTTGGAACCTGCTTCCACCAAACAGCTCACCCTGCTAGTATCCGTGGGTGTTGGCAAGCCGTCAGGTTTACCTGTAATGCCCTGCCCTACTGAACTCCTCCCAGAATCTTTTGCCTTAATGAGAATAGACTGCTCTCTCAGCCTAACATAAGGGTTCTACTCTCTACAGCTAGGAAATGAATGAAGTTTTTTGTTTGTTTGCTTTGTTTTTACAGATTTTCTCTTTTTGCAAATAGGAGAGCAAGTTAAGAGGCCAACAGAAGAAGTGTTGAGAACACTAGATCTCAACAAGGCCAATAGTTTAGGTGTTAATGATTTATACCTATTGCAGTGATTACCTCGATGCCAATAAAGTCATTGTGTTAGTTTGTACATCTGCTGGCTTTTCCCCTGTGCCACCACTGCTCGCTAAATACAGTTGCACAATTAGAGTTGACCCTGTCTATAACTGAGTCAAAATGATTTAAGTCAGTAAGGATTTTATGAGGGTTCTTTCCAACGGGATGTAGAAATACGGAAATAGAAGTCTTCTACCTTAGATTTCAGGATTAAATCACTTTTATAAGGAAAAACATCAGTTATTTCCAATATAACGAAGAGGAAGATTCTTAATTCAATCTATGCCTATGTTAGTCTTCCCAGAAACTCCTTTCTAGATCTTTGCTCCCTGAACATCTGAGGGCTAGAGCTATATAAAACTCTTTGATAAAGCAGTGATGGAGTTTCTACTGCTATATTAAGTGAATCGTTCTTAATTTTTAGTCTTTCATTCCTTTTTTATTGTCTCTAGCGAACATTGGAGACCAACAGCTATCTGAACACTTGATACCATGCTCCAATCTCTTTGATCTCATTATCTCTTACTTTTGAGTCTTGATTCAGAAAAATAAATTTATGTTCTCTGCTCCCTATTTTTCAGTTTCAGCTATCTCTGCCTCCCCAGTTCTGGCCTACCATCAATTTTAAACAAAGTAAATACGACTCACACACACATAAACACACACAAACACACCATGGGTGACCAAGAGTCTTTGTTAGCCTGAGATAGAGAAGTTTCCCTAAACCTGAACATTTAATGTTAACACTAGAAAAGCCCCAGGGAACCTAATACATAGTGGTCTTCCTATGTACATTTTCAACTAACCTTGTGTTGGTTGACCATGTTTTATGATGATTGCATACTTAATGATTTATGTATAACTTAATCATAACTGAGCACTGACTGTGTCATTTATAAACTGTATTATATACTGGGAGGTTTGGGATGAACAAATAAAATTCTGTCTTCAAAGTTCTAGAAAAAGTACACTTATATCTATAGCTCATGGTCTAGGTAAAATATATGATAATTTATATTAGAAAATATTTAAATATTCTAAAGATTTATCAGATGAAACATTGTATGTAGTTGCAGAAATTCATAGAAGATTTCACGAACATCTAACAGATAACTGAGCTTTACATGCAAGTAGGAAGGAAGGGTTTATGAAATCTGGAAGAGATGTCTGGAATGCAGCTGCGAATATGAAGGCGATAGATATCATTATATTGTACCTATACAGCTGATATCTCAGGCAGAGGCTATTGCTAAACAAAGAAAGAAAAAGAGGAAAGGTTAAGAAAAGAAGCTTTGGAGCACTGAGTTTGGATGGAAAGAGATGAAGAAAATACTAGAAGTCAAGACAGGGAGAGAAAAAAGCCAGAGCCATGTAAAGGTAACTCAAGAGAGCAATGTTACAAAAGTCAAAGGATGATGTGCACCTAGAAGGGGCACGCTATTCTGACAGAAACTCAGGAAATGTTGGGTTTCTGAACAATGAGGACATTCAACTGGAATTGATAATAAAGAATTATATATGTCTGCATATAAAGGCTTCCCTCATTTTACATTGATAATCTGCTTCTCAAAATCAGAACTTCTCTATGAAGGCACTTAACAGGAACTTCTATCCCATAATTTTAAATATGAAAGAACATAATGTTTAAACAAACAAAACACTTAACAAGTTCTTTAAATGTAACTAAAACACAGTAAAACACACGGATGTGTATATGCATATGTGTGTGTATTGGATACAAAATATAGCATATTATATTGAAAATATTATATCTTAATCACTGAACAGTTAGTGTGATTGTTAACATAGATAACATTTTTTATATGTATAGTTTCTGCATTGTATTGTCAATGTTGCATTTCTGCTGTGACAGGTTAAATAACAAATAACAAAAATGTGAGAAATGTGTTAGGATAAACAAAAGCAAAACTTTAATTTGGCAGCTTTTCATTGCAGTTGTCCTACATCACAAACTGCAGCCTCCACACATGCCACAGCAGCATGGGAAAGTACATAGGCGACACAAACAATTCACTGTCCGTCAAATCCTATTGTCTCAAATGAGTCACAAGGCCTGCCAAACTGCAAGACAGCTAGGATATCTAGGGAAGCAAATGATTGAATTTTATTAATAAATGTTCCTTTGCAGAACCAGTATGTGCACGTATACATTTTTTCCCATAGATTTATGAGAGTGTGAACCAAATTGAAGATTTATTTAAGAAAAGTAACTTTATATTTATATCTTTCTATATCCTTAAAATTTTTTTTTTCTTCCCAACTTTTATTTTAGGTTAAAGTGGTACATGTGCAGTTTTGTTACATGAGTAAATTGTGTGTCATGGGGGTTTGGCATACAGATTATTTTGTCATCCAGGTAGTAAACCTAGTACCTGTTAGGTTGTTTTTCAATCCTCATCCTCCTCCCACCCTCTACTCTCAAATAAGCTTCCACTTACAAGTGAGAACATGTAGTATTTGGTTTTCTGTTCCTGCATTAATTCGCTTAGGATAATGGCCTCCAGCAACAGCCATGTTGCTACAAAGGGCATAATCTCATTATTTTATAGCTGCAGAGTATATAATATACGTACCACATAATATATAATATATGTACTATCTTTTCTTTATCCAGTCCACCATTGATGGGCATCTAGATTAATTCCATTTCTTTGCTATTGTTAACACTCCCGTGATGAACACATATTTGCATGTGTCTTTATGGAGAACAATTTTGATTCCTTTGGGTATATACCCAATAATTGGATTGCTGGGTTGAATGGTAGTTGTGTATTAAGTTCATTAAGAAATCACCAAACTGCTTTCCACAGTGGCTGAACTAATTTACATTCCCACCAGCAGTGTATAAGCATTCCATTTTTCTCTGCAACCTCGCCAGCATCTGTTATTTTTTTGACTTTTTAATAATAACCATTCTGACTATTGTGAGATGGTGTCTCATTGTGGTCTTGATTTGCATTTCCCTAATGATCAGTGATATTGAACATTTTTTAATATGCTTCTGGCCACATGTATATCTTTTTTTGAGAAGTGTCCGTTCACATCCTTTGCCAATTTTTTAATGGGGTGATTCGATTTTCACTCATTGATTTTAGTTCTTTATGGATTCTGGATATTAGACATAGTTTGTATATATTTTCTCCCATTCTGTAGATTGTCTACCTGGTCTGTTCACAATTTCTTCCCCAGTGCAGAAGCACTTTAGTTTACTTAGTTTTCACTTGTTAATTTTTGTTTTTGTTGCAATTGCTTTCAGAATCTTTGTCTTGAATTGCTTGCCTGGGCCAATGTCCAGAGTGGTATTTCCTAGATATGCTTCTTTAGTTTTTATAGTTTTAGGCTTAATATTTAAGTCTTTAATCCATCTTGAGTTGATTTTTGTATATGGAGAAACATGTGGATCCAATTTTAATCTTATGTGTATGATTAACCTGTTATCCCAGCAGTGTATATTGAACAGAATCTTTTTCCTATTGCTTGTTTTTGTCAGCTTTTTTAAAGATCGTATGATTAGAGGTGTGTCACCTTACTTCTGGGTTCTCTAACCTATTCACTGGTCTATGTGTTTGTTTTTGGACCAGTACAATGTTGTTTTGGTTACTGTAGACTTGTACTATAGTTTGAAGTTGGATTGTATGATGCCTCCAGCTTTGTTCTTTTTGCTTAGAGTTACTCTGCTATTCAGACCCGTTTTTGGTTCCAAATGAATTTTAGATATTTTTTCTTATTCTGTGAAAAATATCATTGGTAGTTTGATACAAATAGCATTGAATGTGTAAATAGCTTTGGGCAGTGTACTATTTTAATAATATTGATTTTTCCTATCCATGAGCATGAAATGCTTTTCCATTTGTTTGTGTCATCTCTGATTTCTTTTAGCAGTGTTTTGTAATTCTTGTTGCAGAGATCTTTCACCTCCCGAGTTAGCTGTATTTCTAGGTCCTTTATTCTTTTTGTGGCTATTGTGAATGAAATTGCATTATTATTACTTTTTTTTTTCACAAGTTCTCTGTCTTTCACTCAGGCTGAGTGCGGTAGCATGATTATGGCTCACTGCAGCCTTGACCTCCTGGACTCAGGCAATCCTCCCACCTCAGGGTCCCAAGTCTCTCAAGTATCTGGGACTACAGGTACACACCACCATGCCCAGCTAATGTTTAATTTCTTTCATATTCTCTGTGAGATGGAGTCTCACTATGTTGTCCAGGCTGGTCTCACATTCCTGGATACAGGCAATCCTCCGGCTTCGGCCTCCCAAAGTGCTGGGATTACAGACATGAGCCACCGTGACCATCGGGGTTGCATTTTTAATTTGGATTTTAACTTGGATGTTACTGATGCATTGAAATGTTACTGATTATTGTAAACTGACTTTGCATTCTGAAACTTTGCTGAAGTTGTTTATCTGATCCAAAAACCTTTGGGCAGAGACTATGAGGTTTTCTAGGTATAGTATCATATCATCTATAAAGAGATATAGTTTGACTTCCTTTCTTTCTATTTGGATGCCCTTTATTTATTTATCTTTCCTGATTGCTCTGGCTAGGACTTCCAGTACTATGTTAAAGAGGAGTGGTGAGAGAAGGTATCTTGTATTGTTCTGCTTCTCAAGAAGAATATATCCAGCTTTTGCCCATTCAGTGTGATGTTGGCTGTGGGTTTGTTACAGATGGCTTTTATTATTTTAAGTTATCTACCTTCAATGCCTAGTTTCTTGAGAGATTTTAACATGAATGGATGTTGAATTTTATCAAAGCCTTTTCTGTGTCTATTGAGATGGTCATGTGGTTTTTGTTTAGTTCTGTTCATGTGATGAATCACATAGATTGATTGGCATATATTGAACCAACCTTGCACCAAAGGATAAAGCATACTTGATGATGCTGGATTAGCTTTTGGATGTGCAGCTAAATTTGTTTTGCTGATATTTTGCTAAGGATTTTTGCACCTATGTTCATCATGAATATTGGTCTTAAGTTTTCTCTTTTTTTTTCCTTCTTTATTTCTGTAGGTTATTGGGGAACAGATGGTGTTTGCTTACATGACTAAGTTCTTTAGTGGTGATTTCTGAGATTTTGGTGCACCCATCACCTGAACAGTATACACTGAAACCTATTTGTTGTCATTAATCCATCACCCCCTTCTCACCCTTTCCATTTGAGTCCCCAAAGTCCATTGTGACATTCTTACGCCTTTGCATCCTCATAGCTTAGCTCCCACTTGTAAGTGAGAACATACAGTGTTTGGTTTTCCATTCCTGAGTTACTTCACTTAGAATAATAGTCTCCAATCTCATCGAGGTTGCTGCAAATGCCATTAATTCATTACTTTATATGCCTGAGTAGTAGTCCATCATATATATATGTGGTATATACATATATGGCATATATATGATGTATATATATGTGGTATATATATGGTATATATATGTGGTATATATATGGTACATATATGTGGTATATATATGGTACATATATGGTACATCTCGTGTGTATATATATGGTATATATGATATGTATATGGTATATATATGGTATTTATATATGGTATATATATGGTATTTATGTATGGTATATATATGGTATATATATTTTTTACAGTTTATCCACTCATTGATTGATGTGCATTTGGGTTGGTTCCACGTTTTTGCAATTGCAAATTGTGCTGCTTTAAACATGCGTGTGCAAGTATCTTTTTCATATAATGACTTCTTTTTCTCTGGATAGATAGCCAGTAGTGGAATTGCTGGATAAAATGGTAGTTCTACTTTCAGTTCTTTAAGGAATCTCCACACTGTTTTCCATAGTGGTTGTACTAGTTTACATTCCCACCAGCAGTGTAGAAGTGTTCCCTGTTCACCGCATCGACACCGACATTTATTGTTTTTGATTTTTTGATTATGACCATTCTTGCAGGAGTAAGGTGGTATCTCACTGTGGTTTTGTTTTGCATTTCCCTGATAATTAGTGATGTTGAGCATTTTTTCATATGCTTTGTTGGCCATTTGTAGAGCTTCTTTTGAGAATTGTCTATTCATGTACTCAGCCTAGTTTTTGATGTGATTGTTTATTTTTTTCTTATTGATTTGTTTGAGTTTATTGTAGATTCTGGATATTAGTCCTTTGTCAGATGTATAGATTGTGAAGACAATTTTATAGTATGTGTCATGTGCAAATGAGAATCTATATTCTATTTTTGTCAGGTAGAGTGTTCTGTAGATATTTGTTAGGTCTGTCAGGTCAAGTGTCACATTGAGGTCCCAAATATCTTTGTTAATATTCTCCCTTGATGATGTAATACTGTAAGTGGGGTATTGAAGTCTCCTACTATTATTGTGTGGTTATCTAAGTCTCTTCATAGGTCTCTAAGAACTTGTTTTATGAATCTGAGTGCTTCAGTGTTGAATGCATATGTATTTAGGATAGGTAAGTCTTCTTATTGAATTGAACCCTACATCATTATGTAATGTCCTTCTTTATTCTTTTTGATCATTGTTGGTTTATAGCCGTTTTTGTTTAAGAACATCAACTCCTGCTTCTTTTTGTTTTCTGTTTGCTTAATAGATCTTTCTCCATCCCTTTACTTTGAGCCTGTGGGTGTCCTTACATGTGAGATGTATCTCTTGAAGACAGCATACAGTTGGGTCTTGTTTCTTCATTCAACTTGCCAGTCTGTGCCTATTATGTAGGGCATTTAACTTGTTTATGTTCAAGGTTAACATCAATTAGTGCAGATTCGATCCTGTCGTCATGTTGTTAGCTGGGTGCTATGTAGACTTGCTTGTGTACTTTATAGTGGTGGTGGTCTGTTGTCTTGAATATGGTTTTGTAATGTTCAGCAGCAGTCTTTAATTTGCAAGTTTAGCCCTCCCTCAATTATCTCTTGTAAGGCAGGCCTGGGGGCAAAAAATTATCTTAGTGTTTGCTTGTCTACAAAAGATTTTATTTCTCCTTCACTTGTGTAGCTTAGTTTGAAGGATATGAAATTTTTGGTTGTAATTCCTTTACTTTAAGGATGCTGAATATAAGCCCCCAATCTCTTCTAGCTTGTAAGATTTCTGTTGAAAGGGCCACTGTTAGCCTGGTGGGATTCCATTTATAAGTGACCTGCCCCTTCACTCTAGCTGCATTTAATATTTTTTTATTTCATTTCAACTTTGGAAAATCTGATGACAATGTGTCTTGGGAATGGTCATGTTGTATAGTGTCTAACAGGGATTGTCCAAATTTTCTCAATTTGTATGTCAGCCTCTCAAGTGAGATTGGGGAAATTTCCGTAGACAATATTCCCAAATATGTTACCAAGTTGCTTGCTCTCTCTCCTACTTAAGCACCCAGCAGATGGTGTTTAATCACAATCACAGGTGAGTAGGCTCTTGCTCAGCATCGCAGATCCTTTGTATTTACTTGCATTTGCAGCCATGCTACCTGTCAGTTTTTTTAGGGTGTGAACTCCTCTGCCACTTGAGTGCTGGCTGCAGATATTGGATTTATCCTTTAATTTGCAAAAAAACCATATGTGTTTTTTTTACTTTAAATAAATCAATAGAATTAATCAAAAAGCAAGAATATAAACATCATTTATTGCATTTTCTTTAAACATCAATATTTTCATTATACATATTTTATTAATGAGTTTTCAGAGTAGAATTAAAAACAATAAGATTGCAAACTTGAAAGCAGGGAAAAATAATTATTTGAGAAATAAACAAATGTGGTTAATATAAATTATAGGTTTACAAATTTTAACAGTGAGATAAAAATAGGTGATGCTTAAAGGAAAAGGATGATTAAAAAAGAGGTTCTTCCCCTAACCCCACAAGCATTAGGAGAAATACCTAATGTAGATGATGGGTTGATGGGTGCAGCAAACCACCATGGCACGTGTATACCTATGTAACAAACTTGCACGTTCTGCATATGTATCCCAAAACTTAATGTATAATGAAAAAAAAAAAGACTTCAAAAAAAAAAAGAGGCTCCTTTTTGGATAGGAGGGATGATACTTAGAAGCAGGAAATAATATTTTAGTAGAGAGGGAGCTATTAGAGATTGGAAATATAAAATGATGATGCTTTTATGTTCAAGGATATAAAATCTTTGACAAGAAATTAGAAACTATAAAAAGTGTTAGAGACAAAAAATTCTAAACAGAAATTAGAAAACCAGGCCAGGTGCAGTGACTCATGCCTGTAATCCCAACACTTTGGGAGGCCAAGGTCAGTAGTTTGAGACCAGCCTGGCCAACATGGTGAAACCCCATCTCAACTAAAAATACAAAAAATTAGCCAGGTGTGGTAATATGCGCTCATAATCCCAGCCACTCAGGAGGCTGAGGCAGGAAAATTGCTTGAACCCAGGAGGCAGAGGTTGCAGTGAGCCGAGATCACGCCATTGCACTCCATCCTGGGCAACAGAGCAAAACTCTGTCTCGAACAAACAAACAAACAAAAAAAGAAATTAGAAAACTGAAAAAAATGTATTAACAAAATTAACAATTCAGTAGATGGGTTTAACAGGAACTTCCAGCTAATGTGAAACGAGTGAAATAGAAAATAAGTCAAAAATACGCAAAGGAAGCAGAACTACAAAATATGAAGAGTGGAAAAAAAGAGGAAGAGAGTGAGTGTGAGAAGAAGTGCTTGTGTGTGTGTGTGTGTGTGAGAGAGAGAGAGAGAAAGAGAGATAGAGAGAGCAAGAGAGAACAGTGAGAAGTTACAACTGGAAACCCCAAAAAGAGAAAAGATAAACACTTTTGCAGGAAGAATATTTGAAAAGATAAAGGCAGAGATTTTCCAGGAAATGCTGGAAATACTAAACTGCAGATTTAGGTAACTCAACAAACCCAGCTAAGTGAGAAAATAAATCCACACTCAGACACACCTCAGTGAAATCATGAAACAGAAAAATCAAATTAAAAAAACTTAAAAGCATACTCAAAAAAAAAAACAACCCACAAAACTCCTTCAATCAAAAGAGAAACAAATAAAACACTTCAATTCAAACTACATTTCTTCATCCAACTAAAAAAACCTTTAAGAATAAAAGTAGGCCAGGCACAGTGGCTCATACCTGTAATCCCAGCACCCTGGGAAGCTGAGGCAGGCAGATCACCTGAGGTCGGGAGTTCAAAACCAGCTTGGCTAACATGGTGAAACCCTATTTCTACTAAAAATACAAAATATCAGCCGGGAGTGGTGGCGCATGCCTGTGGTCCTAGCTACTCAGGAGGCTGAAGCAGGAGAATCATTTGAACCTGGGAGGCAGAGGTTGCGTTGAGTCGAGACTGTGCCATTGCATTCCAGCTTGGACAACAAGAGCAAAACTCTGTCTAAAAAAAAAAAAAAAAGAATAAAGATAAATCTTATTTAATCCAAAAAACATATGCACTCTTCTTAGCTTTTACTTCTGCCTTCTGTTTATCAGGAATTACATCTATTTACCTTTCTATAAATCCAAATGGTACTATTCTTTGAAGGCCAGACGTGCAGACTGGCTTATGCCAATTTAGTCATTCTTTCTGGAAAGTAAATGGCAGAAATTTAAAAGTGTGATAACCATAGGAAAGCAAGTCACATAAAAAATTCTGTCACATAACAATTATTTTAAAAACATTTGCTATCAAGTAAGCACAAAACAGTAAATATAATCTTTCCATGAACTCAATATAATTCTAGCTCTTTGTTGTGTTTTTGTTTTTGTTTTTGTTTTTGAGACGGAGTCTCGCTCTGTCGCCCAGGCTGGAGTGCAGTGTCGCGATCTTGGCTCACTGCAACCTCTGCCTCCTGAGTTCAAGCAATTATCTGCCTCAGCCTCCCAAGTAGCTGGGATTACAGGTGCCCACCACCACACCTAGCTAATTTTTTTGTATTTTTAGTAGAGACTGAGTTTCACTGTCTTGGCCAGGCTGATCTTGAACTCCTGACCTCGTGATCCACCCACCTCAGCCTCCCAAAGTGTTGGGATTACAGATGTGAGCCACCACGCCCAGCCCCTCTTTGTTTTTAGGTTACACAACTACATCAAAAGATTCACTCAAGGCAGATGCAACAATATTCAAGAGGTGTTCGTTCTGATTATGGCATTCAAATTCACCTAGAATTTGGTGTAAACTTAACTAACTCATTAACTCATACAGACCATGGCAGTGTCTATGTTTAAGTACTTTTACATAAATTGCATTTGTCTATATGCTAAGGATTCCAATAATTATTAATTTCAAGATGAATTTAACTTAAACTCCCCTGGATTTCAAATTAAAATGAACAAATTGATATTTCTAAATTACTGATTTCTGAAAGACACAGGGAAGATGAAAGCCCTGGAGGGAGAGATCCGTCAGTCTGTGAGTCATTACTTCATATATACAGATCCCAGAAGGATTCCACTAAACTTCCCTTTTTCCAAGAGGCAGGGGCCAGAGATGAAAATAGGCTATTAAACAATAATGTAGAAAACAAATCTCAGTCTTAATAATGATTTCAGGATTCAAATTCTGACTGGGGAGCATGAAAAGCTTCAGGCTAACTTACACTTGTCATTAATTCCAAGCTAAGGCCAAGGACCTTGGTAATTACCGAGAAGTTGTACTTAGTCACGCAACTATAACAGAGTATTCTCATTTTTCTAAGAGATAGAGAATAAGGGTTTTTAAAATTATTTGTTTGACTTTTTTCTCCTTTTGCTTTGTTCCCCACTTCATGCTTAGCTCTTTACAAATGCAAATATAACCTTTTAACCTACCAGACACTCCCTACAGGGCAAATTCATCTAACTAGGAGCTTGGAAGCTCCAGAGCAGAGCTGCCTCCCACCAGGAGATTCCCTTGAGAGACAACAGTCAATTTACAACCCAAAATATGCTTGCTATGAAATGCTCTCCCATCTGGAGAGTTTCAGCCACTTTTACAACCTAGTTCTGCCCGTGAAGGCACCAGCTTGACAACCTGGTAGATAAAGCACCAAACAGAGTTACATGAACCCCACACCTGCTTGTTCCTTCCACTGCATGCCATGCATTCCAAGCCCCCTTTACAAAGTCCTCACTTTCTGCTGCAAAGGCAAAGTGGTAACCTTAAGTCAGGAATTCTGTACTTCTTCTCTTAGCTAGCTTTGGAATAAAAAGTCACTTTCTTTATAACAGACCTGACTGTTGTTAATTAGACTCTGCAAGTGGAGAGTAACTGAACCTGTGTTTCAGTTACAAGACCAAGAACAAATATTTATCAAATGTAATAAATTACCAACCATGGGTTAACACTTGTTTTAAAAGTATTATTGTATCTAGGTTCACAAATAAATTTGGAATATGTCAGACCTCTGAGCCCAAGCTAAGCCATCATATCCCCTGTGACCTGCACACTATGCATCCAGATGGCCTGAAGCAACTGAAGATCCACAAAAGAAGTGAAAATAGCTAGTTCCTGCCTTAACTGATGGCATTCCACCATTGTGATCTGTTCCTGCCCCACCCTAACTGATCGATTGACTTTGTGACAATACACCCTCCCCACCCTTGCGATAATGGACTTTGTGATATTCCCCCACCCCGTGAATGTACTTTGTATGATACACCCTCCCCACCCTTGAGAAGGTATTTTGTAATATCCTCCCTGGCCCTTAAGAAGGTACTTTGTAATATTCTCCCCGCCCTTGAGAATGTACTTTGTGAGATCCACCCCCTGCCCACCAAAAAGTTGCTCCTAACTCCACCATCTGTCCAAAACCTCTAGGAACTAATGATAATCCCACCACTCTTTGCTGACTCTCTTTTCGAACTCAGCCCTCCTGCACCCAGGTGATTAAAAAGCTTTATTGATCACACAAAGCCTGTTTGGTGGTCTCTTCACATGGACACACATGACAGAATATACTTTTCCTTTCTTGTACGGTCTTTGTCTTTGTTATCAAGATTACAGTGGAATCACCCAATAAGTTGTGAAGTATTCTTTCTTTTTATACTATCTGAAATATTGAAGTTATCTGTCTTCAATGTTTAGAAGTTCCTGACTGCAAAACTCTCTAACCATGATGTTCATATGTATATTTTTATGACTAAGTTTTTGACTACAGAGTCAATGTCTGTAATGACAGAACTTACATTTAGATTTTCTTTTTCTTGGGCAAGTCATTATCAGTTGTATATTTCCAAGAGCATGTGAATTTTATTCAAATTTTGAGAATCATGAAATAAATGTATTTATATATTTTTGTAACTCTGTAGCTTTGTTCCCTATTCCCACCCTAATAACACATATTCATGCCTCTTTGTTATTTCATTATGAACCTTAGATATTTGACTATTTTATGAGTCTATTCAAAGAATCACATTTGGGTTTACTTGATCATCCAAATAGTTTTATTGTTTTCATTTTCAGAATATTTGATATTTGTTTCATTATTTCTTGCCTTATACTTTACACTTGATCATTTTTTAGTTTCCTGATTTCAACAATTAACTCATTAATTTTCAGTCTTTCTGTTTTTCTGCTATAGTTACGGATATAAGTTTTCCTGTTTTTACTGCTTAATAGTTTCCTCAAATACTTAAATGGGTATCTCTATATTATTCATTTCTAAATATTTAATACCCATAATATTATCTTTTCTAACCCATTGTTGGTTTTAAACTGTATATATATTTTAAAGATTTCCAAATATCTAGCATGATTTTTCTTTTGTTGTGAAGGAAATCAAAGTATTTTACCCCAGAATATGTTTATTTGACACTTGATCCTAGCCAAAAGGCCGAGAAGTGATGAATATATTTATTTGAAATATTTTGAAATAGAAGCAAACAGAAGTGGCCTTGCAAAGCTGTCTTTTGTGGAGGAAATGTGCATCTGTAGATAATCTTCATGAATGCAACTGGGATGTTCCTTTCCAGGCCTTTCCAGGATCTAGGAAAGACTGAGAGTTTGACATCTTTACATGTCTGAAGGGAAGTATTTACCATCTATTCTTTTTGAGGGCTACTACCTCCGAGGCTGCAGTCACATAACAAGGCCACCTTTGCCAGCCAAGCCTCCCTGCTTTGGTCATGCTCTGAGTCTGCATTCTTTCTTTAACCTCAAGATGGTGTGTAAGCTTCTGTACCTGGATGGGGATTGGGTGTTTATCCAAAGTTTCCCCTGTATACACTTTAAATAAATTTGTGTGCTTCTTTCCTTACTGCCTTGGCAAGTTGATTTTTCAGAGACCCTTCAGAGGGCCAAGGAGAAAGCCCTTCCTTGGTCCTCACAGTTACATTGCCATTCTTTTACTAGAAAATATTAGAGGGGAGGGAGATTTGACACAGAAACTGGTCTGTATGACAGATACTATTTTGTGTTGTTGATATTTTCTTTGTGGCCTGATGGAAAGCCAATTTGGGTAAATAATCCATGTGTGCTCAGGAAGAATGTACATTTTCTTATTATTGAGTGTGTGTGTGCTTATATATACATAATAAAAAATATGTATTATAAATATAAAATATATTTATATTTATATGCACACACATATGTATGCACATTCAAGCAAGCATAATAGTTCTGTTTTTCAAATAGTCAATAATCTTGCAGCCCTCAGAATCACAGCAGATTCAGGGACAATGATTGCTAATTGTTGGTTTTACATATCATTTACTTGGATAAGATTTCCTAGTGAGAGTCCATTGTTTTTATCATTGCAATATTACCAGATTTATTTCCTGTATTTGGATGCAAATTTACATGGTTCTTATTTATTCAGGCTTTAAAAAATCTCACACCAACGTGGCACATGTATACACATGTAACAAACCTGCACGTTGTGCACATGTACCCTAGAACTTAAAGTATAATAAAAAAAATATAATAAAAAAAATCTTGTCAACATAATATATCTTTTATTCAGTTGTAGAAATGTGCGACCATGAGGACACCATTACCTATGAATGACACGCTGAGACTGGAAACCCAAAATGATGGTAACTGAGAATGGTGTTAGGACTCTATGTTTTCATCACACTCTCACCTAAGTGAGGACCTTAACAAAAAGGGGGAATTTTTTTAAACAAAATTATGGGAGGCCATTATTTTTAACTAAGCTCATGCACTAGGCCCCAGCAGACCACACCAAACAGAAATGGAGTTGTTCTTGCTAAATGTGACATAATCAAACAAAGACTTTAAGGAAACACATAAGACCTAGCACAGATCAGGTTTTGTTTTTCTCCTATAAACAGGATATTCCAGCAAGGAGATACCCTCTACTCAGTCCTTTTTCCTACTTTTGCAAAACTCACTGTTCTGCTGTTTCCTAGTGGGTTTCAAGAACAAATAAGTACATTTACGATGGTGATAGTGACATCAATGACTAATATTTTGGTCATTTTCTCAAAATTGAGAAAATGACCAAAAGAGGGGAATTGTTAAAGCAAACTAAATATGGCCTGAAAAGGACTCTCTACTTTTATATTAGAGTCTTTGCAGATGAACTACAACCTGACTTAATAGGCAGACAAGATTGAAAACCTAACTTAGGAGTATGCACCTGCAACAATAGCTGAGTCTTGGCCAATCTCAGCAGCCGTAGTTCAACCACTCATACACTGCTGAGTGTTCAAACTGTGTTCAAATAAGGCAAATACCGTGCTGTAACCAATGCAGTTGTTTCCGTAGCTCATTGCCGATTTATGTATGTCACTTCCCTTGTTTTGTCGATAAATATTTTTCCACCACATGGCTGCACTGGAGTCTCTCTGAATCTACTGTAATTTCCGAGGACTGCCCGATTAGCAAATTGTTCATTGCTCAAACTACTTTAAATTTAATTCAGCTGAAGTTTTTCTTTTAAAAATATCTTTTCCTGTAAATTTACATTCAGCTTTTACTTTTTTAGGTTTTAAAATTGTCTCTTCCAAGCAGCATGTAACAAGATTTTATTTGTTTTTGTATAACTTGAAAATTTATGGTCATTTTAATTAACATGTTTACTTATTGATATACATGAATTTTTTTTTACCTTCTGTTTTTTCACTTTTAGTTTACTGTGCTTTTTCTTTACTTTTTTATTTTCATTTTTTATTGTTCTCATTTTCTCCCTTTATTCAATTACATTTTATTTTCCCATTCATTTTCTATTACATTAGTTGTTTGCTGTACTTTTGTTGTTGTTACTGATTATTTTAATAAGCCTATTTGTCCTAACAGGGTCCTAACAGGGTCCAAACAGGGTCCAAACTTAATCACTAATTTCACCCTCTTGTTCCTGGAACATACAGTAGTGAATGTGAAATACAAATCTGTGTAGGGCTTAGCCCTGTGGCGCAACTTCTCCGAGAGGATTTTGTTGTATGCAAAAATGTGGCTAATGCAAATAAATAGTTGTGTTTTTTTACTTTTCTTGCTGCTGACAGATTGTTATTAGCGTACCTTTTTACTTAATGTGTTCTAGCTATGTGTAAGGGCCTTAATTCCCAGACCCAAACTCTTTTATAATTGAGATTAACACAGTCTCTTTCCCTCACAACACACACACACACACACACACACACACACACACACGCAGACACACACACAGCAACTGCAGAGTGTACTCACAACTTTACAATTCAATTCATGATTCAGTTTCATTGCCATGACTTCTAGATACCTCCAGCATCATACTTTCTTGGAACTCACATTTGTATTTTAATTAATTTTGTAATATTTTATGTAGTAATTTTATGCATTAGTAGGAAGAGTGTTTTAAGGTTATCTAGTATTTAACATAGATAGAACTAAAAGTGCTTAGTCACTAGGATTATGTGTATTAGTGATGTTAATCTCAATCTCTATGGTGTTAAATCTGATCAGGGGCTACTCTGTAATCTTTTCACATGAACTATCAACAGCATCCAAAGGCCTTGACTTTCTTTTGTCCCTTCCTGGAACATTCCTTTCTTCATTTTTATGAAAATGCTCTCTTCTAATTTTCCTTCTCCACCGGTACCTTTTTCTCAGTATCTTTTGTCAATGTCACTTCTTTCTGTACATTCTTACCCAAGTTGATATTATCCATTTTCATACTTTAATGTCTTCTGAATGCAGATAACTACCAAATTTACATGTTCAACACATTTCTCTTCTATGAGACCAACTCCTCCTACTACTTCTCACTTCATTTCATAGGTCCTTCTACGTGAGAACCTATTGTCACCACTCAGTTTAGACCTCCCCTTCCTAGTTAGTGATATTCCTATCAATGCACTTCATTAAATCAGAGACCTGGAATTCATACATGATTCCCTTTCCACCTCTTCTGTGTTCAGGTGATAAGTATGCCTGTATTTATCCATTTGTTTCATTTGCATTGCTTCTGAGATCTAAGTCCATCATTTAGTCTTTTGTAATTTTGAGGCAAAGTTTTTTGAAAAATGCAACATAATCTACAAATACATTACTTATGTTATGTCATAAAACATAGCATTATACATAGACATGCATAGGTTAAAAAATGACATGGAAAATTATAATCTTAGTGATTAGACTTATAGATGATTTCTATTTTCTTTTTGGGTTTTTAAATAATCGTTATATAATTATAATCAGGAAAGCAAGTGATTAAAACAAATTCAAAACTTTTCTTGATACCAGATATGCCAAGGATCATTTTCCTTGATAATTTAACCAATCTCACATATGTTCTCTGGCTGAATTGGGCTAATGACTAGGCACATATAATGAGAAAAAAAATCATTTTTATTTTCACATGTGAATTGAATATGAAAATAGGTCTAATCATAATTTTCAAAATTTGAGTTTAGTAGTGAAGACAAAAAAGTTTATTTGAAAATCAGCATTGTGACTTATGTGTGATTGGCTACATGTATGTGACTAAAACATTGGGAGTCATGAAATTGAATGAATTACAAGGTCAGATGCGCTTTGTATATTGCTCTGTGCTTCCATTATGTCACTAAGATTGCATTCCCGTCTGTTAGTGGTCTTATTTATTTATATTTATGCATGCTAAGTTTGAAAGGCCAATGTTGATTCTTTTCGTTGCCTATAATGGTTTTTTAATGAGGTACATTCATTTGAATTATGAGCAATCTAATATATATTTTGGAATGTGTTGCTTTAAATGACTGCTAATAATTCTGTGAAAGTTTACCTCAAAGGCTAAAATATATGACAGTTATGTTAGAATTGAGTGATATTGCAAGCACTTTATAAGTTTATTAAAAATAAAAAAGCTTGGATACTGTGTTATTGATGACATAATTCACTTAAACGGGTGAGCCAGTGTGGAAGAATGAAACACACAAGGACTTTGGCAAAAGACAAGTCTGAATTTTAATCTTACCACATACTGTCTGTTTAATCTTAAGCAGTTTACTGAACCTCTCTGAGCTATCTATACAACTTGGAAAACCTTACTTTGCAGTATTGTTGTAAGAATCAAATAAAATTCATACAAAATGCCTAGCTTAATTTATACCTTCCTGACTACTGCTGCCTTATAAACCTAAATGATGTGATACCTGCAGGTCTGCTGCTCCAAAATCACCTACTTCATTGTTAGATGAGCATAATGGTTGGTTAGTCAACATCGTTGGCTACGTTGACACCTGACTCTCCTGGGGGCTCTATTACTGCTGTTCAGATGAAGATTGTATTGGATATTTGAGAGAGGGAAAACAGAGAATTACACATATAAACACACTCAGCTCAGTTAATCAAGGGAAAGCCCAGTGTAATCAGGGTGAAACTTGTGTGTACTCAGGATCCTTTCTACAAATCCTTCACCAATCTGTAGGGTTATATAACCTTGTATCTGCTCATAAAGATAATACCAAGCATGCCCTCTAGAGCAACCTGTCTTGGCCTTGTTAGCCTCATCTGTCTCATACCTGCTGCCTCCCACTAAAACAGAAAAATCAGTCCTTTTCTATTTCCTGAAGCAACACCTATTCTTTCATTGGCATTGAAATCATTTTTCCTTCATGACATTTAATGCTCTGATTTTCTTATTTATAATTGCCTTTATAATCATTCCCTCAAAGAACTGTGATCCCAGAAAGCAGTGTGTCTAGGCAAAATGATAGTGACAATTTTTATACACTTTACAAGAATCTAAATACCTTAATGATTTTAGAAGAAACAAATTATTCCACCCCACCCTAAATTACAAGTTTCTTCAATTCTTTTTGTAAAGATGACAATTGACAAACTAGATTATCTACAGTGATTCTAATCATTCAGGAGGTAGTAAAATGTCATATTTACTATAATGTGCTGGGGGTAGCCAGGGTGGAAAGGAGGGAGTGGGAGGGGACTATATACAAATCTAATAGCAAAGCATGTAAATATTTCACTAAAATATGCTGCTCAATTAGGAAATAATAATGGGGTAATAAGTAAAGTGAATGCAGTTTTAACTATCTTGGGCTTCTTAGTTGTGATGTAAATGGCATGTTGCAGATAGTTAGCCCAGAGAGCAGTATCAATTCTTCTTATGACAGCTTCAGCCCCTCTCTGAATGATCAAGCTAAACAAGTAGATCGGCACAAAAAATCTGCACTGGAAACATATGAAGCAGAATCTGAAATAATTATTGATCAGGGAAATATTCATCATAGTAATTTCAACGTACTTCACAGCATTTGAGAATGTAAATTATTCCATTTCATTATGAAATTATACAATCCAATCAATAATATATAGAGATTTCTCATTTGCTGGTAAAACCTTAAACATAATGAGACATTTTTTAAATGGAACCAGAAGAGGCATTTAAATGGCAAATGTCATTTTCGTTATTCCCCTCCTACAGGATTGACTTAAGTCAATTTACATAGATCATTATTGATTCTAGTTCCACAAAATGGGAATGAACAAATTATATCTGACATATTTTAAAGTCCACAAAATGCCAATATTTTTTCTCCCCTATATAACCTTAATCTGTTCGAATGCAAGAATGTTTTGTTTCGGTCTACATTAGACACTTCAAATTAAGTTACAATCAATATTATTATATAAAAATCCAGGGTAAAAATGTATTTTCAAGCCTCAACTTAGGACTGGCTAATAATAACAATATGGGTTATATTAATATTCTACCCCAAGCAATACATAAACAATTTATCAGAGTTCTTTGGAAATTCCTCATAGCACTGTCTAGAGGTAATCATTATTTATATTTTTATTATGTATTCTTCCAGAGCTTTCCCTATTCTGTATTTGGTTTTCATACATTTTGTAGAATGTATACTACTGTGTTTATTGCTTAAATTTGTTTATAGCAGTGGTGCTAAAACTCAATATGTATACATTGTTACAAAATAATAAACCTATTAAAAAGCCTATTAAAAGAGCATATCTCTTTGAGCTTTACACCTGCTCAGCTACTCATTCTCATCCAACCCAAAGATACTGATTCTACAGAAGTAGGATGGAGGCTAGGAACATAAATTTTAAAAATAAAACTTAATATAGCTCTGGGGAAAGTAGATTGTAGTATTAAAAAACACAGGCCTATAATTTCTTTTTTGTGTTAATCTTATGAGGAGAGTGCATCAAGATTATCCTAGTTTGTGATGATACTTTGTTAAGAGATTCATCTTTTTCAGAATTTGAAAGAATCTCAGTGATGGAAAATATCTGCTTTATAGAGCTTTCAGAGGAAATCAGCATTATTTGGAGACTTTTGAAGGGCATGAATAATTTACTAACTTTTCAATTCCTTCCACAATTATGATTGTATCCGTGTTTTCTATCTTCCCTTAGACAATTTTTATAGCTAATGTTTTTCTAGAAAATTGACCATTATATTATAAAATGTGTTGGGAATGAAGTTTTTGGTGTTGCAAAAAAAAGAATTAACGCTGGAACAAATGATCTCTCAGCAAGGCGAGCTTTACTTTCTGCAGAAAGGGTGCTACTCAATAGCTGTCCAGCCACGAGAGCACGCTGAACAAAGAAGACAGTTATTTATATAACGCATATGTATTTTTGCATCTACCCTACTGCTGTGTCCGGTTCCGGTTGGCTGGAATAGGACCTCACATTTCACATTTTACCCAATTGGCTATTAGTTTAAAACTTTCTTAATTAGGTAAGGGGAATAGAACAAAGAAAGGAAAGGAAGTTGCCCAAGGATAGTTAAGGAAGCATCTCCAAATAAGGAATGGCATGCACTATGGGCTGGGGCTTGTCTAGTTCTGTCCAGGCATGCCAGAGCAAGCTAGGACAGCTGGTTTGGAATACATAAATGTGTATATATATATATATGTATATACACACACACACACACATACTAATAGTGGATAACAATCTTATAGTAAGAAATTGTGACTTTTTATAATCTTTGAATAGGAACTTTCCCATTTCTCACAAATGTATTTGTGTTTGTGACATGGAGGACATATTCAATTAGAACAACTCCAGCTTTTATCTTTGTCTCTTCTTCTTCCTTTTGTTTATTGCTCTCTATGCTTAGCTTCTTCAATTTCATACTTAATTTTTATTTGACATTTCTTTTATAGGTTAATATCTCCTAAACATAGGCATAGTTTAACTCTGTTTTGATTTAGATATAGTTTGATGTCTTTCAATAATGCTTTTTTTTTCTTTTTTCTCTTTAGACCTCATTTGCTATCTTTTATTTTTAGTTTTCATATAGATTTCATTGCTAACATCAATAGAATCATTTCTTATTTTATTGTTAAATCTTTATTTTTATTATACTGTGAGAATTTGGATTTTTACATACCTATATTTATGTTAGTATTTTGGTTTTGTACCTAGTAACTTAGCTGAATTCTTGTTAATTCCAGTGGTCTGCTGAGGTTCTCGGATTTTTTTTTTTATGCAGACAATGATACCATCGAAAAATGATTATATCTTTTTTTTTCAAGTTTTATTTTTCTCATTTTATACTTTCTTATTATTGTTTTATCCTGGCTAAATCCTCCAGTACAATGCTAGAAAACAGAAGTGATGAAAGCCAGCAATTTTATCAGGTATCACTAATGGTAAACTTCTAAAGTCTCACTATTAATATTGTATTTGTTGTAATATTTTTTACAAAAAAATAAGATGGGGTTTTTTTTGAAATGCCTTTATAAAATAAGAATCACCTATTCCATGAAGTATGAATATATTTGATTTAAATTGACTTTTAAATCAGCTAGCCTTGGCTCTTTCTGATATTTTGATTACCAATTCAATGTATTCTATCTCTTTACTTCCAACTTTTCTGAGTGGTTTTGTATTAAATATATCTCTTTTAAAGATGATCTACCTAGATTTTTATTTTACTGTAGTGAGATAGGTACTTAATAACTACACATATGTTTTAATGACTGATACATTTGCATTATATCTACCATTTTATTTCTTTCACCATCCTTTTTCTTGGTTTCATTTTTAGTCTTCCCTTGCTTCTCTTGAACTGATACAATTTGTTTTATTTATTTTTTATGGTAAGTTGGCAGCAGTATATTAGCTCTCTCTTTTGGAAGCTATCCTTTAAACTGTAATACACATACCTAACTGTAATTTATTCTTTAGAAATGTTTAAAGGACTCGGCATTTCTATCTCTTAGCCAGTAAGGCCTTAACTTTCTCTTTCAAGTGTAAAAATAAACATATTTTGATGCTCAATAATCAATGCATTTTCCTAAGATAGTTTATCAATTTTTAGGGCCTTCCATTATTTCTTGGAACCTATGCCTTCTCTTAATGTATATGTTTTCTGTTTTTATTTTTTATTTATTTTATTTTTTTGGGATGGAGTCTCGCTCTGTCACCCAGGCTGGAGTGCAGTGGCACGATCTCTGCTCACTGCAACTTCTGGGTCCCGGGTTCAAGCAATTCTTCTGCCTCAGCCTCCTAAGTAGCTGGGACAACAGGCGTGTGTGCCACCGTGCCCGGCTAATTTTTTGTATTTTTAGCAGAGATGGGGTTTCACCGTGTTAGCCCAGATGGTCTCTTGTACTCCTGACCTCGTGATCCGCCTGCCTCGGCCTCCCAAAGTGCTGGGATTACAGGCGTAAAGTGCTGGGATTACAGGCGTGAGCCACCACGGCCGGCTCTGTTTTTAAAAATAATTTATTCATTGGGGTTTGTTGAATTCATTTTTTTAGTCTTTGTATGAAGATATCAGGAAAGCTTTTGTATTAACTTATAAATTAGAGTTAACTGACAGCCAAGTGAAAGAATCTCAGCTCCACGAAAATGACAAAACAAACTTTAGTGTAAAATGACAGTTGATAATCTAGCCCCAGGATGATCAGGCATTCTTCCAATTTTGCAAACCCAGGTAATCTGGAGTGCTAGATAGTGGCAAAACAAACGAAATAAAAACAGAAAAACTAGACAGTTTGTTAACTAACAAAGAGTCAACAGTTAGGCGAATTCTGTCAATAATACCAGTATCAGGACTCCAGCATCCACTAAGTGGGGATTTACAGACAGGACTGGTGAAAGCCATGCAGTGTGTCATACACAGAAGAGCCTGGGGAACCAGGAAAGCTATCCAAACAGTTCTCAGAAACAGAGATACACGTTAAAGCTCATTTATCAAAGGAGAGCATAGGTTAGGGTTGCTGTAAAACAGTGATGAGATGACATATTTCTAAACTGCAATTACAGAAGGTCTAGGACATCAAAAAAGATGGTCATTTAGGCACCCAACTATGGGGATTAATGAATCTAAGTAAATTAGCTAGGTACAGAGATAAGTTTTGGAACTAAAGACAAATATTATCCATATGATTCTGTCAAAGGCCATTTTTAATGTAAATGTTCATTTGTGGAGCACTAAGACATCCACTTTGTGGTACAACTTTAGAACTGCAGGAAAGCCTGTTAAGAGTAAAACTGAGCATTTTAGGCCATTTATGTTCACTGAATGTGCTGTGTTTGAATTTGCAGCAGTCTCCTAAAGATCTAGCTAAAATACCAATAATCTATTTCCAAGGGAAAGGCCATAATTTAAGAAGATTTTATTTCTCTTTTTTCACAAAAAGAAGAAATCTAAAAGTGTTTGAACATGTATTATATTCCTAGCATGGTATAAGGTGCTTTACATATGTGTTTTGAATGTAATTTTCAACGGGAATCTAAGAGAAAGTCTAATTGCTTCTAGTCTGCAAATGAAACCCAGACTGAGAATGACCACGTAACTTTCCCAAGGCAATATAACTCATGTCTGACAAAACCTGGAATTCTTATTATTTTTATTCCTCACAAAGATATAAACAAACCACATTGACATGTCTGAGCCTTAAGAGTTAAATCCTCTATTTGAAGAGATTTATGTCTTAAACATGAAAACAATCATATGAGCCATAAGTAGTTTTAATATTACACTATACTCTTACCTTAAATAAGTTAATGTGCATGTAGAAAAGTTACTACTCACTGCATATCAAAATAACATGCCATTATATATTTTAAGCAGATGTGTAAAGATAATATCCATCTATCTAAAATTGGAACGAGACACTCATGTCAATATATTTTTCATGTAAATTCTACTTAAACCTGACATGTTGATGGTTAGATGTCCAGATCCTATATTTACTTTTTAAAAAACCATAAGTACCTCTGGGACAAACCAATTACCTCCAAGAGTTTTCATACAGAATATTGACCATTAATACATGTGTCTTCACAGTTGAGAATATTTAAGGCTTTTTTCCCCAATTAAATTAAAAAATAACATATTCTACAGTATTTGACAGTAACATTACTTCTAAATTTCAAATCGTAGTAAAAGATGTGGTTTTGTATAAAAAGGATTACTTTGCATTAATATTCTTTTAAACTTCAAAGACATGCGATCTCTTCAAAACAGCACACGATTTAGGTTTTAAAAATTCTTTTTAATCTTCCATAGTTCTGCTAATCAATATCTGTAAACTTAGCATAGTGCAAGAAAACTCAGTGTTTAAAAAGATGCATGAAAATTCATAATGTTGATGGTATTCTGAAGTTGTGTCCATATCTTCAACTAAAACGAAATCATTAAAATTTAGATTTAATGTATGAATACAAGCTACCACGGTGTATACATATACTTTGAAGGCACTGCTTAAAACATTCTCTTTAGGAAATAATTCTACTCTGTTTTCACTTTCTTTTTCTTTTTTTTCAAAATTTAGTAAAAATTTAAGTAATTCTCTTATTTGCTGACAAAAATATATTAGAATATTGAAGGATTTCTTATTTCTTGAGGAATGAAAATATTGGGGGCCAGTATTTTCATAGTGGGACCTCATTTCTCCAAAATAAAGAAAATTAAGTTGGCTTGGTGGCAGGCACCTGCGGTCCCAGCTAATTGTGAGGCTGAAGTGGGAGGATGGCTTGAGCCCAGGAGGTCGAGGATGCAGTGAGCTGTGATTGTGCCACTACATTCCAGCCTGGTTGACTCAGCAAAACTGTCTCAAAACAAAAAAAAAAAATCAAAGAAAATATTGGTGGTATGTTCATTCACAAATTATTTCAGTAATCCAACAATCACATTACACATTAAGTACTATAAATTTAATGATATTTCATTAGGTGTGTGAATGGTTAAAAATATCATAGATATGATCTATCTTTGCAAGTAAGAAAATTCCATTATTTTCAATTTGTCATAAATAAATTACCATGTTTAAAGGATTCTAAGACCCCATCAACTGCAAAGTGGATGTCTTTTGCAGGATGCTAAAATGGGAAAACCTGAACACCTTGGAAATGATGTAATGTGGTATGATATTGTTAATAATTTGTAGACTGTTAGAAGATCTAAAACCAAAACTCACCTAGGTTTTTGGTATCCTCTTATTTTACTTAATGATATACTACAACAGACCAGGCACAATGGCTCATGCCTGTAATCCCAGCACTTTGGGAGGCCGAGGTGGGCAGATACTTGAGGTCAGGAGTTTGAGACCAGCCTGGCCAACATGGTGAAACCCCGTCTCTACTAAAAATACAAAAATTAGCTGGGTGTGGTGGTGCACGACTGTAATCCCAGCTACTCAGGAGAAGGAGGCACGGGAAGAGAATGGCTTGAACCAGGGAGGCAAATGTTGCAGTGTGCAAAGATCACGCCACTGCACTCCAGCCTGGGTGGCAAAGCAAGACTCTACTTCAAACACAAAAACAAAACAAAACAAAACCACATTATACTACCAGACTTTTCCTAGACCAAAGAAAAGTCTTTGAAAATATAATATTAATGACTCCATGTTAATCTATGATATGAGTATGACATAGATTATTAATAAGATTTCTGGCTGAGCATGGTGGCTCACCCCTGTAATCCCAGCACTTTGAGAGGACAAGGCGAGTGGATCACCTTAGGTCAGAAGTTCAAAACCAGACTGGCCAATATGGTGAAACCCCTTCTCTACTAAAAACACAAAAGTTAGCTGGTTGTGGTGGTGCACACCTGTAGTTCCAGCTACTTGGGAGGCTGAGGAAGGAGAATTGCTTGAACCCGGGAGGCAGAGGTTGCAGTGAGCTGAGATCACGCCACTGCACTCCAGCCTAGGTGACGAAGCAAGACTCCATCTCAAAAAAAAAAAAAAAAAAAAAAGGCCAGGTGCTGTGGCTCACGTCTATAATCCCAGCACTTTGGGAGGCCGAGGCAGGTCAGGAGTTTGAGACCAGCATGGCCAACATGGTGAAACCCCATCTCTACTGAAAATAAAAAATTAGCTGGGTGTGGTGGCCCACACCTGTAGTCCCAGCTACTTGGGAGGCTGAGGGAGGAGAATCACTTGAACCTGGGAAGCAGAGGTTGCAATGAGCTGAGATCACGCCACTGCACTCTAGCCTGGGTGACAGAATGAGACTCCATCTCAAAAACAAAAAAAAGAAAATTAAAAAAAGATTTTTGGTCACTGTTTTCTTTCTCTATTAAATATTGTCTTCTTGAACATCATTTTCACCACTGAATATTTTCTTAGAATGAATTACATTTTTTGCTTATTAATTTTAGGTTAATAATAATATCATAACATAATACTCTGACACATATATTTTTACTCTGAAACATTTTTGTTGGCATAAATTACATAAAATACTTTTATGATTTTTTTTCTTTAGAGAAGGTATTAGATAAGGCTGAAGTGCATTTCGATAAAACCTGAGCTATTTTATCTACAGAGTTCTTGGGTCACATTTATTTTTCCTCTGTGAATGTTACTCAGTTTTCTTCTGATATTAATCCTTTAGATTTCCCAGGCCAGTCCCATTTCTCTTCCTTTTATTTACACAGTGGACAATTCTGGGCATTCCTAGAGTGCTAGAAGTTTGCAAACAGAACAGCAGCAATGATGGCTGGGTCATCACCCACATGGATCTTTTTGGCCCATAGAGTCTAAAATTTTAGACAGCTACATTTTTCAGCCTATGTGTTTGGAGAAATAGTATTTCCTTCCCTTTTATTCTTAAGTTTTATATTAAATTCTGAATGGCAAGGAGATTTCATCTAATCTTCCAAATTGGATAGATTGCTAATGGCTGCCTCTGGGACTGTGTAGAAGAATATAAAATTGACTTTTAGTTCTTTGGGAAACAGTTCCATGATCAGTCACAGTAATATCTCTCATGCCCGCTGAGTATTTCCAAGTGTAAGTTAAGGAGAGATCTCCTCCTCAGTAGTTTTCCTGAATGTGGGTGATCCATTTCAACTTTCAGGTTCTTTTTTTCTTCAAGTCAGCCCTGCTATTATTCCTTTCATGATCAATTCTTTACATTGGTGTTCTTTCCTTTGGAAATACAGAGTTTAAATACATCAAATGTCTATAATGTTCCTACTATTTCATTTTTTTCCTATTTTTATCTCTATCCCCTGCTTATGAGTTTTGGGAAATATTTCCAAATTATCTTCTATATTCAATGAGTTTTCTTCTCATTGTAGCCATCCACTGCGATGACTTCTGTTTTGTTAGCTTGTTTGTTAATTAAATACTTTGTGTATTAGTCAGCAATGGCCGAAAATGCATGGTCCTCTCAAATTTGGCATGTTTAGGAACATTTAAAGAGGGACTATATACATAGATATGGGCTGTTTATAAGGATGCTACAAAGGAGAGTTGATCACTCTAGAACTACTGATACCAGAATGCTGTTCCCACCCCAAGCTTGAAATGAAGCATTAGTTCCCAAAACCTTGTGAAAGGGACAGCCACGTGGAGTGGCCCACCTGATATTAACTAATAGTTAGGAGCAGCAGAAAGCCCTTATCAACCCCACAGGGAGACAGTCAGAGAATAATTCATACAAAAGTCATTTAGAATACAAATATAGTCTTCTCTATTTACCAAGGTAGTACAAAAAAATTTAAAAGGCAAAGAAAACAGGCTAACAGTATGAAATAACTTTATATTAGCAAGTAATAAATAACAACACGGAATGGTAGAATTGAGACCAAACATATTAACCATCTTAGTAAATCCAAATGGATTTACCTTGCTTACTAAGAGAAGATTGTCAGATTGGAGTATACAAATCAAAAACCAATTCTTTGCTGTGTATATGAGGCACAACTAAAATTAAAGTGATTCAGAATGGCTAAAAATAAAAGGATACAAAAGCATACCAGGAAAATGCAATAAAAAGAAAGTAAGGTAAAGTTTCTGATATCAAGCAAGGTAGACTTTAGTCCAATACGCATTAAATAATACAAAGAAGGTAGGATTGCCAGATTTAGCAAATAAAAGTATTGAAATCTCAGTTAAATTTGAATTTCAGGCAACCAGGGAATATTTTAACGTATTAATACCCAAGCATCATTTGCTTCAATATACAAAAATTAGTGACTTTAGATAAAATTGAAATTTAACTGGGATTCATTTTTTTAATGTGACCACCCTATTCCTTTCCCACTAAATAACAATTATCCTGAGCAAGCAAAATCTATGGAACGTAATCGTAAAACAACTTTATTTTTGTCTCACTGGCCCTGTAAAGCTGCTGTTTTCTACCAGGTGTTACTCCTTGTCAATAACATTTCTAACTTCTCCAGGGTTGCAGCATGGGGAGGAAGGATTTGTAAGGAGAGAAGAAAGTTCTGACTTGATTCACAGTGTTGTGGTTATTCAGAATACCAATCTTCTTCAATATGTTCAAAACTCACCATTTCCTTTGACATTTATTTTATGGTTTCTTTGGAGACCCTCTTGCCATCTCTGGGGATGTCTGCCTTACAGTGTTGTTACAGGTGAAGACACCTCACTTTTTGCTGGATGTACCCTTTCCTAGCTTTGTAGAAATACAGCACTAACTTTGGGTTATCTTTGCTGATTTTGCCTTGTTGCTCTAGGTGACCATTTTGGATAGGACCCCATATAACCTTGCATGCAAGGCTGATGTGTGTTCACAGGAAGCACTGATACATTCTTTGCTCCTATTAATTTTGGAAGGCTAGCCCCTGCTACCGCCTCTCTTTCCCCAACCATCAAAATAACTCCTTAGCTCATTTCCAGTCCTTTGGATTTTCTAGGGAGAAACATACATTATCTTCTCTGTCTTATGTTGTAAGGGACACATATTATGCTCTCTGAGGCCATAAGCTTCTAATTCTTTAGACTTCTTCTCTTGTATTTTGCCTATTAAAATATATTTAAAACATATGTAACATTTAAAAAAACCTGTACAAAACACTTCAAATAAAATATATATTTTAGTAAATTAGAAGGAATGAAATGATACAACCTCAAATTACAAACTCGAAGATGTATACTTAATAGGTTGCAACATGGTTTTATAATGTGACTCAATATTTCCAATCTTTTGAAAGACAGACATACAAAAGATCAAAGCATCCATTACAAAGTCTCAGCTTTCAAGTATTTTTTTGTTGGGAGTAAAAATGAGGTAAAGTGTTATGGGCTATTTTATAAATATTATTTTATTATGAATATTATATATATTATAGCAATATAAAAATACAAGGAGTATACAAATATATATACATACATATATTTCTTGTAGTTTTATATTGCTATAAGAAACATAATATTCATAATTTATTCATAATAAAATATATACATACATATGTGAAAAATATAGATAAGCAAAGCAGGAAAACAAAAATACACATACCCTCACCAGAGATAACATTTTAGCTTATATATTTCTATTATTTTTCTACATACAATTGTGTATAGGTTTTTATACAAAGGTATACATATAGTATACGTATTATGGCCTGCACTTTTTTCACTAAATTATATAGCATATTTCCCATTCCATTAAATATTCTTTTTCATCATATTACTATTGCAATATATAGCATCCTAAAATGTATTTGCTCATTCCCCTTTGTGGGGACATATTACAAATAATCCTGTAACATGTATCTTTTATGTAAATTAATCATGCAGTTCATCTTGTGGTATAATCGTGTCCAATGCTTAGAAGTTTAAAAACTTCTGACACATATTGCCAAATGGTCTTCCATAAGGATTATGCATAATTGCAGTACTCATCAGCAATTTATTTTTTGCTACACTACCACCAATGTTTGATATGCCTATAAAATAAAAATAAATATTCCTCATTTAATTTTCTTAATAACTGACTCTGTCTAAACACTTTTAAAACTGTTTTCAATGGCACTGGTCTAAAAAATAGAACTTATGTTTGCTTATAAGAGTTTGGGAAGTGCCCAGTATAACAAAGTGTTTTTTTACTACTAGGTTTGTCAGAGCTTTTAACAGGCTTAACATGCTAAAATAGATCATGACTCATCAAAGGAGGTCTATTGCATCTCCATTCCTAGTAGCCACTGAACTCCTTTATCTTGAAACCACAATCAACACATAGGTGAAAGCCTTAAAAAAACACACAAAATGCTGCTATGTTTAATTATTAGTAAATATCAGATTTCAGATTCTCAACAGGCTTCTTTCTGATAACGGTGTTTTCTGTATTACTTTGTGATTTTCTCAAAATTCAAGTTGAGAAACCTTATTTTTGGGATGAAAGTTTCCTGTCAAGATATTCATCATTGATCATTGTTCAAACTCTCTTTCCATTAGCTTTGTTTTTCATTTTTATTTTTGTTTCTTTATTATTTTTTTTAACAATTGCCTGGATTCTTAGAGTAGCTGGAGATCAGTCTGGTTGTGGAGGAAATAGGGGAAGAAAACCTAGGTTTTGCTAATTTATATGTTATTTGTATGTTTGGTTTTTGACTGGCTATATCATCATCCATGTTTGGCTTTAGTAAATATCAGTTTGGCTCTAAAGCATTTCTTGAGAATATTCCCAGAAACTTTATTGTTAGGTAATTGCAAACCAAACTATAAGAAAAACATAGGTTTGCTTTTTAAAATACCTTTTCCATCTTTCAAATCTGCAGTTTTTCCTCACTGATGAAACTAAAGGACCTGGGCATTATTCAAAAAGCAATTTGCTATTATCTAAAATATTATTAGAGGAAATTGAGTAGTCATTTGGACACTCCCAGGATTTCAATCTGGTTATAAAATTAAGATACACACTTAATGATGTTGTGTTTGGAATTCTTTTTAAGTTGCACATCATAAAAAGTATGCAAAATAAAAGTTTAAAAATTCTAAAGTTCTGCTCTTTAACAGATTGTTGAACTTACAAGTTTGACCAAACTAGGTATGAAACTCAAGTACCACTCACTTCTTGAAATAATGATACTTCTTCATACTCCACCTAGAAACAGGGCAAGACAGATAGAAACCATGCTGGATGAATACAAAAAGGTATCAGCATCCTTTTAAGTAAAAAAGTACAGAAAAACTACTGTTAAATTAAGAACCTCCAATGTCAACAATGAGGAAATATTTTTGGAAGGTAAGAAAACAAATTGGGAAAAGTCTGCTTTGGCTAATTAGTTTTATGGAAAGAAGCTACATTCTTTTTTCAGAAAAGCCATGAAACTTTCTGCATTTCTGTGAATCTTAGTAAGCATCAGATGCATGCTTAGGAAATAATTTACAACTCAATTGCATGAGTCAATGTTCATTCAGTCCAGTTAGCCCCATTTTGTTCTTTGTTTTTTCGTAAGTGTTACATATTTTTTGTTTCTCTCTGTTCTCTGTTAAGTATATATTTTCTAGTATACCATTTTTATTCCTTGTTCTTTACTATAATTTTTGAATTATGTTCTTAGTAGTTATTCTGGGAGTTAGAATTAACATTATTTTATAATAATCTAGTTCAGTTAAGTATAAATTTATTTTCCATAGTATGCACACTCTTTTCTATGACTTCGTCTGCTTTATGTTATTGTCAAACCAATTGCATCTTTATATATTAACTCACCACAACTGTTTCATTTTTTATTTATTTTTATCTTTAATTCTTTAAATTGACAGATAAAATGATATGTATTTACAATGTAAAACATGATGTTTTGAGGAAAATATACTTTGCAAAATGACTCACCCTAGGTAATTAACATATGCATTACATCACATAGTTATCATTTTTGTGGTGAGAACTCTACATCCACACTCAGCATTTTTCAAGAATACAACATATTATTAACCACAGTCACCATATAGTACAATAGAGCTCTTGAAGTTATTACTCCTATCTAACTGAAATTTTGTATTCTTTGACCAATATCCCCCTAAACCTCTCTCTGTTAACCACCATTCTACCCTCTACTTCTGTGAATTCAACATTTTTAGATTCCACGTATAAGTGAGATAACACAGTATTTGTCTTTCTGTTCCTGGCTTATTTCACTTAACATTGTGTCTTTCAGGTTTAACCATGTTGTCACAAATGATATTATTTCCTTCTGTTTTAAGGCTGAATATTATTTTATTGCATAAATTAGGTTGGTGCAAAAGTTCTCTGGTCATGGCAAAAACCAAAATTGCTTTTGCACCAACTGAATATAAACTCCGTTTTTTAAATCCTTTCACTGATGGATAGACATTTAGGTTGATTCCATGTTTTGGCTATCATGAAAATGCTACAATGAACATGGGGATGCAGATAATATGTCTTTGGTACACTAATTTCATTGTTTCAAATATATACTAATTAGTGGAATTCCTGGATTATGATTACTGTTTTACGCTATTGTCTTTTAAATTAGTTAGTACAGAGATTTCAAGTTTGGAAGTTAACCGGAACCATTTTTCTAAGGGTAAATGTTTCAGCACGGGCCATAATAGCAGGCAATCTAGCACATTGCCTCCATTAAAGAAGCCTTGCCCAAAGGCAACCATTATAGTCTTTCTGGAGACCCATTTTTTCGGGGAGCCAAGCAGGTCACACAAGTCTAGGAAATCAAAGGGAAATCACAGGCAGAGAACTACAGCTGGCTGGGTGAGCGTGACGAGCCCCAAAAGCTCAGTTTCTCTGGTGCCATGGCTTGGAGGGTCACACCTACAACCATGGGCGGCACATTTAACAGGATGCTGCAACCCAGGAACCAAGGAGGGAAAACAATCCGGGGACACTCCTACTGTCTTCTTCTCCACCCTGGGTCACATACTGAAAGGAAGGCAACTAAAAGGATGCTTTTATTCTCACTTCTTTTTCTAGATGAATAACAGATTGTCTTCAGCTTGCACCCCTCTGGAGTGCACTCTGAAACACTGGAACTTCTTTAACCTCAGGAGTTTGAAGATAAAAGTGACTCATTTTCTTTTACACAAGGGTATGGAATTTTTACTAAACCTTTGCAAGCATTGTAAGACCAGCTCTTTTATCAATCATATCAGGAAGGCCCAAAGATAATAATTCCTCCAAATTACAAAAGCAACCTCCATGGGAACCATCTGCAGCTCCTTATTTGGGGCCTCTTCAAGCTCCTTTCTCGTTTCAGGACCTTAGGCAAATAAAAGGAAACTTAGGCCAATTTTCTGACAACCCTGATAGATATATAGAAGCTTTCCAGAATTTAACTCAGGTGTTTCACCTCATGTGGAAGTATGTTATGCTGCTCCTGAACTAAATCCTAAGAGCAACTGAAAAACAGAAAGATCTGCAGGCAGCAGACAACTCTGGAGATGAGCAACATATGTTCTATAATACACCAAAAGCAAGGAAATGTGACGGGGAATTGCAGAAACACCATTCCCAATTGAAAGAGAAGCAGTTGCTCTTGACAACCCTAATTGGGACCCCAGTAGCTCTGCAGATGAATGGAAAAGAAAGCACGTTTTAATATGCGTTTTAGAGGGGCTACAAAGAACTAAGGCCAGACCTCTCAATTCTAAATTGAGTTGGTCTAATTGTAAATTTGGTTTGTCTATGATAAACCAAAAGCCAGAGAAGAATCCTGTAGCCTTTGTGGAAAGGCTGAGGGAGGCACTGATAGAGTACACCTCCTTAACCCCTGACTCAGTTGAGGGGCTGCTTATTCTAAAAGACAAGTTTATTACACAGGCAGCTTCTGATATTAGAAGGAAACTATAGAAGCAAGCTATAGGACCAGATAGTACCTTAGAGAGCCTCCTGAGGGTGGCCACTTCAATCTTTTATAATAGGGACCAGGAGGAGGCCCAAAAGAGGGAATGCTCAGGAGAAGAACAAAGGCTATAGCAGCTGCTTTGCAGGCTTGCAAATTCCAGGATCCACTAGGTGCATCCGCTAGTTGCTATCCGTGTGACAAGCCAGGGCATTTTAAGAAGGAATGCCCAAACAGCAAGAGGAAGCCACCTCAACCCTGTCCAGCCTATGGTGGAGGCCACCGGAAATCAAACTGCCCCCAGAGACAAAGTTCACTGTGTTTAGAACCAGTCTCACAGAGGGTCTGATGGGTCCTGGGGCTCAAACACTGGCTCCAGAGTAGCAAACTGCCATTATAGCGCAAGAGCCCTGGGTGATTATGGAAATTAAAGGAAGGAAAGTAAACTACCTTCTAAACACTAGAGCCAGTCTCCCTCTTTTCTCTTGTCTAATCCAGGGCTCCCCTTTTCCCACAGCACAACCTTGTAAGGGGTATCTCAGGAAAAACTCTAATCCAATATTTTTCTAAACCTCTTAGTTGCAGTTAGGAGGACCTATTGTTTCCAAACCACTTCCACAATAGATTCACTGGTCAGAAAAGCCTCCAAATTAACTTTAACTCTTTACACCCCACATAATATGGCAAGATTACTGCCTTCTAGGGGGAGCTCTTAGCTAACAAACAGCCAGTAAAGCAAGAAATACATAAGGTAGGATAAACAGTAGTTACTCTAAATAACATCTCTCCCCACACACAAGTGCTCAATTAGCTGAACTAATAGCTCTTACAAGAGCACCGAAATTAAGCAAGGGAAAGGTAGCTAACACTTATACTAACTGGAAGTATGCTTTCTTAGCTTTCCATGCTCATGCTGCCATTTAGAAGGAAAGACATTTTCTTATCACTAATGAATCGCCTATAAAATATCATCAGGGAATTAACAGGTTATTATCTTCAGTTTTTCTTCCATGAGAAATACCAGGGATTCATTGTAAGGAACATCAAAAGGAAACAAAGTAACCAAAGGAAATAGGTTAGCTAATCAGGCAGCTAAGTCAAAGGCAAGGAAGCCTCAAGGCATTAACACACTTCAAGCCCCTTCTAATCTAGGAAAGCTCCATAAGAGAAATTTAATCTCAGTATTCCCCTGCAGAAATAGAATAGGCCACTTCTTGAGGGCGTTCTTTCCAGCCTCACGATGGCTTCAGTCAGGATGGCAAACTCCATTTGTCAGCCCCTAGGCAACGGAAAGTCCTTAAAATCCTTCACCAACCTTTTCACTTTGGAAAGGATAAAACTTAGCAAAATGTTCAGAGATTGTTTTCAGGCAGAAAACCCCTAGTCGGTTAAGCATGTAACCTCACTAGCTCTCTTCCAACAGGAATTGACGCAACTAGCAGAAATCCAACCCCAGGAAATAGGATCACCTCTATTTAACTCAGGACATTTGGTTTTAGTGTAAGCTCATCTCTCTCTTTCCTTCCTTACACCGGTGGGAAGGGCCCCACACTGTTCTTCTTTCAACACCCTCAGCAGTAAAAGTTACAGGTATCAACTCCTGAATACATCACACTCAAGTCAAAGCCCAAACAGCTGAGGGAGCAACCCCTGGCAGCCCAGAGGAATGTCCTGAATATCAACACGAAGAAATAGATTTTAAGCTGAAAATCATAAAAGATAAGTAACTGAGTGAGGGCTACTCATCTTAGTCCCACTCCTACCTCACCAGATACTTTTTATCATTTCTACGTTTTCCTCAGGAATTCACTGCCAAATATTATAACTTCTTTTTAATGCATATTTGCAGGGAGATTTTAATTATTCATAGAATTGCATTTGTACTTTTGTAGATCCCCCAAAGGGAAATGTTATATCTTGGCAAGTAAAGTTTTTAACGGAAATTATTTACTACATCTCTTGTGGGAATTGTTATAGTCATACTACTATTTACAATAGAACTATACACTGTGACACCTACAATGTGGATTTCTGGCTATAAAATTCTAATTGCTGTAATATTTTGCCTAATCATCATCCTTATAACAGAATTAATAACTACAGGAAAAATTTAGTCAAGGTTGTTTTGCTTATAGCATTGGTAATAGTTACAGATAAGAAGTAAGCATGAAAGTTTTACTATCATTAAGTTTGATAGGACTTTTTATTAAAGATTGGTAATATGGCTCACTCTAAGCTATGGAAAGAAGGTTATAAAGAAAGTGATTTTATATAAGGAAGGATCTTGTATGGCAAATTTTTGTCCTAGAAGGAAATGACTGGTTGTTTAAAGGAAGGATATTTAGAACAAGTTAGAAAATTTGCGTATGTTGTACGAAGGTCAGTGAAAAATAATGAAATAATTTAATAATTAAAGGAAAGGAATTGGCAAGATTAACACTAAAGTTCTATTAGCCACCCAATGACATATTTCTCCCAATCATATTGCAAGTTATAAAAATCGCCTAAACCTAAAATTAAGGGGGAAATGTATGTTTTTCTCAAGGAAAATGTTGTTTATATTAACCTTTCTGGCAATGTACAGCGATATCTAGGGGAGGCAAACTGGTATTACAATCCGCTGGGATAACTAACAGGTATCAAACTCTACTGTCATAGTTATGGTCTATAGGACCCCCACTAACAGTGGTAATCTTTTTTTTTTTTTTTTTTTTTTTTTTTTTTTTTTTTGAGAGAGAGTCTCGCTCTGTAGCCCAGGCTGCAGTGCAGTGGCGCGATCTCTGCTCACTGCAACCTCCGCCTCCCGGGTTCACGCCATTCTCCTGCCTCAGCCACCCGAGTAGCTGGGACCACAGGCGCCCGCCACCACGCCCAGCTAATTTTTTGTATTTTTAGTAGAGACAGGGTTTCACCGTGTTAGCCAGGATGGTCTCGATCTCTTGACCTCGTGATCCGCCCGTCTCTGCCTCGCAAAGTGCTGGCATTACAGGCATGAGCCACCGCGCCCGGCCTACCAGTGGTAATCTTAATGCTCATATTCTAACCCTATCTTTCAAACCTCCTTGTAAAATTTATCTCTTTTCACGTAGACGCAATCAAACTACAAATGGCACTGCAAACCATGCATGTACACGCAATTCTTCCCAGAATGCTTTATCAACTTCAAGAGGAGGCCCAACTGTTGTCCCCACCACACGATGCCTCTTTTCAACAGGAAGTAGCCAGAAAGAATCATCATCCAACACCCGCCTAACAGCAGTTAGGTTTATGTCTCCTGAGGGGGGAAATAATACAGGAATTATTAAGAAATTATTTTAGGCAGCTAGAAAGGGTGAAAGTTCTCGGTGGAATTTTTCTTTTAATAAGAAGCAAACCCCAAACCCATTTTTTTCTCTAACAGAAAGTAACCTGAGAAGCTAAGCATAGATGTAACTTCGTGTGAAAATCAGTCTTAATCCTTTTAAGTATCTTATTTATACATGAAATTCACTTTCTGAAATTTTAGAAAGTTAAAATAGATTTTCTTGCTTTTCTAGTCTAGCACTAACTCTTTCTGGTTCTGTGATTAGTTTAGAAATATTACCTTGAAATTCTGTAATCTGGTATTATTCTCTTTCTCTTATCTGTATATTCTTTGTTTTATGAGTTTCCTATATTTGTTTTCTAATATGTCTGCATCTTGCTAATTTATACTGCTCCCAACAACTTCTTCCCAATGAATAGGATATCTTTCTACTTAGTTTTGAAACCCCAAAGGGCCCAGACTCCTCCAGATCCTTCAGATTTTATTCTGGACCAGTTGCATTGACCCATGCATTAAAGTATGTAAAAACTGCTACCTAGGTTTACATGCTCTTCTGAATTGTCTCACTGTTCTTCCCATGAACTTCTGTTTGCTCTCTGGGGGATTCTCATCTTCTTGCATTCCTCAAATGCCCCATTGATTCCCTGAGATCACATGAGCACAAGCTGTCAGTGCTTTCTTCCAATTCACTTACAGTTTCTAGTTTGGGGGATAAATTGTCACTTGAATGGTCTGTTTTAAGATGCGGTCTATAAGTTTTAGGTTTTATTATTAGGGATAATCTGTCTTTCTTATGGAGAAGATTTGGAAATATTCCAAAATATTCTACAATCATCATCACTTTTACAAGATGTACTTGGCATATTGATTTTTTAATGAACTCTGTTCCTCTTAATGCTTTTTAGATATTGTTCCCATATTGTCCAGTTTTCAGAGTTATGTATGGAGAGCCTGATGTCATTTTCCCTCTGTCTTAAACAGTTTTGTTTGTTTGTTCCTTTGTTTCTGCCTGTAAAATTTAGAATTTTTATTTTTGCCTTAAAGTAAAAATCTCACTTAACTTTTCTCTAAATGTACTTAGTCTCTTTTAATTCATAGTGGCTACTATTCATTGAATCTTTTGTCCCCCCACTCCTCTCAGGTAAAATTAAGTTCCATGTATTTAAGAAGAACCTAATAGAATAGAAAATAGCAAGACAATATCCAATAGAACTTACGTTAGCTCCCAATACTGCACAGACATAAAACATGTGTACGAATGACAAAAATGTAAATCATTGGAATGTCTTAGCATCTTTCTTTTATCATTCTGCATAAATCTTGTGGTCATCAATTATTATTCTTTATTGCTTCTGTTTTTATCTGCTCTCTTCTCTAATTGTGCAATTCATTTTATACATATACTGCATCACCTGGCTCTTTCAGTTTCTTATCTCTTCCTTCATCTTCATTTTCATTTAAACCTATAAAAATATCTTGATCTGCTCTTCTAATGCAGTGTTTATTATTGTATTTTGCAGCAACCAATGTGTTACTTATTCTCTTCATCACATTTTTTATTCAGTAATAATCTTTCTTATTTAATATGGTTTACAGATTGGTTTATCTAACTCTTATTGCATTTATGATGGATTATTTTTTTATATTTTTAACTTTCCTCTTTCTTATTATATGTCTCTTTCAAATGGGGCCATTTGCTCTGAATACTTTCCTGCCCTTTCTTTACTGAACTTAACAAATCCCTGTTATTCCTGGTCTGATTGTTTATTTGTAAAAGTTAGTTTATTTGGGAACTAAGATGGGTTGACTCAAATACTATATAGTTACCTGTTCAAAGTATTAAATTCTGTACAAAAGAAAACTAGAAGTTTTCTTAATTTTGCCAGTTCAGAAGGTTCACTTACATGAAACAAATACAAAGTAAGCTGAAATATTGTAGGGTAAAGTATTTCACTATCAAGGCTAAAGATTTTTCCTCTCAGCTTTTATCATTGTTCTATTTGTGTGGCTATGATTAACTGGGACATGACACCACCTTCCCTAATTGTCAGAACTGCCCTCATTTGGAACTTGCTGTAGCTCCATTTCAATAAAGTATTTTCTAATCCAGGCATAGACTGAGCATGACCACACAGCATCTGATGCACTTCCTTGTCATCACACATAGGATTGTACTTAGCTCCAGCAATTGCCTCATGACCTCCCAACCCATAGTTCTTGTTACATTTGAAAGCCTGTGGTAGCCTCAGCTGGAGAACAAGCCAGGGACCTAACTGAGTAAAATACTAATTACCTAAAGAAGCAGCTAATACTGGAAGATTCGATGCTAGGTAGAATATCTTTATTATGAGCTTTTGTGTGGCAGTCAAATTTAACAAGGGCTAGATTTCCTTCTGCAGCTGGCTAACTATCCTTTAAGGCAATACCTTGCCCTTTACTTAATACACTGGTTCAGACAACTCCTAAATGAAAATCAGCATGTGCCACAGTCCAATGAATCTCCTGTAATAATCTGTAAATTTAAGACTTATTAGGTACTGGTACACCATAATTTTTAAAAGCTCAGATTATAAACCCTAGCTATATGGTAGATTCCAGAAGCATTTTGTTTTTTGTTTTGATTTTGTTTGTTTGTTTTTGTTTTTCAAAGCTGATGTTCAGCTTCATGCCAGACTAATTAAAAAAAAAATCTATGGGATTGTTATATTTAAAATCTCCCCCCAGGTGATTTTAACCTGTAACCAAGGCTAGGAATCACTGTTAAGAGCCTACATTTGTATCCTTACTTCTCCATTGACAAGCTGTGTAACCAATCAGTATATTTGGGATTCTCTATAGAAAGGGATAGTAAGAGCACATAATTCATGTTGAGAATGATAGACAAGTTAATATACCTAGAGTAGTCTGTGTGTGGGAAATTAGGGCTACAGTATATCGAAGGCTAGTTATATTTCCCTTGAGAAGCATCTATTTTACTAAAATAAGTTATTAATTTTTTAATTTAATAGCTATAATGTATTGTTATTAATCTTAATGACTTCCTTACCTTTCATGGAAAAAGTTGCTTTCAGATTATTAAAATATGTCCCTTTTATAGTGACTGTCTTAAAACATAGTCTGTGTGGGATTTTGGGATGGGGCAAATGATCCAAAAATTACATAAGTAAATAAAGTATGATTCTTATACTCAAGAATTTTAGAGTCTACTTGAGAAATAAGAAAAAAAAAACACAATCCAACATAATGTATTGTGATGATCACAAAGATAAAGGGAAATGCAGAACAAAGTACAACCAAATCATATTCTGTGTTTGTGTATTGCAGGATGGTTGAGAAGGAAATAAGGTATGTGTACGACATCAACGAAGTCTCAGAATAAAGAGCATAATATGGAGAACACTGCAGGAAAAAAAGACATGAAATCCAGGTATAACTCAGAAACTTTCTAGTTACATAATCCTGGCCAGGCGAATCCCTCAATTACTTTCCTCACATTTAAAACTGGACATATAAAAATTGGCATGCATAGCTTTTCAAGTATATTGTGTGAAACACATCATGTGTGTAAAAAGTAGATTGGAAATTATAAAGTTCTATATAAATATCATATACTACCAATGTTACCTGTAACTTTATATTTTCTTTAAATATTGTGGTAGAAAATATGTTCATATAATAAAATATAGAAAACATGAAAAAAAACTTGGCAATCAAATATAACAGGGAGGGTGCATTTTATTTCAATAAAGGGTAATCACCAAATTAAGACATGTAATTGGTTCCAATTTTCAAAATGCAGTCAAATTCTCTTATTTTGGTAATTGATCAGATTATGTTTATGATCATATCCCACATATTTTCTAAAAGGAAAAAGTTACTGCTTTTCCAGTCTCCAGGAAGAAAGGGGACCAGAGCAGGATTATTACTGTTTGTTCTCTCTGTTCTGCTCATCTGATCTTCTTATGGAGGAACTCTGAACAACTGACACAAGTGATGGACAAACTGAAAAGATGAAACAAAGATACTCTCTGAGTTTTCTCATAATTTATCTTTTTTTTTTTAACCTCACATGCCACCAAGTCTCTACAACAGCCTTAGGCTGGAAAAAGTATGCGAATTTGCATTGCACTATGCCTTGCGCTTCAGAATCATAATTTTGCCTGATTATCATTGCATCCATAATTATAAATCATAAGCAAAACACCAGCTTACAGTAGTTACTTCAGGCATAATTGCTGTGGTAAGCAATAACATCAGTAATCAGTGGTTGACAACAACCAATGTTTCTTTCTCTTTTTTCAAAAGCTGTATTTTCATTTTGAAGCCAGGCTAAGTAGCTCCAATCTGTGACTGTTATTCTCATGCCAGTGGTCAAGAATGGGAAAGAGCCTAACCTAACGAAATAAGCATCCTTAAGCTTCCACTTGGTCATGGAAAGCATTATATGATCTTATATCCCATTGAGCAAAGCATGTCTTATAGCCAAGTCCAAAGTCAATGAAGCTGGTATGTATACTCCACCTAAATTATATGTGTGCAAGTCACATGATTGTGGACAGCAAGGCATAATTCTAGTACAGGGAGGGGGTGAATAATGGAGGAAAATATTCCAATTCATTCCTGGCCAGGTGGCATTTGCTGCAGATGTTATATTTAAAATCTTATTAGGTATGAGAGCCGCCTGAATAAAAGTAAACAGGACAACACCTGGGAATTAAATTTTTAAACATTATTTTTATCTATTAATTAACAAATAAACATTGTCTATATTTATTGTGTTCTACATGTAAGTTTTAAACATATGCATTTTTAAATAGCTAAATTGAGGTAATTAACACACTTTTCTTTACATACTTTCTTTTTGTGTGGTGAGAACACCAAAAATCTACTCTCTTAGCAATTTTAAAGAATACAAAACATTGTTATTAACTATAGTTGCTGTAGTGTTCAATAGATCTTTGGAAATTATTTCTACTATTAAACTGAAATTTTGTGTCCTTTGACCAACATATCCTCAATGCCTTACTCTCACCGCTCAGTCATAAGCAACCACCATTTAACTCTCTACTTCTCTGTGCTCAACTTTTTAGATCACGCATTATTTGTCTTTCTGTGCCTGGCTTACTTCACTTAACATAATGTTCTCCTGGTTCATCCATGTTGTTACAAATGACAGAATTTCCTTCTGTTTTAGGGCTGAATAGTATTCCATTGTGTATACATAACACATTTGCTTTATCCATTCATCATTGATGGATACTTAGATCGATTCCATATCTTAGCTATTGTGAATGATGCTGCAATGAACACGAGTGTACAGATATCTCTTTGACATGGTGATTTCAGTTCTTTTGGATATATACCCAATAGTGGGATTTCTTTATCATATAGTAGTTCAATTTTTAATATTCTGAGGAATCTCCACACTGTTTTTCACAATGGTTGTACTAATTTACCCTCCCACCAACAGTGTGCAAGGGTTCCATTTTCTCCATATCCTCTTCAACACTCGTTATTTTTTGTCTTTTTGATAATAGCCATTCTAACAGATGTGAGGTGATATTTTATTGTGGTTTTTTATTTCTCTGATGATTAAACTTATTGAACTTTTTTTCATATATCTGTGGGCCATTTATATCCCTGGGATCATCAGAATTTTAAACTTTATTTTTACAGATTCAAATTTATAAAAATAATGGGATTTTATTGTGAATTTTTACTTTGCGAAATTAATATTAGGAGAGATTTCATATTATTTGAAATGAAGTGGTCTATTGTAATGCATATTAGTGACTTTAGCTGCGTCACCACTGGTCCCAGGAAGATAAACCAAACAGCTACGTATGCTGTTGGGGGAACACTTGAATGAAGGCAGGAATAAGATTCCTTGAGTCCAGTATTACCTCCGTCCTTGGTGAAGTTAGCCAATTCCTGGTTGATCTTGGCTTAGCTGTTGATCAGCAAATTTGATGGGTTAAGAAACAAAAATGAAAAAAACAGTGGAGGGTAGAAAGAAGATGCACTTACTTGCATCTGTATCACATTTTTAGTATGGAATGGGGATTTTTGCTCCACTCCTCTGGAGGAATGACATTGAAAAATTAGAAAATGTGGCTTTACGAAATGTCTTGTTTTCTTTTGACCTCTCCTGTGTTTTGTTTCCTGGCTTAAGGAGAGGTAGGATTTCAAGCATTTTCTTCCCTTTCATGTGGTAAATAGACATGGAGGCTTTTTTGCCAAGATGCAAGGGAGGCCTGAAATGTAGTTTCTGTCCTTCTCCTTGCTATGTTAAATGTTCCTTCTTCAGAGAAGCGCATTATCTGTTTCACTTCTTCACATGATACCATCTCTAACTTTCTCTTGGATTATCAAGCTGAAAAACAGGCTATGGCTCTTAGGCAATGGGCTAATGAAAGTGCCCAGACTTTGGCCTACAGATCCAGAGGCCTCCTCCAAGGTCTAGAGCAGAGCTTTCCAACAAAAACATAATATGAGCTGCATATGTAATTTTAAAAATTCTAGTAGCCACGTTAAAAAAGTAAAAAAAGCAGGTAAAGTTAAATTAATAATATATTTTGTTCAGCATGGTATTTTCAAACATTATCATTTCAGCATGTAATCAATATAAAAATGGTCAAAAGAGTTTTTCTTTTTTGTATTAAATTTTTAAAAACTGATGTTCATTTTATACTTAGAGCATATCTCAATTCAGACTAACCACATTTCACAGGCCCAGGAGTTACATGTTAGTAGTGGGTATCTACTGAGCAGTGCAGATCTGGAGCTTTGTTTTAGTTTCCATTACAGTTTGAAAAGGGTTGCAAATTCTTGGATCGCTTCCTTAACCCAAGCAGTCCTGAAGTGCATATTTCAAAATAGCATACCAGAAGAACTTTATTCTGCTATTTATGAAAGGGTAGCTTATACTCTATTTGATCCTCATCTGCTTATTTGTACCTACTCTCACGTAGTTCAGCACATCAGTTATTAAAATTGAGTTGCCTGACTTATTTTTTTTTTTTACCTGGATGAGAAACATTCTACCCTAAAAAGGCCAGTGGATCCATAGGTTAACATGATTTTTAACTTCCAGGCTTGCAAATTGTAATGATTCACAAGTAGACAAGTTAATTTCTCATAGGTAAAGCTAATGACATTTTTAGGGACATAAAAATTTTGAAACAATTTATTAATTATTTTTAATTTTTGTGGGTACATAGTAGATGTACATATTGATAGAGTACATGAGATGTTTTAATACAGGCACGCAATGTAAAATAAGAAAATGGTGTACCTATTCCCTCCAGCATTTATCCTTTGAGTTATTTCAAAATGTACAATTATTATTGACTATTAGTCACCCTGTTTTGCTATCAAATAGTAGGTCTTATTCATCCTTTCTAACTATTTTTTTTTGTACCCATTAACAATTCTCACCTCCTCACCAGTCCCTAAATACCTTTCCCAGCCTCTGGTAACCATCCTACTTTCTGTGTACATGAGTTCAATTGTTTTGATTTTCAGATCTCACATTGTGACATAAGTGAGAACATGTGATATTTGCCTTTCTGTGCCTGGTTTATTTCATTTAACGTAATAACCTCCAGTTCTGTCCATGGTACTGCAAATAACTGGATCTCATTTTTTTTATGGCTAAATAGCAATCCATTTTGTGTATGTACCACATTTTCCTTATCCTTTCATCTGTTTATGGATACTTAGTTTATTTCCACATCTTAGCTGTTGTAAACAGTGCTGCAATAAACATAGGAGTGATGTTATTTCTTTGATCTATTGATTTCCTTTCTTTTTGTTGTATACCTAGCAGTGGGATTGTCGGATCACATGGTAATTCAGTTTTTAGTTTCTTTTTCTTTTCTTTCTTTCTTTCTTTCTTTTTTTTTTTTTTCTGGGATGGAGTCTTACTCTCTTGCCCAGGCTGGAGTGCAATGGCATGATCTCAGCTCACTGCAACCTCTGCCTCCCAGATTCAAGTGATTCTTCTGCCTCAGCCTCCTGAGTAGCTGGGATTACAGGCACCTGCCATCATGCTCGGCTAATTTTTGTACTTTCGTGGAGAAGGGGTTTCACCATGTTGGCCAGGCTGGTCTTAAACTCCTGACCTCAGGTGATCTGCCTGCCTCTGCTTCCCAAAGTGCTGGGATTACAGTTGTGAGCCACTGCGCCTGGCCCAGTTTTTAGTTTCTTAAGGAACCTTCAAACCGTTATCCACAGTGGTTGTACTAATTTACATTCCTACCAACATTGTACAAGGGTTCCCTTTTCTCCACATCCTTGCCATTATTGTTATTACCTGTCTTTTGGATATAAGCCATTTTGACTGTGGTGAGATGACATCTTATTTTAGTTTTGACTTGCATTACTCTGGCGAGCAATGATGTTGAGCACCTTTTAACTTGTATGTCTTCTTTTGAGAAATGTCTATTTGCCACTTGTATGTCCTCTTTTGAGAAATGTCTATTCAGATCATTTGTCCATTTTTAAATTGGTTTGTTAGATTTGTTTCCTATAGGGTTGTCTGAGCTCCTTATATATTATGGTTATTAATCTTTTTCCAGACAGGCAGTTTGGGAATACTTTTCTCCATTCTGTGGGTTGTCTCTTCACTTTGTTGATTGTTTCCTTTGCTGCATAGAAGCCTTTTAACTTGATGTGATCCCATTTGTCCACTTTTGGTTTGGTTGCTGTGCTTGTGAGGTATTGCTCAAAAAATTCTTTCCCAGATCAATGTCCTGGAGATTTTCATCAATGTTTTATTGTAGGAGTTTCATAGTTTGAGGTCTTAGGTAACTAAGTCTTTAATGCATTTTGAGTTGATTTTTGTGTATGGTCAGAGATGGGGGTCTAGTTTTATTCTTTTGCATATGAATATCCAGTTTCCCCAGCACCGTTTATTAGAGAGACTATCTTTTCCCTAGTGTATGTTCTTGGCACCTTTTTAAAAAATGAGTTCACCGTAGGTGTGTAGATCTGGGTTCTCTATTTTGTTTCATTGGTCTTTGTGTCTGTTTTTAGGCCAGTGCCATGCTGTTTTTGTTACTATATCGCTGTAGTATAATTTAAAGTCAGGTTTTATGATTCTTCCAGTTTTGTTCTTTTTGCCTAGGATAGGTTCAGCTATTCTAGCCTTTTGTGGTTTTGTATAAATATTAGAATTTTTTTTCTATTTCTGTAAAGACTGTTATTGGTATTTTGATAGGAATTACATTAAATATATCGATTGCTTTGGGTAGTATGGACATTTTTTTTTTTTTTTGAGATGGAGTCTCACTCTGTCACCCAGGTTGGAGTGCAATGGCACGATCTTGACTCACTACAACTTCTGCCTCCCGTGTTCAAGTGATTCTCCCACCTCAGCCTCCTGAGTAGCTGGGGTTACAGGCACCTGACATCATGCTTGGCTAATTTTTGTATTTTTGTAGAGATGGGGTTTTCTCATGTTGGCCAGGCTGGTCTTGAACTGCTGACCTCAGGTGATCCACCTGCCTCGGCCTCCCAAAGTACTGAGATTACAGGCATGAGCCACCGCACCCAGCCCAGTAGAGACATATTAACAATGTTGATTCTTCCAATCTTTGAACATAAAATATTTATTTTATTTCTTAATGTCGTCTTCAATTTTTTTCATTAGTGTTTTATAGTTTTCATGGTAGAGATCTTTCACTTCTTTGGTTAGGTTAATTCCTAGGTATTTAATTTTATTTGTGGCTATTGTAAACAGAATTACTTTCTTTTTCTTTTTCAGATTGATCACTGTTGGCATATAGAAATGCTACTGATTTTTGTAAGTTGATTTTGTATTCTGCAACTTTACTGAATTTGTTTATCAGTTCTAATAGTTTTCTTGTGGAGTCTAGGTTTTTCTAAATATCAGATTATATCATCTGCAAACAAGGATAATTTGACTTCTTTCATTCCCATTTGAATTTCCTTTATTTCTTTCTCTTGTCTGATTGCTCTAGTAGGACTTCTAGTGCTATGTTGAATAACAGTGGTGAAAGTGAGAATCCTTGTCATATTCCAAATCTTAGATAAAAGGCTTTTAGTTTTTCCCCATTCAGCATGATAGTAGATTTGGGTCTCTCGTAAATGGCTTTTGTTGTGTTGAGGTACGTTCCTTCTATACCCAGTTTTTTGAGAGTTTTTATAATGAAGGGATGCTGAGGTTTATCAAATGCTTTTTCAGCATCGACTGAAATGATCATATTGTGTTTGTCCTTCACTCTGTTGATATGACGTCTTACACTGATTGATTTGCAAATGTCAGATCATCCTTGTATCCTAGGGCTGAATCCCACTTGGTCATGATGAATGATTTTTCTAATTTATTCTTGAATTCAGTTTGCTAGTCTTTCGCTGATAATTTTTTGTGTCAGTATTCATCAGAGATATTGGCCTGTAGTATTCTTCTTTTGATGTGTCTTTGTCTAGTGTTGGTATCAGAGTAATACTGGCTTTGTAGAATTAGTTTAGAAGTATTCCCTACTCCTCTATTTTTCAAAATATTTTTAGGAGCCTTGGTAATATGTCTTATTTAAAGGTTTGGTAGAATTCAGCAGAGAAGCCATTGGGTTCTGGGCTTTTCTTTAGTGAGAGGCTTTTTATTATGGCTTCAACCTTGCTACTTGTTATTGGTCTCTTCAGGTTTTAGATTTCTTCTTGGTTCAATTTTGTTGAGTTGTATGTGTCAAGAAATTTGTCCATTTTTTCTAGAATTTCCAATTTGTTGGCCTATAGTTATTCATAGTATCCACTAATGATCCTTTGAACTTTTACAGTATCAGTTGTAGTGTCTTGTTTTTTATTTCTCATCTAATTTATTTGGATCTTCATTTGTGTCTTAGTCTGGCTAAAAGTTTGTCAATTTTGTTTAAATTTTCAAAAAAATAACTGTTTTATTGATCTTTTTTATTTTTTCATTTTGATTTAATTTATTTTTGCTCTGATTTTCATTACTTTTTGTTTCTCATTTTAAGTTTGGTTTGCTCTTGTTTTTCTCTAAGGTCCATTATTAGGTTGCTTATTTGGAGTTTTTCCTCTTTTTTGATGCAGGCATTTATAATTATAAATTTCCCTGTGAGTACTGCTTTCACTGTATTCCATATGATTTGACATGCTGTGTTTCTATTATCATTTGTTTCGAGAAATTTTTCAATTTCCTTTTTAATTTCTGTTTTGACGCACCAGTCATTCAGGAGCATATGGTTTAATTTCCATGTATTTGGATAGTTTCTAAAATTCCTCTTGTTACTAAATTCTAGTTATATTCCATTGTGGTCAGAGAAGATGCTTGATATTATGTCAATTTTTTTAAATGTTTTAAGACTTGTTTCTTGACCTAACATATATATGGTCTATTCTTGAGAGTGATCCATGTGCTGAGGAAAAGAATGTGTATTATTTAGCCATTGAATGAAATGTTATGTAAATATATATTAGATACATTTGGTCCATTGTGCAGATTAAGCCCAATGTTTCTTTGTTGATTTTCTGCCTGGAAGATCTGTCCAATGCTGAAAATGGAATGTTGAAGTCTTCAGCTATCATGGTGTTGGGGCCGACCTCTACCTTTAGCTCTAATAATATTTGCTTTATACATCTGGGTTCTCCAGTGTTGGGTGCATATATTTTTAAAATTGTTATATTCTCTTGCTGAATTGATCCCTGTATCATTTTATGGTGCTCTGCTCAGTCTCTTATAGTTTTTGCTTTGAAATTTATTTAGTCTGATATAAGTATAGCTACTCTTGCTTTTTCCTTTCCATTGGCATGGAATATCTTTTTCCATCCCTTTATTTTCCATCTATGTGTGTCTTTATAGGTGAAGTGCATTTTTTTGTGGGCAACAGATCCATGGGGTCTTGTTTCTTCATCCATTCAGCCACTCTATGTCTTTTTATTGAAGAGTTCAGTCTATTTATATTCAGTATTATTATTGATAAGTAAAGATTTACTCTTGCCATTTTGATATTTGTTTTCTGATTGTTCTATGGTCTTTCTTCTTTCTTCTTGTCTTCCTTTGGTGAAGGTGATTTAATCTGATAATATGATTTTGTTGCTTGCTTTTTATTTTTTGTGTATCCATTGTATGTGTTGTGGTTTGAGGTTACCTTGAGGCTTGCAAATACTATATTATAATTCATTATTTTAGCCTGATAACAACTTACTATTTACATAAACAAACAAGCAAAAAGAAAATCAATACAAATTCTATGCTTAAACTTCATCTGCCCACTTTTTAACTTTTTATTGTTTCTATTTATATATTATTGTACTGACCATTTCTTGAAAATTTGTTGTCATTATTATTTTTTATTTGTTCATTGTTTATTCTTTCTACTCAGGATAAGAATAGTTTACATACCACAGTTAACAGTGTTATCATAGTCTATGTTTTTCTGTGCACTTAACTATTACTAGTGAGTTTTGTGCTTCCAGATGACTTCTCATTGCTCATTAACATCCTTTTCTCTCTGATTAAAGTACCCCCTTTAGTATTTCCTGTAGGACACGTCTGGTGTTGACGAAGTCCCTCAGCTTTTGTTTGTCTGGAAAAATCTTTATTTGTCCTTCATGTTTGATGTATATTTTAGCCAGATAAAGTATTCTAGAGTAAAAGATGTTTTCCGTCAGCACTTTAAATATGCCGTGCCACACACTCCTGGCCTATAAGGTTTCCACTGAAAAGTCTGCTGCCAGATGTACTGGAGCTCCATTGTATGTTATTTGTTTCTTTTCTCTTGCTGCTTTTAGGATTCTTTCTTTATCCTTGTCCTTTGGGAGCTTGATTATTTAATACCTCGAGGTAGCCTTCTTTGGGTTAAATCTGGTTGGTGTCCTATAACCTTCTTGTGTTTGGATATTAATATCTTTCTCTAGGTTCTATAAGTTCTCTATTATTATTCCATTCCATAAACTCTCTACCACCATCTCATTCTCTACCTTTTTAATGAGGTCAATACTCTTAAATTTGCCCTTTTGAGGCTATTATCTAGATCCTGAAGGAGTACTTTATTTTTTTATTCTTTTTTCTTTTGTCTCCTCTGACTGTGTATTTTCAAATAGCTGGTCTTCAAGTGCACTAATTCTTTCTTTTGTTTGTTCCATGCTAGTAAAGGATGCATTCTTCAGGATGCCTAATTCTGATGCATTCTTCAGTATGCCTGTTGTATTTTTCAGCTCTAGAATTTATGCCTGATTCTTTTCATTTATTTCAATCTCTTTGTTAAAATTATCTGATAGAATTCTGAATTCCTTTTTTTTTGTTGTTGTTGTTCTCATGAATTTCTTTGCTTTTCTTCAACACAGCTATTTTGAATTCTCTCTCTGAAAGGTCACATAACTCTGTTTCTCCAGGATTGGTCCCTGGTGTCTTATTTAGTTCATTGGATTAAGTTATGTTTTCCTGGATGGTGTTGATGCTAGTAAATGTTCTTCAGTGTCTGGGCATTGAAGAGTTATGTATTTATTTGTAGTCTTTGCTATCTGCACTTACTTGTAGCCATCCTTTTTGGGAAGGCCTTCCAGATATTTGAAAGAATTTGGATGATCTAAGCTGTTTCTGCATTAGGGGGCACCCCAAGCCCAGTAACACCGCGGTTCTTGCAAACTTGTAGAAGTACCACCTTTATAGTCTTGGAAAGAGAAGATCAGCTATTTGAAAATACACAAATAGTGGAGTGGAGTGACACAAGCACCCCTGTGGACACCATCACTATGACTTTGCTGGGTCAGATCTGAAGCCAGCACAGTACTGGGTCTCTCCCAAGGCCTCCTACAACCACTCCCTGGCTACTGCTTATGTTCACCCTAAGCCTTGAGACTCTATAATCACCTGATGGTAAAGCCAGTCAGATCTGTGTCTTTCCCTTCAGGGTGGCAAGGTCTCCCAGGCTTCAGATGGGTCCAGAAGTACCATTTGAGAGTCAGGGACTACAGTCAAAAACCTTAGAAGTCTACCTAGCGTCTTATTTAGCTGGCTGTCAAACCACAAGATGTAGTCCTCCCCACTCTTCAGTCCCCTTTCCAAAGGCAGATAAGCTTCATCCCATATGCATCACTCCTGCTACCTCCACTGGCTATGAGGTGTACTGTCACACTACCATCGATGTTTCCTTAAGGCCCAAGGGCTTCTAAGTCAGATTGTAATGAATGCTGCGTGACCTAAAACTCACCCTTCAGGGCAATAGGCTGCCCTCTGGCCCAGAGCAGGTCCAGAAATGGTATCCAAGAGTCAAGTCCTAGAATCATGGACTCCAAGAGCCCACTTGGTGCTCTACACTCTGTGGCTGTGCTGGTACCTAAGGTGTGAGACAAAGTCCCCTTTATTTTTCCCTCTGATTTTCCCAAGAAGCAGGAGTTTTGTCCCATAGACACCACAGCTACTAATGTGCTGAGTCTTCCTTGAAGCCAACATGTTTCAGAGGCTCACCCAAGGCCCTTAATGTAGCACCTGGGTATCGCTGCTGGTTATTCAGGGCCCAAGGGTTCTTCAGTTAGCTGTTTATGAATGCTGGCAGAACTGAGTCCTTTCCTTAAAGGCAGAGGGTTCTCTTATGGCCCTAGGTATGTCTAGAAATATTGTCTGGGAGCTAGGGCCTGGAATGGGGCCTCAAAACTCTGACAAGTGCTCTATCTTGCTGTAGTTGAGCTGGTATCCAAAATGCAAGACAAAGTCTTCCCCACTGTTCCCTCTCCTTAAACAGAAGAAAGGGGTGTCTTTTGGAGCCATGAGTTGTGCAGCTTGGGGTTAGGGGAGAGGTGATGTGATGCCAGCACTCCATTGACTACCCTAGCTTGTGTCTTAGTATGTTACCCCACACTCCACCACCCCCCAGTCCACTGTCTCTGGGCCTAGGTCAGCACTAGGGCAGACCTAAGAGTTGCAGTCCTTATGGCTTGCATTGCCTTTCATGTTTACTTGGAGACAGAGAGCACTGTAGCCCTTGGTGGTGAGGTTTGTGGGATCTCAAGTTTAGACTACTGGGATTAGTGATTTTCCTCTGTCTAGGGCTGGTTTAAATGCTCCCTCCATGGTTGGGCATCAACTGAGTTTGGTCCATTTTTCCTTTCTGCTCTAGCAGGACAGCACTGAGTTCAAACCCTCACAATTGCTGTTTTCTCTCTCCCCCAGTGCCCAGAGACACTCTCTGTACTACACTACCACTGCAGGGGGTTGGTAGAGGGGTGGCATCAGTGATTCAATACTGTTTTTTTCTACCTCTTCAGTGCCTCTTTTAGAGATACAATGTTAAAACCAGGTACTATGAGTGCTTATCTGATTTTTGGTTCTTATGAAGGTGTTTTTTTCTGTGTAGATCGTTATTAAATGGGTGTCCTAGCAGGGGCAACAATTGGTGAAGCGTTCTATTACACCATTTTGTTTTGCCTACCCAGCTCATAACAATTTAATAGAAAAAAACCTACATATATTTCAACTGGGATAGAAATGTATGGTCTTTATAATAATTTATGTTTCTCTCACTCTTAGCAACAAATTATTTACTAATTTAAATTGTAGCTAAAGTGCAAAGCTCAGTTAAAGTGGTATATGCACCTAGTGAAATAAAAAGGGGACATTTTAAGTTCCAATAACAACGTTTACATACCATAACCTTAAACTTTATATATTTGATATTGCCCAATAAAGATAATTATTTTTCAGTTATAATGTAATAATGTCATAGTGTGTGACCATTCACAGTAATAGAGAACTTTGACTGCTAATAAAAGAGCAAAAAAACCTAATTAATGAAGTTCTATGGTGTCATAATAATAATCACCATATCAAAGGGTTCTTTCACTTGACTAAGTCATTATGCAGATATTTAAGCAGCAATTTCAACTATTCTATCAAATGTAGATAAAGAAAAAGAAGGCACTTTGAACATTCATACATGTTTTACATTCTTTATGGACTCATCTAAGTCTCTAAAATACAAAAGACTCATTGTATGGCTCCATTATAAAAGACTCCAGAGTAGCATTATGAAACTCAGCTTATATACTCCGTCACTTAAAATTCCAATTTCTACAGTAGACCACAGCTGCAATTGACATCTGGTGATCTTATTTTTCTTTTTCCTACCAGTAATCAATTCTAGAAATATTTGAATAAGATATATGCAAGGTAGTATGAAATAATCATTAAACATACAAGCTCTATAGCCACAGTACATGCATTTCAGTTCTAGCTACATTCCTTGCTAGCTCTGTGATTTGGGACAATCTATTAAAACTCTGTGTGCCTTGGTGTTCTTGTCTGTAAAAAGGAGGTAATATTAATTAACCACAGATTTTTGTGAGGATTAAGGTAATTAATATATATGTAAAATGACTCAGAACATTGATAGCATATAGGAAGTACTCAATAAAATTTTTGTGATGGTATTTTATTAGTAGTATTATTGCCATTACCTACATGTCTGTACACAGAATATTTAAATCACCCTTTAATAAATAAATTAGAATATCTGCATTCCGGAATGAAAAGACAAATCTCAACCTTACTTTTCAAACTTAAATTTCCTTCCTTTAAAGTTTCTATCAAAAAATTCACTACGGAAAAATAGTTGTTACTCAAAGATGAATTAAAAGACATTCTGTCTATCCATTCTTTGGTCTACAAGAGTTGCCTAATAAGTATCACCCATTATTATTTTTTTATTATTAATTACACACCTACTGATATATTCTGAGCTCCAATGTTTTAACAATTTAGAGATCCATAAAGTTATAAACTGGGGTCTATCTTATTTATTCCCACTTTATCTTATGTCATTGTAAACGTACATAAAGAACCTTCATTTATTCACTCACCCCATGAACAATATTTGTTTAATACTTACAATAAAACTGGGCAGTATGCTTAGTACTGTTGTTAAAAACAAAGCTTCTGTTTTCCCAGAGCTTACAGGGTTTACAGGGAGTTTAAACTCTCCAAAATAGGGCTTGACATTGAGATGTGGGATAAAATTTTTTTCATTTCCATTTGTATTTCATCTTATCCTTTAAAAAATCTATTTTAGGCATATTTTATATAGTGCATACATATTTATACAGTGATATATTTCAGAAATAAAAATATTCATATATTAGAAAAAATTAAAAATTGTATCATAAGAGCATGTAACTGTTTAGAGATCATGATATAAACAAGTCTAAAAAAGTATAAAAATATGATTATAGAAATGCATAAATTAGGAAGAGATTGAGAAGTGGACAATTCTCCTAATTTTGACAGTTTAGAGAAAGCTATATCCTGATAATGATACTTGTGATTAAAAAAAAAAATGGGTTTTTGTCCAGTTACAGAGTCAAAGAGTAGAAGAAACGAATAACACCAGCAGATATTTAAGGCTGAGTCTACCAAATGGGGTTACGAATGACAAAGGTTGTATGATTGATGTGAAGATAACGTGGAAATCGTGTACTCTGAACAGTAAGCAGGGCTAAGTCATGCAGAATGCCACATGTTAGGATTGGCAGTTGGGATTTCATTGTGGGCAAATGAGAATTTGTTGAGATAATGAAGACCAAAACAAGGATGCAAATCTGGGCCTATTGACCACAAAAGTGTATTCTCTTCACTGTGATAGTAGGGTGGAGTATAGCCTATGACTTGAGACTCTTATTAAGCAGTTTTAAACACACCAAGAAGAAATGATGAGAGTTCAGGCTGTGGTGCTGAGCCAGTAGTGGGCATTGAGATCAGGAGTTGAATCAGTTCAGCGAAATTTAAAGTATTTACTGTATAGGCAGGTAGAGTGTTCTGTGTGTGCATGTGAAGTGTTTTCTGTGTGGTCACTGCTTATACTGGCAGCATGCAGCATAATTACTGGATGTAATGTCTATTATGACATTCAATATCTCCCTCATAAAAATATTGATAGATACGTTTCTGTGAACATGTCTGTATTTCTTGATAAACAAGCAAGATTTTTTTTTTGGTGAGACAATTTGAATTGTACGATTTGACAAGTTTACTTTCTGTTTCAAGTTTCAGGAAGGAGGGATGAAAGTTCATAGCCAATTGATTACTTATATTAGCCTAATTTTGCTATGTTCTTATATTTTATCCTCTGGTGTTTTAAAAATGTATTCTTTGTGATGATTTTGTTATATATAATTCATTAAAACTCATATCAGTTTTTGAAAGGAATATGCCATACAACACAAATGGTTATGGAATTAAAACAATAATTCCAAAAATAATATCCTGTAATTTATAAAAATGTACAATTTTCTCTGTGAATAGAGACACTTTAACCATGTTTTAAAAAAAGGGAAAACAATTAGGAAAGTTAAAATATTTTCTAATCACATGAGTACTCTCAAATTGAAAACAATATTAATTACCAAGACACCTTCATAAATATATATATTTTTATACTGTGACCTCTATATTTTTATTGGAAGATTAATAACATGTATCTTAGCAACCACACCTGGACCCAAGGCACATGGGAGAGACTTGGCAGCATTCAAGGTGAAGTTTTTTAAGTTTAGACCGAATGCCAACAAACTATGTACTACTTTGCTTCTAAAACATATTAATACATTTATCTAAATAGAAGGAAAAACCTAAGGAAAAAAGGTAAAAGAATAAGGAAGAAAGGACAGAAAGAAGGAAGGAAAAATACTCAATGAGTAGGTAAACAACCACTCAATATGATAAAGCAGAGTGCGATAATTTAAGGAAATATGAACTTAAGTGTCCATCTAACGCCAGTAAATAGTAGGCAGATTTTAGGTTTGTGACCATAGCTATGGGAAGATATGGGTGTACATATAATGAACAATTATGAAAGATAAAATAAAAGTAATGTTTCTTAAACTTAAGCAAGCCTTATTAATGCCTGCACACATATCAGAAACAATACCTACATAGACTTTCATGGACTAAGGTATACGAATCTTATGAGAATTCATATTTTCCGACTGGAGTCAGATATTAATAACCCCAACAGCTGCACTATTAAAGTTATAAGAATAAAGTTAGAGCAAATAAATTGTAACACATTGATGTGTTATTCTTACTACCATTTTATATATGTAGAAATAGATGAATAAGTTTAAAAGATGACTTTAAGTCTTTAATGGGTATAACATTCAGAATCTCTAAAAATTCTATGTGTGGAACTAGACAGAGAATGCATAAAGTGAAATTTCCCCAGGTTTACAGATTGTCCTGTGAAATCAGAAAAGATTACAGAGGTGAGACATTCTAGAGAATATTGTTGAGACAGGGTGCATGCGCATTTAATTTGCCTTTTGAGCCCTAAGACAGGTTAAAATTAGCAACTCAAATTTAATTATTTTGACTTAGAGCAAAAGCTTTAAAATTATGGTAGCTTGCTATATGATTGTGTTTGACTTGGATCCTATTAGAAGTATTATGCAATCTATTTATTTTACTCACAATTTTAATCGTTATATTCACATTCTGAGAGTCAGAAAAATAAAATGCCCTAAAATCTTACAATCAATAAATTTTAATAATCTTGAGAAAACAGCTTACTAAAATACTGAATATTAAAAGCTGAATTACTGTGTCATCTAGGATATGGAGAAATGATTTGGTTCTCTAAAGGGGACTCACAGAACATAATACTCAGGCAGGAATGCTTTGCCATGAGCCGATTTCATTTTTACTTTCTAATATAATTCCAAGGGTTCCCATCAGCATTTCTGTGAAAACACAGACTCACATACAAACACACAAAACAAGATTTTTCCCCGCAGGAGGAAAAACTAAGTGGCAGAAGAATGCATATCTTATTTATTCTCCAGAAGAAAGAGATATTAGAAGTCACACAGTTTAGGTTCCTTATTTTATAATGAAAACCAATAATATGGATTCAAACATAGTAAGGGATGAGTTGGGACAAAAACCCTTCTCTCTTGATTGGATGTCAAGTACTACTGTTCTTATCTTTGTGTCATTCAGTCAAAGTATATAAAAATTAATAATATAAGGCATTATTAATATAATGTAAGTTGATATAAATGTAGATAAAATTAATAAGTGTGGAGAGGCCTTGCATGATCAAGGAAGTTTAACAGAGGAGCAGGGACTTGTGCTGGTCATGGAGAATGTAGATTATGTAGATTTAAGATGGGAATGGCATACAGGAGGGAGAGCAAGCTTGGGCAGAATACTTCTACTCCACATGGTAGAGGGCAAATCTTTATTTATGTCTCCCTTAACTACACTAAGTATACTGTAGGAGAGATACCAGTAACCTTCTAAAGCCAGGTCTTTCTTATGTTTTTAAGCCAGAATAAAGACTTTCTAAGAGATTTTCACATATATCATTTCTCTTGACTAACACAATCACTCTATGAGATAATGTTCACATTTTATCTATGAGTAAATCAAGGCTCAAACATTTTACCTGATTTATCCACAGTCACATAGGTTTTTAGCCACAGAGATGGAATTGAATGTCAGTATTATGACTGCAAGCCCTGTGTTTTCCAATCACATCATAGCTAAGACTCATCCAGCCTGACACCAAGCCAGTTCTCCACCAATGGGAAATACTGGAAGAAGGTGCAGACGCAGTTTGCAAAGACTTCTGCCACTTTTTGTCAAAGAGATGATTGCAAATTTAATCTGGATTTAACATTAAGGAATTCTATCTCAATTGTGTTATAAATCTCTTTCCCACACGGCCACTTATGTGTCCTCAGGCTCTTTCGTTGGGAGAAAACTCAGAGATTAATGTTGCTGGGATAGCTCCAATGTCCCACACGCATTATATGGCTCTTATTTATATTATCTAACTCTAACTAGTCAAGGGTAAGGAAAGGATATGACAAGATTTCAGTAAGTTTTTAAAAAAGTTCAGTTTACTGATACAGGTTGGGCATTCCTAGTTCTAAAATCCACTATCCAAAATGCTCCAAAATCTGAAATTTTTGAGCTCCAACATGATGCCACAGGTGGAACATCAAACACCGTAACAGGTTGCAGTCAAAACTCAGGTGTGCAACACACAGCTTATTTAGCATCCCTGAGGGGAAAAAGACTCTCCCAGCCCAGATTCCTCAGGCTAGCCTGCCCACAGAGGGTACTAAAATGACACAGGTGCAGGTCAGATGGCAGGTTTCCCATGATGCCTCACATCAGGCCAACACCCTTGTGCGTTACTCACTGTGTTTTGTTGTATATTCTCTGCTCTGTGGTGTAAAGATATTATTGAAAATGTCAAAAAGGACTGCACATATCCCGACAGGTAACAGTGATAAGAAAAAGAAGCATTTATGTGTACTGTACAGTGTATAGAAACCTTTTAATCAAAACACAGCATCATAGTTGGAGACTGAAAGCCTGCCATTGTTTGCGGTTGCTGTTGTCTAACAGCTGACACAGGTCTTCTGGTGATGATACTGTGCTGCTCAGTTACCATGAACACGTTATTTCTTCACTGTATTAGTGGCATGCCATCTTTTTAAATCAGTAGTACTAATGTGTGAATAAATGTAAGAAAATGGTGCTTATCAGTGGCATATAAATTCAGAGTCAGGAATGACGGTGATGACAGACAACCACAGGTTGTCCACATGGGTGCGTGAGATTGTGACACCTTTGCTTTCGGATGGTTCAATGTACATGAACTTTGTTTCATGCACAAAATTATTAAATATTTTATAAATTACCTTCAGCCTATGTGTAAAAGGTGTCCATAAAATATAAATAAACTTTTTGCTTAGACTTGGGCCCTATACCCAATATATCTTATGTATATGGAAATACTTCAAACTCCAAAATAATCCAAAATAATTTGAAACACTTCTGGTCCCAAGCATTTCACATAAGGGATACTCAAGCTGTAATTATATCTTAATTCATGTCAGCAAAAGTCACAATGCAATGTTTTTATTGTTCAGTGGAAACCTAGTCATCTACATTTTTGTCATCTATTTCTTTAAGCTCAAATTGATTTAACCAATGACTTCTCAAATTCAAGATAAAATCAATCATATCACTAAAAACAAAACCAAACAACCAAGCAAAAACAAAAACACTGACTAAACATTTAAAACATAGCCAAGTAGACAATGTTTGAGAGTACATTATAGACAGTTATTTATGTATTAACAAATTTAATTTCAATGATTGGCAGATTTTGCACTATAAAAATATAACTACTCCTTTAATTTAGGCACTGTGGCAGATATGGAACTTCTTCAAGTAAAGACTTGCTTTCCAGATGTGGGGAAAGCAGTTAGTAGTGAAGAGCCTGTTAGCTTTTCCAGGCTTGCTTCAGCTTCAAGCTACAGTCACATTCTTCTTGGGGTGGCCTCTGGCCAGTGACTAAGTGAGGTCGGTAGCTGAGGGCATACCATTATGAAGACATCCCCAGCTAATGACTGAGTAAGGTGGTACTACCAGGATCTCCACATTTTCTTTCATTCAGTGTGTGCTCCAGAGTGCCCAGTAGACTGGCAGAGATTTTACAGGTTTTCAGGATGCTCTGACATGACCCTCTGCCCCAACCTGCTTTCTCTCATTTCCTTTCTCATGTTTATTTCCCAGTAACTGTAAACTGCAAGATTTGTTTAATCCTAGGTTAGAAATGATTGGGAATTCTTATCAGAATAAAGGCTGAGATTTTTTTTAAGTTAAAATGTCACATTCTCTGTGGCATCTCTGATATCTTTTGGCATATTTATTCAAGTTTTCTGGTAGGTTAGCGACACTTTGTTCATCCTCTGTTACAATGTGTATTATGGTGTAATTGTAATTATTTGGTGTGGTTGCCCTCTCTAAATCCACGAAATAAAGTAGGGTTTATTTTTCCCAGTGATATCTTTGTTGGATTTATTAGTTGTCTCCGTATAAAATACATATTTAGAGACACATTATTTTTCAGATAAATGTTATCATTTTAGAACAGTAGATTGCGAGAGATTGGGGAAATCAAAGATGGAGAAAATGTTTGAGAATTGTAATCAGTGTCTCTCTGCTGAGCTATCGATCCCTTACTTTATTCTCATAAAGAGATGCTAATAGCTAAAATATGTAGTGACTTTATGCTCAAATCCTAGCACAGAAATTCACATAAAAATGTCATATTCGGTGAGATTTAGTAATTCTATGAAGAGTTTAGATTAGAAACCTTGAACTCTACATTTCAACAACCTTTTCCTGTAAAAGGATAAGAATGCAAAAAAGGGGAACCCTATGATACAATATAATTCTGGGAAAGTGTGTAAAAGTGAAGCACACACATTTTATTAAAAATTTCTAGTATAGTTAAAATTTGTAAGGAAAGGCAACCAATAAATCAGTTACCTTTGGTTGTGGTTTGGTTTCTGAAAGCCTCTGTAGTGAGATTGATAGCTTCATTCGATAATTATGTTAAACTATTATAATGCATGTCATATATGGAAATCGGTTTTATAAGCAAGTGAGATAAATTTATTATATAATACTAAGCCTCTAGATATAAATGTTAAAACAAAAATATGTCCCCATTTTCTAGAAGGGTGCACTGTGCTATTTAAATCACCCTTTGATTGAAACAGCTAATAGGGTACTTTCTTCGGTTCATGCCATGAAGATCGAAAGTTATGAAATTCACATATATTTTTGAAGAATAAAAATAATGTAATTTACTGACCGGCAGTAATAATAAGATAAAACAAAAAACTGAATTTAAACCTTTATTTGTTTAGGAAGAAAAGAAAATAAAACTATAATTATGATGTGAATAAAATAATGTTTTCCCTGTTTGGGCTATTATCCCATTGTTTTGCCTCAATGCTTTTGCTAATATTGCACTACATTCATTAAAGAAAAAAGGCACACATGGCAAACCACATTTTGCCGTCTGGGAATTAAAATAATCTTGTGGCCAGCCGAGAAGCCACTTATGCATGGCATATATATCCAGGTTCAGAATCCAAAGGATAAAAGTGGGTCATATCGTAATCAAGAAAACACAAATGCAAGCTGATCTGTACACTAAAATCAGACAGCAATGCTGAGTGGAGTCAGAATCTGCAGACAAGAGTGTGACTAACAAAGGAAGAGATTCAGCTATCCAGAGAGTCGAGACAGATAAATGAGGACCCAGGGCAGAAATCTAAATGCGTGGGACAAAGAGTTAGAAGTAAGCTGAAGTTGAAGGAAGCATCTACAAAAGAAGTAAGAGGTGAGAGAATATGCCTAATGAAATTGTGGAGAATGAGGAAGCTATTGCTGTAGTTTCTTTTGACCCAAACATTTCTGTCCCTGGTTTTCAAACTCATGGAACATAGCTTCAAACAAATGCTTAAAAACAAGGGGAATTTTATGCATAGTATTAGTTGCATTTATCAAATGCATTTATCAAATGCCCATGTTACCTTTACAATAAGAGTAGTTAGCAAATGTAAACATGTTTTTTGCATTTTCTTGAAAGTAGAAAGTAATATATATTAGGACACACCCATTGACTTGACTCAACTATATTTGAATGAGCACAATCTGGAGGACCTTATCCAAAGATAAAGTCTCAGACATTCTAGAACTATCTTGTCTTTGTCTATATCAGATGATAACTTTATTAAAGCTTCTTACAGCTGTGATATTTAATTTATTTATTTATTTATTTTGAGATAGGGTCTCACTCTGTTGCCCAGGCTGGAGTGCAGTGGCATGATCTCAGCTTACTGCATCTTCTACCTCTCTGGCTCAAGGGATCCTCTCACCTTGGCCTCCACACTAGCTGGGACCACAGGCACATGCCACCACGCCTAGCCAATTTTGTTTATTTTTTGTAGAGGCAAGACCTTACTATATTGCCCAGGCTGGTCTTGAACTCCTGAGTTCAGGTGATCTTCCCATGTAGGCCTCCCAAAATGTCAGGATTACAGGCATGAGCCATTACAATCAGCTCTACTATTTTAATTTTAATGAAAAAAGTATGTCTGAAAATTGGTTGTTTAAGAAGTCTTCCTTTTGAGGGTGTATTTTTACAACTACTCAGATGTAGCTAACAATAAAAACAAAGCATATTAAAAGTGTGCTACTAGAGAAGACAGCACTACTAAATTTATTATCATCAGACTTCTGTTCAAAGATATCTTTTAAAACACCTGTATAAAGTTATTAACTGATTAACCTGCTGAGCAAGGGATCTTGAACCAGGGGAGCTTGAGGAGAATTCCCACTCTGTCAATTTTTTTAAAAAAATACTGAACCAATTAATTTTTAATATCCGTTTTTGTTCCTATTTTTCATTTTTAAACCAAAATGACACCTTACATCTTCCCACATTATTAAAATTTCAGGAGTATAAAGGCATTGACTGACTGAGGCATTTATGTAATTTTTACTTCTCACCTTGTATGGATACCTTATGAAATCAATATACCAGATATTAGAGTATCTGATATTATATTATATTACATGCATATGTTTCCATAGTATCACAGGTGAGCAAACATGGGGTATATAAAGTCTGTAACATTTAATTTAATGTAGAAAGACAGTTTTCTTTATTTTTCCATTTTTAAAAATTATAATGTACCCCTTCAAATTATTATCAACAATTATATGAAATTTAAGATTAGAAAAAAAATTTAGTATTAAAAAACAACTAGAGTAATCTAATTCAAAATCTTAAAGGTTAATACTGTTTAAATTTGAGAGTTATTAGAGATTCTATTGGTTCCTTTTCCAAAATATTTTTATTTTTCTCCAATACTCCACGTTGTGTTTGCACTGAAAAATAGAACATTGACTAATTTTGGTAATCAGCAAATGACTTAGTACCTAAGTCACTAATTAAAGTTATAATTACACTTTTATCATCCACCCTACATTTCTCAGGTCTTTGGATTTAGGTCTCTGTAGTTAGTCACTTTTCTTGCTACCTGTCAGGAAGAGATAATGTGTCAAAATATAACAAGTTCATTATATTCTCTTGTAAGTGCTAGTTAGTCACTTCCTCCTTCTATGCTCCAAATACTCATCGAATATGGCCATGTTACAACTCTTTCTCATTGTTTTGTGATTCAGTTTTCTACCTCTGTATCTCCAAATAAATTCTGAATCCAAAGTGGGTAGTCTAAGTTGCAATTTTTGGGATGAACCCAGGACCTAAAAAAGTATCAGACATATTTTGCTTGTTCAATTTTTGTTGAATAAAATGATAAATATTTTTAAAGGACAACAGTTTGGATTTATGAATGAGGTCTCACTTATGTTCTCATAACTGATTTTCCTTCGCAATAGCATCACAGATAAGTTACTAACTGAATAATTGTCTGAGATATAATTTTATTTTTGTTGAAGTTACGTGTTTGAATTTCATACACTTACATATAGAGAACTTTATTTCATAAGTTTCAAAGATGATATGTTCAAACCATATCATTAGTTTTGAAAAAAATGAAATTATATATATTTGGTTATATTTCAAGATACTTCAAACAATTGAAGAATATAGAGGTCAGGTTTGCATAACAAAGTGTGGCATTTCATCTCAGGTGATGAGAGGTATTTATAGTTTTTTATTTTTCCTCCACCCAACCAGTTTTCTGAATCTCTGATACCAACTTATGTCCTACAATTCCATTTGATTCTAACTCTAACTACCAGGAGTTAGTATCAGACATCACAGGTTTAAAAGCTTAGTCCCTCAAAACTGCCCTCACCGTAGATGCCACTTGCAAGTATCAGGTGCTCAGGCTGCCTACCCTTTGGTCTAACTTGGCTACAAAGTCAAGGGTTCCCACAATCTCCCACACCAAGGTTAATTTGCTAGAATGACTCTGAACTCAGGTAAATGCTGTATTTACTATTACAGCTTATATTAAAGGATACAAATGAACAACCAGATAAAGTGGTACATAGTGCATGGTCCGGAAAGGTCCTGAACACAGGGGCCTTGGTTCTTATGAAGTTGGGGTATGTCGCCTTCCACGGACGTGGATGTGTTTGCCAGTTTGAAAGCTCCTTAAACCTTATGTTTAGTGTTTTTATGGAAGTTTTATTATGTAGCCATGACTGTGTCCATTGGTAATTAACTCAATCTCCAACCTTATTCCCTCCCGGGAGCTTGGAATCTGGGGCTGAAAATCCCAAGCTTGTAATCAAGGCTGGGTCTTTCTGTGATGAGCCCCTTTTCTGAAGTGGATGGTCCTGCCAAGAGTTACCTCATTAGAACAGCAGATGCTTTTATCAGCATTATCACTCTGGAAATTTCAAGAGTTTTAGAAGCTCTATGCTAAAACAAATACCAAATATCTTTCTTATTATACTATAGATGATAAGAAACTCACTACTGTTGAAAAATAATTTAGTACTGAAACAAGCAGTAGGGCTGGGATCCATAAGGATTCAGGTTTTAGTCCCACTCTTTAGCAGCTGTATAATCTTGTGCAAAAAAAAAAAAATTTTAAATTGTTTAGTGCTCAGTTTTCTTATTTGGTAGAAAGAGAAGAAGTAGGGTTAAATGACTTAAAGCATGTAAAACACGGAGCACAGAGCTGGCACAAGGCAAGCACTCAATAAGAGAGAGCTATTATTATTTTAATTGGGGATCCACAAACTTCTTTAAAGGGCCAGCTATTTTAATACTTTACAGTCTATAGCCAGTTCCTGCTTCTAATACTCAACATATCATTGTAGTGTGGAAGCAGCCATAGATGATGTATAATGAATAAACCATCCCCATAAAACTTTATTTACCAAAACAAACGGCAGGCCAGATTTGGCCTGTGGGACATAGTTTGTCCACATACCTAGTTCACATTATACAAATCCAGAATTAAGCTACTGTTGTATTGTATATCACCTCTACATTTACATAGGCCTTGAGCACATAGAATGCACTTTGTTAAATTAATTATGTATTATTTCCTCTAATTCTAGTGCCTTGATGTTTTGGGTTGTTATATCCCCCCAAAAAAGGCATGTTTGAGTCCTAACCACCACTATTTCAGAAGGCAATTGTATTTGGAAATAGAGTCTTTACAGAACTAATTAAGTTAAAATGAGGTTATTAGAATGGACAATAATGCAGTATGACATATGTCCTTATACACAGAAGAAATTTGGGCACAGACAGACATAGTGAGAAGGTGATGTGAAGAGAGGCAGGGAGAAGGTGGCCATCTGCAAGCTAGGTAATGCCTGAAGCTACTAGAAGCTAGGGGACATGCCAGAAACAGGTTCGTCCCTAGAGTCTTCAGGGGCAACATGTCCTAACCAACACCTTCATTTTAGGTTTCTGGCCTCTAACATTTTGAGGCAATAAATTTCTGTTGTCCTAAGCTACTTGATTTGTTATGGCAAAAAAAAAAAAATGCAGATTTTATTCTAGGAAGTTGGATGCTACTGCCTCAAATACCTAAAATACGAAAGTGGCTTTGGAATTGGGTCCTGCTTAAAAGCTAGAAGAGTTTTGAGGCACATGATACAAAGAAAATGTCTAAATTGGCCGGGAACGGTGGCTCACGCCTGTAATCCCAGCACTTTGGGAGGCCAAGGTGGATGGATCACAAGGTCAGGAGTTCGAGACCAGCCTGGCCAACATGGTGAAACCCCATCTCTACTAAAAATACAAAAATTAGCCAGGCGTGGCAGCGGACGCCTGTAATCCCAGCTACTCAGGAGGCTAAGGCAGAGAATTGCTTGAACCACAGAGTCAGAGATTGCATTAAGCAGAGATCATGCCACTGCACTCCAGCCTGGGTGACAGAGCGAGAATCCATCTCAAAAAAAAGAAAAGAAAAGATAAAGAAAATGTCTAAATTGCCTTAAAGAGACTGTTGATATAAATATGGACATTAAAGAAGATTCTGGTGAGGGTTCCGGAAGAGGAGTGCTGTAAAGAGTCTATTGTCTTAGAGAGAATACATATATCATCACAAACAGAATATTTCTAAAAACACAAATGTTAAGTGTGCTTCTGGTGACATTTCAGACAAAAATGAGGAATATTTTATTGAAAACTGGAGGAAAGGTGATTTTTGTTATAACGTGACAAAGAACATGCATAAATTGTGTTTTGCTGGGTGAAAAGTAGAACTTGTAAATGATAAACTTTGACATTTAGTTGAGAAGATTACTAAGCAAAGTGTTAAACTGAAGTCTTGTTTCTCTTTGTTGCCTTTAGTAAAATGTGAAATAGATAAATTGAAGAAGAAATTGTTATGCAAAAAGAAACCATAGCTTAAGGACATATAAAATTTCTCAGCCTATCCGTATTGCAAAGAAATGAGAAAATGTGCTCTGGAGAGAACACCAAGGGTGTGGCTGGACAACTGTCAGAACCTCTTATAGATTAGAGTGTGACTTATGGATCTAATCAGGCATCCCAGCAGACATGCTGCAGCCTGCAATTAAAGAGACAGAGATAGAATAAAATGAAGGACAGCTGTTAGACTTCTGGGATTCTAGAAGCAGTTAATGGCTGATAGAGGTATTTACCTGTAAATATGTGTTCTCTGCCAAGAAAAGGGAAGAATGACCCTGAAAGCAGTTTAGAGGCTGGTGGGGTGTTGCTGCCACCAGAAACTGAGGTTGCAGGCAAAGAAATCAGAGTTCCTTCCTCTTCAGTTTCAGAGCAAGGGGCCACCACCATGTTGGACCAAGAGAACAGAGCATCCAGCCAAAGATGTTAATTCTCATGTCTTAAAATATAACTGTTTTATATAAATTTTAGAATTTTTTTCTATTTCTGTAAAAACATCACTAAGCATCAGTAAAATGCTAATCAAAATCATAAAGAGATATCACCACATGCCTGTAAGGACAACTAGTATGAAACAACAGCAAGAAAAATGACATTGGCAAGAATCTGGAGAAATTGGAACCTTTGTACATTGAGAATGAAAATGCTATATCCATTGTGGAAAACAATGTATGGAATTACTCAAAAGATTAAAAATATAACTATCATACGATCTACCAATCCACCTCTGGGTATTTATCCAAAAGAATTGAAATCAGGATCTTGATGAGATATCTACTACTACTACTCTCCCTGTTTATTGCAGCACTATTCACAATAGCCAAGAGCTGGATGCAACCCAAATATCCATCAATTAATGAATAGATAAGCAAAGTGTGGAATATACATAAAATGGACTATTATTCAGCCTTTTAACAAAAGGAAATCTTGCAATATGCAGCAACATGGACATATGATATAAAATAAGCCAGTCACAGAAGAACAAATACTGCATGATTCTACTTATATAAGGCATCTGAAATACTCAGTTTCATAAAATCATAGAGTGGAAGGGTGGATACCAAGGACTGGGAGGAGGGGCAAATGGGGAATTACTAATCAACAGGCATAAACTTTCGAACAAGATGAATAAGCTGTAGAGATTTGCTGTATAACATTGTACCTACAGATGACGATAATGCATTGCACTCTTAAAAATTTGTGAAGGGGGTAGATCTTATGTTAAGTGCCTTACCACAATAAAATAATAGATAAATGTAATAAAGAATTTTAAAAGAAGCATTCAAGGATCAGGATTTAATAAATATATTTCCTTTTTTACTGCTTCAACAAGAAAAAAAAATCTAATGGAATTTTCCCTGGTAGATTTCAGACTTTCCTGATACACGTAACCCCAGTTTTCCTTCCAATTTCTCCCTTTGGTGATGGCAATAGCTATCCTATGTCTTTCCCAGCATTGTGTTTTAGAAAACAGATTACTTTTTGTCTGGTTTCACAGATTCACAGATTGAGAGGAATTTTGCCCCAGGATTAATCATATCTCTAGTTTCACCCATAACACTTATTTAATAAGATTTGTTTCAATATTATTAAGAAAATGTTCATGCTGAAGCAGTTTGCCATGGAAATGAAAAAAATTTTTAAAGAATGATTTAGAAAATATTTATAATGATGTATCTTGAAAAAATGTCAAAATAGCAAAAATATTTAGATTTCTTAAAAGATTTTTTAAAAGTCCTTGAAAAAGGTAGAAGTCAAGAAAATTTCTCAATACAGGCATTGCTTTCAAATGAGTAAATGTTATCAATATGACAAATGGAAGCCAGTTAACATATCCTCTGAGTAGTTCTTCTAAATCATTTTTAGTTATATACAATTATTTTGTGTTTTCACAAGGACTCCAAGGTAATGAAGTCTTCTGTAACCTGGGATTCCCTAACTGCCACAGATGACAACTTTTACACAATGTTAACAGATGCTTCACAAATGAGAGGGAGAGAGAGAGAAAAAGAGGATTTTTTTTTTTTTCTGAATTAAGTAAGGAACATAGTGTAGTCTTTTCATTCACTGGGAAACTGGTGCTAAGAAAACATCCTTTTTTGTGCTCCAGTATAAACTTTATGCCAACTGTGGATTCATAAATTCAATTCTTTTTATCAATGACTTTCCCTGTGGTATGCAGCTATTGGTACTGAAAGTTGAATATAATTTTGTGAGTGTGGATCTGTTGAAAGCCGCAGATGGAGTGAAATTGTTCAACACTATTCTCTGTATCATTCAAGAATCTTGGACCTACCAGCAGGGAGTCATAATAAAAGGATCATTAAAAGTTGCATAAAGAGATGTGGGACCATTGATATGCCTCTGATGACTGGAGGAACACCAGGGTCCTTTGCCTCATTCGTGCCAATTTAGATAAAAGGACACAGACACACGTGGAGTGGCTTTAAGGAGACAAGAGTTTAATAGGCAAGAAAGAAGAAAGAAGCTCCCCCATAGACAAACAAACAGAGGGGGCCTCCAAACCAAGATAGGAAACCCCAAGTGTGATGGGAAACAGTAGGTTATATTAGGAGGCCAGAGGAGTATTGGTTTGACCATATACGTCATTTACGTAGCCAGTGAAAAAACTGGCCCTCCCACCCTTGCCTTTTAATATGCAAATGCAGGGCGCCATGATGTCCTGCACACGTGAGGTTATCTGGGCATGACCATGATGGTTAGCACACAGGGTGACAAGGAGAAGAGGGTGGAAATAGCCATATTGGATGGACCCAGTTTCTGACGGCCATTATTTGCATATCAAAGCTTGCCAGCCAGCCCCTTCAAGCCAATTTTCTGCTAGATAAAAAACTTTTCTGGAGCTGCTTTAAAAGAAAAAAACCTTACCAAGGACCTCTTATCCTCTCTATCTGCCTAAAATAATTTCTAATAACTCCTATGATACCATGAAGAACAAGGGCAGTGGTAGGCCTTCTTTTTATCCTGGGTAATGAGAAGTGTTATATGGGAGGTGGAGAAGGGAAGCTACACTAGTGAACCAAGTCTTCTATAACTCTAAATATCATAGCTAGGAAAGTGCCAACCTTTGTGGCTGAAAGAAGCTGTCAGAGAGTGTTCCTATGACTGCTATTGTTGAGGCTTTCTCTAGACACTAACAGGGATTTAACCAGTGTCAATTAGCCATTCCATAGACACAGCAGCTGCTGCAACAACCAATGCTTGTGAGATTGCCACTTTTAAGATAAATTAGTACCTGTGCATCAATCAGTAGACAAAAAAATTATAGAGATGTGTACGAGGATTTCTTCAATCTGAAGGGAGAACAAGTAAAACACTCAGAACAAAAAGGATCTTGAAAACATAGACATGTTGAGGTTGATATGTAAACATTTGAATAGAAAAAAAGCAAGAACACTCAAAAAGATTATAGTATAACATATTTGATAGAACAAAAATGAAATAACCTTAGGCCAGACACAGTGGATCATGCCTGTAATCCCAGCACTTTGGGAGGCCAAGGTGGGTGGATCACTGGAGACCAAGAGTTTGAGACAAGCCTGGTCAACATAGCAAAACCCTGCCTCTACTAAAAATACAAAAAATTAGCTGGGTGTGGTGGTACATGCCTCTAATCCCAGCTACTCAGGCGACTGAGGCACGAGAATCACTTGAACCCAGAAGGTGGAGATTACGGTGAACTGAAATCACACCACTGTGCTCCAGTCTGGGCATAAAAGCAAGATTCTGTCTCAAAAATCATAATAATAATAAAAAGAAATAGCCTTAGGTGAGGTAAAAGAGGGTGGTTGATATGGTTTGGCTGTGTCCTCACCCAAACCTCAGCTTGAATTGTAGTTCCCATAATCCCCACATGTCATGGGAGGGACCTGGTGGGAGGTAATTGAATCATGGGGGTGGTTACCCTCACGTTGTTCTCATGTTAGTGAGTGAATTCTCACAAGATCTGATGGTTTTATAAGGGGCTTTTATCCCTTTGCTCCACACTTCTCTCTCCTGCCACCATGTGAAGAAGGACATGTTTTTTCCCCTTCCACCATGATTGTAAAGTTTCTGAGGCCTCCCCAGCCCTGTGAAACAATAAGTCAGTTAAACCTCTTTCCTTTATGAATTACACAGTCCCGGGCAGTTCTTTATAGTAGCGTGAGAATGGACTAATGCAGTAAATTGGTACCACAGAGAGTGGGGTGCTGCTGTAAAGATACCCAAAAATGTGGAAATGACTTTGGAACTGGGTAACAGGCAGAGGTTGGGACAGTTTGAAGGGCTCAGAAGAAGACAGGAAAACGTGGAAAAATTTGGAATTTCCTAGAGACTTGAAGGGCTCAGAAGACAGGAAGATGTGGGAAATGTTAGAACTTCCTAGAGACTTGTTAACTGGCTTTGTCCAAAATGTGGATAGTCATATGGACAATGAAGTCCAGGCTAAGGTGGTCCCAGATGGAGATTAGGAACTTATTGGGAACTGGAGTAAAGGTGACTCTTGCTTGGCAAAGAGACTGGTGGATTTTTGCTCCCGCCCTAGAGATCTGTGGAACTTTAAACTAGAGAAAGATGATATGATGATTTAGGGCATCTGGTGGGAGAAATTTCTAAGAAGCAAAACATTCAAGATGAAAGATAACATCAAAGTTTGGAAAATTTGCAGCCTGACAATGTGATAGAAAAGAAAATCCCATTATCTTAGGAGAAATTAAAGCCAGCTGCAGAAATTTGCATAAGTAATGAGAAGCCAAATGTCAATCACCAAGACAATAGGGAAAATGTCTCCAGGGCATGTCAGAGACTTTCATGGCAGCCCCTCCCATCACAGGCCCAGGGTCCTAAGAGGGAAAAATGGTGTCCTGGGTGGAGCCCAAGTCTCCCCTGATCTACACAGCCTCAGGACATGGTTCCCTGTATCCCAGCTGCTTCAGCTCCAGCTATAACTAAAAGGTACAGTTCAGGCTGTTGCATTAGAAGGTGTAAGCCCCAAGCCTTGGCAGCTTCCATGTGGCACAGGTTCTGTGGGTGTGTAGATGACAAGAATTGAGGCTTGGGAACCTCCATGTAGATTTTAGAGGATGAATGGAAATGCCTAGACATCTGCTGTGCAGGGGCAGAGCCCTCATGGAAAACCTCTGCTAGGGCAGTGCAGAAGGAAAATGTGGGGACAGAGCCCCACACAGAGTCCCCATTTGAACACTGCCTAGTGGAGCTGTGAGAAGAAGGCAACCATCCTCCAGACCCCAGAATGGTAAATCCACTTACAGCCTGCACCATGCACATGGAAAAGCCACATGCACTCAATTCCAGCCACGAAAACAGCTAGGAGCAGGGGTTGTACCATGGAAAGCCACAGAAGTGGAGCTGCTCGAGGCTGTGGGAGCCCACCATTTTCATCAGCATACCATGGATGTGAGACATGGAATCAAGCAAGATCATTTTGGCACTTTAAGATTTAATGACTGCCCTATTGGATTTAGGACTTGCATGAGGCCTGCAACCCCTTTATTCTGGACAATTTCCCCCATTTGGGGCAGGTGTATTTATCCAATGTCTGTACCCTCATTGTATCTAGGAAGTAACTAACTTGGTTTGATTTTACAGGCTTATAGGTGGAAGGGACTTGCCTTGTCTCAAATGAGACTTCGGACTGTGGACTTGTGAGTTAATGCTGAAAAGCGTTAAAACTTTGTAGGACTGTAGGAAGGACATGATTGTGTTTTGAAATGTGAAGACATAAAACTTGGGAGGGGCCAGGAGCAGAATGATATTGTTTGGCTGTGTCCCCACCCAAATTTCATCTTGAATTGCAGTTCCCATAATCCCCACATGTCATGGGAGGGGCCTGGTGGGAGGTAATTGAATCATGAGCGCGATTACCCTAATGCTGTTCTTGTGATAGTGAGTGAGTTCTCACAAGATCTGGTGGTTTTATAAGAGGCGTTCCCCCTTTTGCTCAGGACTTCTCCTTCCTGCCGCCATGTGAAGAAGGATGTGTTTGCTTCCCTTTCCACCATGATTGTAAGTTTCCTGAGGCCTCCCCAGACACACAGAACTGTGAGTCAATTAAACCTCTTTCCTTTATAAATTACCCAGTCCTGGGTCCATCTTTGTTAGCAGTGTGAGAATGGACTAATTCAGTGCTCATTGCTGGAACAAATATTAATGGCCTGCAAAGAATACATCAATTTGCATAGTCAGGATGGAAAGAAGGCAGAAAGGCAAGCAAAAGTAAGAGAGAGAGCAAAAACGAAGGCAAAGAGGAAGGATTGAGGGAAGGAAGGGAGGGGGGAGGGAGAGTGGGGAAGGAAGGAAGGAAGAAAAATAAAGAATAAAAAAAACTTTTAAGGCTTATTGATTGAGGTCATATGCAAATGAAAGTAATGCCAGGTAGAGAAAAAGAATCAGGGGCAATGCATTTAAAAATCAAATAAAAATTTCCTAAGATTGAAACAAAAATTTTGATCTTAATTGATTAGACTTGAAATTTTAGACAGCATTGATGAGAAAAGATATATACCTACAAATAACCTAGCAAAACTTTTGGACTACTAAAATAAAAGGAAATATTATGTATTTTCAAATAAAAGTATTTTTAAAATAAGAAAGACAAAATATTTGATTAAGATAAGAAATATCATACTAGAATTGAGAGGATGGTCAGATAACAACTATAAGTTGCTGAGGAAAAACTACTTCAAGCTAAGAATTGTATCCCTTGTCAAGGTATCACTCACCTACTACAGTAAAATAAATAGATATGGACCTGTCATTAGTAAATTAATGTATCACACAACTAAGAGGATAAAATTAAAGGGGTAAGGAAGGAGAGAGGGATGATTTACTTATTCCCAAACTTTAATCTTATACAGCATCCTTCCACAACTGATATTCTGAGAGATATTAAGCCTGCAAAAATTATTTGAGTATTTTTTAAAAAATTATTCCAAGGATGAAAAATAGCTAATGTCATTCTAGATGGACATTCTAGTTAAGTTAATTCACTACATAAAATATATTCATGGTTTATTTTCTCACTTGAGCCTTGATGAGGAGAAGTGGTAGAATAATAGAGTATCATAATATATAAAAACATCTGATAATTCAAAAGGAGGTAGGCATTATTGTAAGAGAAAAGTTAGTGGTAATTTTTAGTAGTTTAAAAATAACTTAATCACATAAACAAAAATAAGGAACGAACAACAAAAGAAACATAACTAATGAGAAACAAAAAGGAAGATATAAATGTCAAGTTTATCAGTTGTTCTACTGGATGTGAGTGATCTGAAATTCCTTACCAAAATATTGAGACTATCAGTGTTACACTAGGTATCTAGTCAGGTATTAGCAGAGCAGAATAGGGCTCTCCTCCAACACACCAAGAGTGTTGGGCAACCATCAGGTGTGATGGTCAGGCAGTTGTTAACTGCTTCTCTAATGTAATTGGTCACAGCCAGTGCCAGAAAAAGGCAGTCTCCTAATAGATAGAAAATACCTGAAATTGATCAGCAGCTTCCCAATAAGATTTGAAGAGTGGGCAGAAGTAATGCAAGATCCTAGTAGTTTGCCAAAGTATAAAACCCCAAGTCAAGAGGTCAAGTTGTGCACTTGGTCTCTCAAGTCACCGGCTTAGCCCTCTTCCAAGTTGTACTTTCCTTCTTTGATTTCTTTCTTTTTCTCATTGTTCTAAAGCTTTTTAGTAAACTTTCACTCCTGCTCTGAAATTTGCCTCAGTCTCTTTTTCTGCTTTATGCTCCTCAGTGGAATTCTCTCTTCTGAGGAGGCAAGGATTGAAGTTGCTGCAGACCCGTATGGTTATACTGCTGGTAGCTCAGGGTAACTTGGATTCCTGCCACAGGTAACATCAGGAGTAAAAATAAAACAATTTAAAATAAAATGTTAGCAAATATAATAAAACAGTTTATAAAAATAATGCAAAAATCTTATATTCAAAAATATATCATTCATTATATTAAACTTCATAATGATAGTTATATGGGAGAATTATATTATCTTAATAAATGGTGAAAGACATAATGAAATTCAAGTGTATGTTAATAAGGACTCTAAATACATTGGGAATTGAAGGAAATATCTTAAATATGAGTAAGACTATTTACCAAAAATCAAGAAAAAGCATAACTTAAAGTCATTTCCAAAAATAATAACAAATTTGGGATGTCATTTACTTTGCTGTTATTCTATTTTATTTTAGAGCTTTTAGTAAATCCATTGAGTTAAACTTTATAAACTTTGGTAAATATTAAAATATCATTTTGCTAATGAAATTATTGTACAGAAAGGCTCTTGGTTAAAAAATATAACAAATAAGGTAATTTGAAAAAGTAGTTAAAGAAAATACACAAAAATTAATAGATCTTATTTGTATGCCAATTATAAGTATCTTAAAATAACAAGAAAAGGACTGAGCTATACAGACAAAATGATAAAATTTTCTTGATGAATGGAAAACAACAGTCACCTATTCTTGGATAGTAAGGCTTAATAACATAAAAATATAAATTTTCCCATAATTAATACATATATTTTATAAAATTTTAAATGTAATCTCAAGGGAATGTTTTGAAATGTAAAAAATAGTATTAAAACTCATATTTAAGACTGTGTATAAAATAGCCAAGGATATTATGAAAACAAAGACAAGGGGACTCTTAACAAATATACTAAAACTTTTAATAAACGGAATGGCACTAGAATAAGCATAGACAAATAAATCAGTGAAACAGAAGAGAGTAGCAAAAATAGGTCAATTTTATGGATTTTAATTTATGAGAATAGAAAGTACTAAAAGTCAATAGAGAAAATGATTCACTCAATAAATGGAGCTGATATCATTGGCTATCCAGCAGAAAGACAATAAAGTTGGATTCATATGATACCATCCGAAAAAAAATTAAGGTGGATTAAAAACATAAAAGCTAACACCCAAAAAAATACGAAAATTTAGTAGGCTCTAATTACAACTTAGGAAATGAGAGGACCTTTGTAATTAAAACAGTATGCTTAGAGAAATCATAGACAAAATCCATAAACAACAGACAATGGTATCAGAAAAGTATTTACCTCCCACATACAAAAAATTTAGTCATTCATTCCCAACATATTCAACAAACATTGAGTTCATGCCTGTCACCAGGAGCTGCTCAAACTGACAAGAATAGAGCAGTAAATAACATTCACAAGTGCTGTGCTTTCCTGGGTTACATGACATTGGAGGTAGCAGACAATAAATAATTATGTAACATGTCAAGCAGTTATAATTGCCATAAAGAAAAATGATGTCAGTTAAAGGAATAGAGAAAGAAGAAGTGTGGTGGGGGTACTAATTTATATAGGAGAGTCAGGGAAACCCTCTGTATTAAGATGCCATGTGACCAGAGGTATGAGTGAAGTGAGGATGCAAGCAGCCAAGACAATATCTGGGAAAAGAGTGGACCAGAACAGAAGCACAAAGTAGAGAAGCCCCAAGGTGGAGACAGCAAGAACGACAGCAGTGTTAGATTGGAGTGTGGGAGAAAACGCTAGAGAGGAAGATGGATAGAGACAAAGGACCACACCACACACAGCCCTACTAGACATGAAAAGGACGTTGATTGTTAACCGGCATGAGATCAAAAACCATGGAGAATTTTGAGCAGGAGAATTGCATTATCTGGCTTATTTTTCAAAAGGATTACTCTGGAATTTCTGGAATTTTTTCATAAAATTAGAACTACCAAAATTTATGGATATATGTAAGAGGAAATTTATTGCAGCACAAATGTTGGGGGGGGGGTGGATATTGAAACAAATGAATGAGAATGATTAAACAAATTGTAGCCCAGCTTCACCATGGTATATTATTATTATTATTGTTATTAATTTTTTTTTTTGAGACGGAGTCTCACTCTGTTGCCCAGGCTGGAGTCCAGTGGCACGATCTCGGCTCACTGTAACCTCTGCCTCCGAGGTTCACGCCATTCTCCTGCCTCAGCCTCCCGAGAAGCTGGGACTACAGGTGTCCGCCACCATGCCCGGCTAATTTTTTTTTGTATTTTTAGTAGAGACGGGGTTTCACCGCGTTAGCCAGGATGGTCTCGATCTTCTGACCTCGTGATCCGACCACCTCGGCCTTCCAACACCATGGTATATTATACAACCACTGAAAAGAAGCAGTTACAGCAATACCAGTCTTCATGGATAAATGTTTAAAGGCAGAAGGTAAGACACTTAAAAGTAAAATAGTCCAATTTTTCTAAAAGGAGCAATGATGAACACCCCTCTATAGATAACTTGAATATGTTTTGTAGCATCAAATATTTTATTATTCCGATTTTCTAAAATATGCATGTATATAAAAAAGGACATCAAAAGGATAATGGTGCCATCTTTGCATAATGAGATTTCAGGTGGCTTTTGTTGTCATCTTTCTATTTTACATATTATTTGGATTTATTGAGATAATTATTCATAATATGAATGATCAGAAAAAAATATAAACTTAATTTTTAAATTTATTTCTAAAGACTCTTAAAAATGCCATAATAGGAAAACTATTAAATTTTATGCAACTGTTTCCTTGTTTTTTTTTTTTTGTTTGTTTGTTTGTTGTTGTTGTTGTTTGAGACAGAGTCTCACTCTGTTGCCCAGGCTGGAGTGCAGTGGCATGATCTTGGCTCACTGCAACCTCTGACCCTTGGGTTCAAGCAATTCTCCTGCCTCACCCTTCCGAGTAGCTGGGATTACAGGCGCCTGCCACCGTGCCCGGCTAATTTTTTTGTATTTTTAGTAGATATGGGGTTTCACCATCTTGGCCAGGCTGGTGTTGAACTCCTGACCTCGTGGTCCACCTGCCTTGGCTTCCCACAGTGCTGGGATTACAGGCATGAGCCACCACACCTGGCCAACTGTTTTCTAATTTATCTGACTAGAGTACCGTCTTTTTAGCAGAACACCTAAAAGCTTCTCTTGAAACAAACTAATGTTCCTTGGTAAAATATCATAGAACGTACTGTTCTAATAAGTCTATCAAAAAGGAATGATTAAACACATCCATGACGATGGTGCTTCTGGGAAGTACACATAGATTGGTGAAGTTCTGCTCCACGTTAATATGAAAGGCTCTGGGTTTTATTTTCCCCTGAATCAAAAGAAGGATACTGAATAAATTGCCAAAGGACATGAAAGTTTTAAAGTTTTATTCAAGGAGCACCCTGGCACAATTCACTGAAAGAGAGAGATGAATATCTAATAAACTCATGAAAAAATGTTCATGGCCACAGTTATCAAAGAAATGCAGATTAGAATAGGGTATAATCGTTTGCCTTTAAGTTGGCTGATTTTTAAAGAATAATAGCTTTGAGGGTGCGTAGACTAGCATTCAAGTACGTTGCTGGTGAGAGTGTACATTGGTGCAAGCTGAAAGGTAAATAATTTGCATTAAAAAGCTCATATACCTACAAGCAGTGATTCTTCTTCTAAAAATATATCACAAGAAAATCAGAAACATGGACATATTATTTTGTTACAATGATGTTCACTAAAGCATTATTTTTAAAGGAAATGATTATAGTGTATAATATGCCTGAAAATAAAAAATATTCATAAATACTTTTTAGTATTATGGAGAAATGTTCACAATACACAGTATGTTCTCAAAATATTTGCATACTCATATTAAAATATGCTAACTAATAAAGGAAGAAAATGTGCTAAAGTTAATAATGGCTATGTGATTACTCTGTATTGTAGGATTTTAGATAACTTCTATTCTACATGTAGTTCATCTTTTAAATCATTCTTGTTTACGAGTTTAGGAATAGGAAAGTTAAGTACTAGAGTAAAAAAATCTTTAAAAGCTGCAAGGAATGTTATGTTATTTGTAACATATCTTCAGTATTAAAAGAAATTATCAATTGTCTATCAGTAAAGACTAAAATCTGTTTGCTTCTTGTGTAGGATATTTACCTGAAAAGCAAACACTTTATATTAATCAAGAAAGAAATTGAAATATATTTTAGATAAATTTTAAAATAGCTTTATTTTGGATAGAGGAGAAATAAAATAATTTCTGCATTTTAGTAAAATAGTGTACACTCTGCTTCAGGAAGCAATGTATACTTTGACCAACTAAATGCAAATGTCAACACAAATGCTGTACAGCATTCCAAGGAATCAAATAAGAGCCAGGAAGAGGGAAAAATCTATGTTAGGGTAGGAATCATAGCAAAATTTCTTCTGAGATTAAAAATACTAAAAATGTACAATCCACATTTTGCCATTAAGCAATACATTTCCTGATAACTAGAGAGACGCCATCTAAAATCATGAATATGAGAAGATTAATGCTCTAAAATCCTATTATTTCATCACCATATAACATTGAACTCCATCAGGAAGTTAATTATCAGATTTCCTAACTATGAATAAAAAATAAATTAAAAACATCAATTTACAGTTCAGTGGAGGGATAGTATTAATTGAGAGAACATTCAAATGTGTAATTTTCAAATTTAATAATTTTAAGAATGAAAACCTTTTGCTTTTTATAACGTGTTTAGTTAGTTTGTTTGTTTATAAGGAAGAGCATCTCCTGAAACTACTGTCTCCACAAGAATAGGTTAACCTGATGTGTCAAGTTGAGATCATTGAACCCTGTGTAGAGCACTTCTGTTTCCCAAGAACTGCCTCCACACCAGAAGCCTCTCTTCAAATTCTAACAGGCATTTTTATTCATTTTACCAAAGGAACTACTGATAACAGATATCAGAAATACGGAGCTTCTTAAATAACAACTGAAAATTATAATTTGAGAAGAAACAACACCATCCTAATTAATTAGCTGTGTCCACTTCATTCATTCATTCAACAATTACTGAGCATCTCTTATGAACTAAGACTATGTTAAGTGAAGTGTGTGCAACAGTAAGAAAGACTGATATGGTTTTAATATAATAAATGCCAAACTAGCGGACATACCAAGGGGTTATGGAAGTACATACTGTAGGCAACTAGGGAAGTTAAAGAATTCTCAGAAGAAGTGACATCAAAATTGAGAATTAAAATATACAATAATCAAGACCAGCCAAGCCAGCATGCTGAAACTCCGTCTCTACTAAAAATACAAAAAAATTAGCTGAGCATGGTGGTGGGAGCCTGTAATCCCAGCCACTCAGGAAGCTGAGACATGAGAATCAGCTGAACCTGGGAAGCGGAGGTTGCAGTGAGCTGATGTAGTGCCACTGCACTGCAGCATGGGTGACAGAATGAGACTCTGTCTCAAAAAAAAAAAAAAAAAAATAGCAAGAAATTTTTGTTTTGCCTAAGCAGAGTTAGCCAGAGTATCTCCAAAATTGTATAAATAAGGTTTCTGGAAGAATTAATCTTGGAATAGGTGAGAGGTTCATTAGAGGAAGTCAGTGTGGTAGTTTTAGATATATATGAGTAGAAAATCATCCCTAAAATATCCTCTTAATGACAAGGATTCTTACAGGCTACCAATCATGTGACCAAGTCATAAAATTAAAAAATTAAAGCAGAATGGCACAAAAAATTAATTTAAAAAGCACAGTTAAATAGATTAGAATTAATGAAAAATGACAAAATTAACAGCAAAGAAAAAATAATAAAATACTTGGAATGTGATTTTAATAATTAGATGAATTATTTAAAAGGAAGCTAAACTGTGTTTTAATATTGTAATTAGAAGACAATAGATGAAATAAACAGGAAAAACAAAAAAGGATAATCTAGCAATAGCAAAAAGTTTTAAAAACTTAAAAAAGAATAAAAAGGTTTTCAAAGATATAAACCAGAGATAAAAATCTAGAAGTAAAATAACGACAATAGAGTATAAGATGATGAATGGTGATAAAAGAAATATGTAGCAGGAATCAGAGTAAGAGTGGTATCAATTCTGGGGAGAAGCCAACCATTCTGGCAGGCCAATAAAATTTTGCTTAATAAATTTATGCAAATGTATGCCTTCGATGAAAAGATGTCTGGATGCTAAAAAATGTCCCCTAAATTTGTTTTCTTTTCTTCTTGACAAAAGCCTGGGGGGCAGAGTTCCACAAAGGCTTTTTTCTCTCACCTTTCATTTGCAGCAACAGGACAGCTTGTAATTTGAGCACAACTTTCTGTACCTGTCAGTGAGGTTAAGGCTCTTGCAGAAGGATGCTGAAGAGTATCAGCAGAACCTAGCAAATTTGTAGCCCTCTGGCCTCGGGCATGTTCCACTGCCTACTTCATTTTGTAAGGGGGAAATATATTTAAACTCAAAGTATTGTTTTATTTGTTCAAATAAACAATGCACCCCCTCCTGAAGGAATCATATCTCTTTTCTAATGACAACTCAGTATTTATTAATATATCACTATGATTAGTTTCAGTCTTACTCTTATTTCAGTCCTTGCTGGGATATAAAATCTTGTATTCTTACAAGAACTGCTGCTTTGGCTGGACAGGATAACAAATATTGGTTTCACTGTTCCCCATGTTTCGGGCTTAATAAAATCCAAGTTCTCTATATTCAAGAAGATCCTTCTTAAAATCTATCATTATTTGGTGGTCTCTGCTGATTTGGAGTGATGGAGTAAATATCCAGCCTGTTCTTATTTGAATTACAATTGGAAGTGTAATGTGTCTACTAAGCATCACATATGCTTTGAAACTGGGAATGAATGGCTGACCGAGGAGCGTTATGCATATTGTATATGCACAGTATCACACAGTGAAGCTATGATTAAGAGAGGCAAGGAAAAGCCCAGACTCTCAAACGCATATGCCTGGGATAGAAGAAAATTCCTTCTGGGCAGTCTTTTCAAATTACAGCATATGGGATGCTTGAGTTACCTTTTTTTCAGGTAAGAAAAAAAGATAATTTTTTTTAAAAAAGCACTGATTTTAACAACCTAATTTTCCTGATTTTCTATTTTAGCAAAAAGTTCTACAGCAGGCATTGAAGAGGTAATTAAAGCCAAGATATTCAGCAAATTAACTTCAATAGCATTGGAAGAGAAGATATAATGCTCTAGGGTATGTCGTGTTTAGTACAATATGCTTATATGATTTTGAGAAAAGAATTGAAAAATTAAGTGTAACAGATAGAGCATACTGTTCTGCATCACCTTGGCATTGTTAAAACCCTCGCCTGAAATTGTTACCTCCCCATGCAAATTAATAGTCCTTCAATCAACTTCAGGCATGCATGCCCTAGATTGACCTAGGTCTTAACTGGGTTATATAGGATATATGCATTTATAATGAGATATAGTCCTTTTCCTAAAGGGAAGGTCTGGATGACCTTCATTTGTCTTTTTTTTTCAGTAAAAATATAAAATTTACCATTTTAACCACTTTTTAATGTACAGTTTAGTAATGTTAAGCATATTCACATTATTGTGAAACAAATCCCCAGAACTTGATGGTAGCAGTGGCCTGTCTGGAATAGCCACTGCGAAGATGCCAGCTGCATTGGTGAAGGTGAATCCGGGGCTGTGCACTCCATAGAGCCGGTGGGAGCCAGCAACAGGTGGGAAACCCACCCCTGATTGTTTTGATATCTGGTAGTTCTGATTTGTGTTTCTCTGGTGACTATTGATGTTGAGCATTTATATGTTTACATCTTTTTTAGACAAATGTCTATTCAAGTCCTTTATGTGTTTTTTAATCAGGTTGTTTGTTTTTGTTTTGTTTAATTTTGTATTGACTTGTAGGAGTTTTTTAATAATATTCTTGCTATTAACCTTTTATTAGATATATGATTAGCAAATATTTTCTTGCATTCTATAGATTGCCTATATATTCTGTTGATTGTGTTTAAGCTTTCTTTTTAAGTTTGATGTAGTCCCATTTGTCTATTTTTTTATTTTGTTTCCTGTGCTATTGGTGTCATATCCAAGAATTGATTGCCAAGTATAGTGTCATGATTTTACCCTGGTTTCTTCTAGGAATTTTATAATTTTAAGGTTTCCATTTAGGTATTTAACCCATTATTTTGACTTAATTTTTGTAAATGGTATGAGATAGTGGGCCAATTTGATTGTTTTGCAGGTGGATCTCTACTTTCCTTAATACTACTTGTTAAAGAGACTGCCTTTTCTCCATTGAGTGGTCTCCATTGAGTGGTCTTGGAACTGTTGTTGAATTTAGCCATATACACAAGGGGTTACTTCTGTGCTTTCTATTCTATTCCACTGGTCTATTTGTCTGATTTTATGTCAGTATATCACACTGTTTTAATTACTATAGCTTTGTAATCTGCTTTGAAATCAAGAAATGTAAGTGATCCACCTCTGTCCTTTTTAAAAATTATTTTGGCTACTTTGGGTTTCTTGACATTATCTATATTTCTAGGATGAACTTTCTATTTTTGTAAAAAATGCCATTGGGCATTTTGATAGAGATTGCAGTGAATTTGTAGATTGCTTTGGCTACTATGGAATAATATATAACCAGCTGTTGTTTCATGGAGTGGTCTAATTTACCTATAGCACTTTTAAGTCCTATATTTCTTTATTATATTCTGCCTAGTTCTATCCACTATGAAAAGTGAGATATTGAAGTTTCCTACTATTTTTGTGTTACTATATATTTCTTTCTTTGATTCTGTCAAGGTTTGCTTCATATATTTAAGAGTTCTATGATTTGGCAAATAAAAATTTATAACTGTTATGTCTTCTTGGTGAATGGACCCTGTAATTATTATCTAATGCCCCCTTTGTCTATTCAGCCTTTAAAAAAATTAGCCTATTTTTAATATTAGTATAGCCAGTCCTGCTCTCTTTTGATTACCATTTGCATGAAATATATCTTTTCTCATCCTTTCAGCTTCAGCCTATGTATGTCTCCAGATATAAAGTATGTCTCTTATATATATCATATAGGTGAATTATATATTTTTAATCCATTCAGCTAATCTGTCTGTTTCATTGTGGAGTTTAATCCATTTATATTTAAAATAATTATTGATAGTGAAGATTTATTATTACCATTTTATTTATTGTTTTCTATACATCTTGTAGCTTTTTTGTCCCTCTTTTCCTTTCTTGTTTCCTGACTTTGTGTTTTGTTGATTTTTTGTAGCCATATGTTCGATTCTCTTATTTCCTTTTCTGTATATTCTATAAATTGTATGTGCATGATTACCATTGCAATTACATAACGCATCTTAAAATACAAAATTCTGTTTTAATCTAATAACAGATTAATTTAAATCACATAAAAATCTCCACCCCACACTCTTTATGTTATCGATGTTAAATTTTTATCTTTATATACTGTATACTTATTAACATTAATTTGTAATTTAATGGTTTTTGTCATTTAAATTCTATGTACCAAACTTACTGTAGTACAAGTTAGTACATTTGTCCATGTTTTTACCTTTGCCAGAAAACTATATTTTTTGTAAAGCTGCAAGTTTCTAGCTACCAAATTTTCATCTCAAATTGAAGGACCAACTTTAGCGTTTCTTGTAAAGTGAGACTAGTGGTAATGACCTCCATCTGCATCTGCTTTTGTTTATCCAAAACAGTCTTAATTTCTCTTTCTTCTTCTTCTTTTTTTTTTTTTTTTTTTTTTTTTTGAGATGGAGTTTTGCTCTTGTTTCCCAGGCTGGAGTGTATTGGTGGAATCTCGGCTCACTGCAACCTCCGCCTCCCAGGTTCAAGCGATTCTCTTGCCTCAGCCTCCCGAGTAGCTGCGATTACAGGCACCTGCCACCATGCCCAGCTAATTTTGTATTTTTATTAGAGATGGGTTTTCTCCATGTTGGTCAGGCTGGTCTCAAACTCCAGAACTCAGGTGATCCGCCCGCCTCGGCCTCCCAAAGTGCTGGGATTACAGGCATGAACCACGGTGCATGGCCATTTTTTTTTTTTTTTTTTTGAGACAACATCTTGCTCTGTTGCCCAGGCTGAGTGCAATGGCACAATCATGGTTCACTGCATCCTCAACCTCCCAGGCTCAAGCAATCCTCCTGCCTCAGCCTCCTGAATAGCTAGGACTACAGGCATGTGTCACTCACACTCAGCTTACTTTTATAAAAATTTTTTGTAGAGACAGAGTCTTGCTCTCTTGCCCAGGCTAGTCTTGAACTCCTGGGTGTGAGCAATCTTTCTACCTCTGCCTCTCTGCTTTGCTTTTAAAGACAGTTTTGCCACATGTAGCATTATTCCTTCCCTATTCTTTTTTCTTTCAGCACTTTAAAAATATCATCCCACTCCCATGTGACCTACAAAGTTTTGCTGAAAAATCTGCCGATAATCTTATAGAAACTGCCTTGTGTGTGATGAATCACCTTTCTTTTGCTGCTTTCAAGACTCTGTTTTTGTCTTTGATTTAGGCAGTTTGATTATAATGTGTTGCAGTATGGTACTCTTTGGATTTAGTCTAGTTATAGTGAGGTTCTTGAAACTTATGTTCTAGTTTTTTCCTCACTTCCTCAGATTTAGGAGATCTTCTGCCATTATTTCTACAAATGAACTCTCTGCCCTTTTTTTTTTTTTCTCCTTTCTCTTTCTGGGACTCCCACATTGGTTTGCTTGATAGTGTTCGATAAGTATTATGGCTTCATAAGTACCTAAGGTTCACTGCACTTTTCTTTAGTTTAGTTTTCTTTTGTTTCTAACAAGAGCTGAATCAAACAGACTTTATTCAACATTTTAGGATGAGGAAAAAATGATATAAAATAAGTCATAAGAAATACTTTCTTATACTCACACCATTTTCAATGTTTTGCAAAATGCTCCATAGCAAATGTGAAAAGCTTCAACACACTCTTATAACTTCTGCTGCAATAAATGCAACATTAAGCAAACACACAAATTTCTTCTGTACCAACCTTAAAATTTGAATTACTGAATTGCTAATTGTTATGGTGTCACTCATACATACTTTCATTCATACACTTTAATGAGATCATTGTCTGTCATGTAGTTATCAAAAATTTTACAATATATTGCACAGGTTTATAGTACAATTTAGAATCTAGCTCCTTACTATCAGCCACTTTTCTGATTGCTTTCATGGTCTTCCTTTACTACAAAATTATGATCAGCACAAATTGCAAACATATCTGCTTCAGTACAAACATTTCTCAGGGTCTGCTTCATTAAAGCCATCTGAAAACATCACAAAATTGCTTTACAATCGATTTCACCATGGTTTGAAATGGGATCCACATGGACTTTCAATATGCCTAAATTTGCTTGTTCATTTGGCAAATCAGTATGTACTTTTCTATCTAATCTTCTTGGATGCAGCAAAGCAGGATCTAGGAAATCTGGTTGACTTATAGCCATGGTTGTTTTAACTCTATGCAGAGTATCCAATCCATCCATTTGATTCAGTAACTCCATTAAAGTTCTCTGAATCTCTCTGTCAGGTGAATTACTCTCAGAAAACCGATAGCTACCAACAACACCTATTTCACCTGTAAAAAATGATGCATGAATATGATTTTTTGAAGGTGAGATGTTTCTAACTGTGTGGCATTATTTCCAGGCTCTGTCTTCTGTTCCATTGGTCTATGCATCTGCTTTTGGACAGTAGCATGCTGTTTTTGTTACTGTAGCCTTGATCATAGTTTGAAATTGGGTAATGTGATGCCTCCAGCTTTGTTCTTTTTGCTTAGGATTGCCTTGGCTATTTGAGCTCTTTTTGGTCACATGTGAATTTTAAAATAGCTTTTTTTATAATCATGTGAAGGATGCCACTGCTAGTTTGATAGGAATATCATTGAATCTGTAAATTGCTTTGGGCAGTATGACCATTTTGACAACATAAATTCTCCCTATCCATGTGCATGAAATTTTTTTGTGTGTCTTTTGTGTGTCATCTATGATTTCTTTGGGTAGTGTTTTACAACTATCATTGTAGAGGTCTTTCACTTCATTGGTTAAGCTCTATTCCTAGGTGTCTTATTCTATTTGTGGCTATTGTAAATGGGATTGTGTTTTTGATTTGGTACTCAGCTTCAATGTTGTCGCTGTATAGGAATCCTACTGATTTTCATACATTGCTGTTGTATCCTGAAACTTTGCTAAAGTTATATATCAGACCAAGGAGCTTTTGGGCAGAAACTGTGGGGCTCTCTACACATACAATCATATCATCTGTGGACAGGAATAGTTTGACTTCTTCTCTTTTTATTTAGATGCCTTTAATGTCTTTCTCTTTTGTGATTGCTCTGGGTATGACGTCCACTACTATGTTGAAAAAGACTGGTGAAAGAGGGCATAGTTGTCTTGTGCCAGTTTTCAAGGGGGAATGCTTCCAGCCTTTGCTCATTCAGTATGCTATTGTCTGTGGGTTTTTCATACATGGCTCTTATTAGTTTGAAGTACATTTATTCAATGCCTAGTTTATTGAGGCTTTTTAATATGAAGGAATATTGAATTTTATCAAAAGCTTTTTCTGTATCTATTGAGATGATCATGTGGTTTCTGATTTAATTTTATGTGGTGAATAAAATTTACTGATTTATGTATGTTGAACCAATCTTGCATCCCAGGAATAAAGCCTACTTGATCATGGGGAATTAGCCTTTTTATGTGCTGCTGGATTCTGTTAGTATTCTGTTGAGGATTTTTACATCTGTGTTCATCAAGGATATTGTCTTGAATTTTTTTGTTATTGTTGTTGTTTCTGCCAAATTTTGTTATTAGGAAAATGCTGGCCTCATAGAATGAATTAGAAAAGAGTCCTTCTTCCTCAATATTTTTGGAATCACTTCATTAAAAATGGTACCAGCTTTTTCTTATATATCTGGTAGAATTGGTCTGAGAATCTATCTGGTCTTGGGCTTTTTCTTGTTGGTAGGCATTTTATTATTAATTCAATTTTGGAACACATTAATCTGTTCAGTGTTTGAATGTTTTCCTGATTCAGTCTTGGGAGGTTGTATGTATTTATCTCTAAGAACATATTTATTCATTCTAGGTTTGCTGGTTTGTGTGGACAGGGTGTTCATAATAGTCCCTGAGGGTTTTTTGTATTTCTGTAGTGTTGGTGGTAATATCTCCTTTTTCATTTATAATTGTATTTATTAGGTTCATCTCTTTTTTTCTTTATTAGTGTAGTTAGTGGTCTACCTATCTTATTAATTCTTTCAAGAACCAGCTCCTGAATTCATTTGTCTTTTTTCTTCTTTTGTATCTCAATTTCCTTCAATTCAGCTCTGATATTTGTTATTTCTTGTCTTCTGCTAGCTTTGGGGTTAGTTTGCTCTTGTTTCTCTAGTTCCTCTAGAGGCGATGTTAGGTTAATTTGAGATGTTTCTAAGTTTTTGATGTAAACGTTTAGTGCCATAAACTTCCCTCTAAATACTGCTTTTGCTGTGTTCCAGAGATTCTTGTATGTTGTATCTTTTTTCTCATTAGTTTCAAAGAATTTCTTAATTTCTGCCTTAATTTCATTATTTCCCCACAAATAACTTAGCAGCAGGTTGTTTAGTTTTCACTTAATTATATGATTTTGAGTGACTTTGTTAGCAATGATTTCTGTTTTTATTGCACTGTAGTCCAAGAATGTGGTTGATATTATTTCATTATTTTTGTTTTAGTTTTTGATAAGGGTTGTTTCATGCCCAGTTGTGTGGTCTACTTTACAGTATGTGCCATGTGGCAATGAGAAAAATATATATTCTGTTGGTTTTTTGTGCAGAGTTCTGTAAATGTCTATTAGGTTCATTTCTTTAAGTTGTAAGATCCAAAATAATGTTGTTCATTTTCTTCCTTGAAATGAACAACATTTCAAGGAACATATTACTGTCAGTGGGATGTCAATGCAGATAATTGAAACTAGACCCTTTCCTTATACCATATACAAAAATTAACTCAAAAATAGATTAAAGATTTAAATCTAAAACTAAAAACTATATAAACAATGAAAGAAAACCTAGGAAATACCATTTTGGACATAGGAGCTTGCAAAGACTTTATGACGTAGATGCCAAAAGCAATTAAAACAACAACAAAAAAAGTGACAAATAGGACCTAACAAAACTAAAGAGCTTCTGCACAGCAAAATAAATTATCAAAAAACTAAACAGACAACCTTCAGAATGGGAGAAAATATTTGCAAAATATGTATCTGACAAAAGTCTAATATCCAGGATCTATAAAGAACATAAACAAATTTACAAGCAAAAAACAAACAACCCCATTAAAAAGTTGTCAAAGAACATGAACAGGCACTTTTCAAAAGACATGCACACAGCGAGCAAGCATACAAAAAAAGTTCAACATCACTAATCATTAGAGAAATGCAAATTAAAACAACAATGAGATACCATCTCACGTTAGTCAGAATGCCTATTATTAGAAAGTCAAAAAATAACAGATGCTGGTGAGATTGTGGAGAAAAGGAAATGCTTATCCACTGCTAGTGGGAAAGTAAATTAGTTCAGCCATTGTGGAAAGCAATTTTGTGATTTCTCAAAGAACTTAGAAAGAATTGCCATTTGATCCAACAATTTTATTAATCATTACTCAATTTCATTATTAAGTATTGATCAAGAAGACTTCATGAGGCAAAATAAGGAACTGTCAAACATAAAGACAGGTAATTTGAAATCACTAAGTCAGAGGAGCTAAAAAAAACTGTGAGGTTTCTCATCATGGTACTCCCTAGAGGTAAGCTGCTTCAGGACTACCACAGGAAGCTAAAAGAGCATAAGGAAATTGATGGCCATCTTAAGGAGTTAAAGGAACAATTAACTCTAGAACTTCTTCTTCTTTTTCTTTCTTTTTTTTTTTTTTTGAGACAGAGTCTCACTCTGTCGCCCAAGTTGGAGTGCAATGGTGCAATCTTGGCTCACTGTAACTTCTGCCTCCCAGGTTCAAGGAATTCTCCTGGCCTCAGCCTCCTGAGTAGCTGGAATTACAGGTGCACACCACCATGTCTGGCTAACTTTTTGATTTTTAGTAGAGACAGGATTTCACCAAGTTGGCCAGGCTGGTCTTGAACTCCTAACCTCAGATGAACCATCCGCCTTGGCCCCCCAAAGTGCTGGGATTACAGGTGTGGGCCACCATGCCCAGCCAACTCTAGAACTTCTGATTGAATCTTTCTTTATAGGTTCTATACTATCATTTTGTTCAATAATCATTTTTCTGTTTTTTATTTAGTTGACCATTTGTATTTTTTCAGCTCCTTAAGCATTCTTGTGGATATTATTTTAAATTCTTTATTACTCAGCTCATAGATCTATGCTTCTTTAGAGTTTTTTTTTTTCTGGAGTTTTATTTTGCTTTTTTAATTTGGCCATGTTGTTTTCTGTTTCTTTGTGGGTTTTATAATTTTTACTAGGATTTGAGCATTTGCAAAACAAAACTACCTCTTCCTGTCTTTACATACTGAATTTGTTCAGGTAAGGACTCTCATCACTCAGGCTGATTGTAGGATGTTCTTTTTTTTTTTTTTCTGAAAAAACATTTTTTCTAATATCTTGCTCTCCTTGGCATCTTCCCATAGAACTGGGGCTCTAATATACTTCTCACTTCTTTCTTAACGACTTCCAAACTCTGCCACCAGTCCTGTCAGCCCTCTAACTCTATTGAGGCAGAAAACAGTTTCTCATGCAGGCTCAAGACAAACTAGAAAGTTTAACACATGCTCAACTCTTTTATTTCTGTCCTAAGGGAGAAGCTCTGGTATGGTGTGGTTTCCTCCTGTTTGCTCTGTATTGTGCTACATAGGGAGAAGAGCACAAATAGTCATGCTGTTATGAGATCTTTGGGGTGTCAATTTTTCTGGCCAGAAACCTCGGTGGCCATGGCACCTTTGCCAGAGTTCTTGTCCTGCGTTCAAGATGAATCAGGTATGCAGGCAAGTGAAAGGTGAGTAAGAAGAGTTTTATTTAGTGTTAGAACAGCTCAGAGAAGTGATTAACTCCTCTCTATTGGCAGGTCATCCCTATCCAGTGTTCAGCTCTAAGCAAAGAGGAGGACTTGGAGAGGGTAACTCCTCTCTGCAGGCAAGTCATTGGGATGTCTGCACAGGTCTCTGAAGCTTTCAGCAGAGGGGGTAACTCCTCCCTGCTGGCATGTCCTCTTTGCAGCTCCCAGTGGAGAGGGTATTCCTCTCTGCAGCTTGTCATCCAGTCTCTCTACCCTCTTCCTTCTCTGGCCATCCTCTAACCTGCTCTGGCTGAGCCCAGGGCTTTTATGGACCTCAGAGGGGAGGAAGTGCATGCTGATTGGTCCATGGGTGGCCATGGGCAGGCCCGGAAGAGGCACCATGAGTCCCCACTCTGGTCTAAGGGACTGGCAGCCCAGCCCCCAGACTTCAGGCCCTCTCTGGCCTGAGGATGGGGCCTTACTGGGGACCCCACCCACTTCTGCCCAGAACTCTGTCTGCCTCCCCCTGCCATTCATGGCCTGGGGGCTTGGCTTCAACCAAGCCTCCGAGATTGGAGCAGATGCCAGGAACAGAGAGAGGCCAGACAGTGGAAGCAGACACCCCTGAGCCTGCAGGGAAGGGGTGTGGTGCAGGCAGGGTGGGGGTGTCCTTCCTGGGGTGCCAAGGGTGCAGGCTGCAGAGACACCCGGGTCCTGTGCCTGGGAGGGCAGCCGCAGCTGCACCCAGAGCTCCTGCCCCACCAACTCAGAAGGGGCAGGGCTCCCGCTAGTCCCTGCCTCCTGTCTGCTTCCGGGAGCCAGAGGTCCAGGTCTGCAACAGCAGGAATGGCTGTTCCCGGCTGATCCTGCCTGTTCCTGGCTCCCCCAAGAGCACAGGGGGGCTCAGATCCACAGCTGCAGTTTGGGAGGCTGGAACCAAGGGTGGGGCTCCTGCCTGCTCCGCAGAGCTGGAGGCCTGGGTCTACAGCTGCAGTTTGTGGCTCCCATCCCAAGAAGGGGCGGGGCTTCCACCAGCTCCATGGAGTGTGCAGCCCCAGCCATGCAGCTGATGGCAGCAGCTGCTGTCATCAATGCCAGACACCACAAATTTTTCTACCCTTTTCACTGGAATTCCTTTTTGTTTTTACACTAACCTGGGTGCTGTAGCTTCACATTTCATCTCTAGAATTCTAACAGATATTGTCATTGCTATTTTGTTGGTAACTTTATTTTATTTTTATTTTTTATTTTATTATTATGTTTTTTGAGACACAGTCTCCCTCTCTCGCCCAGGCTGGAGTGCAGTGGCACCATCTCCGCTAACTGCAAGCTCCGCCTCCTCGGTTCACGCCATTCTCCTGCCTCAGCCTCCAGAGTATCTGAGACTACAGGCATCCACCACCACACCTGGCTAATTTTCTGTATTTTTAATAGACACGGGGTTTCACCGTGTTAGCCAGGATGGTCTCGATCTCCTGACCTCGTGATCCGCCTGTCTCGGCCTCCCAAAGTGTTGGGATTACAGGCGTGAGCCACCACTCCCAGCCGTATTTTGTTGGTAACTTGATGTCTTTGTGGAGGAATAATGGTCTGTAGCTTTCTAACCTGTCATCTTGCTGATGTCTACCTTGTTTGTTTGCTTTTCAACAATTTTTTTTAACTTCTGTCAGGATTTAGATAATCTTCTAATAGACTCCCTACCTTAATCTTTGCCATCACCAATCAAATATTTAAATTACTAATCTGATCATGCTACTTCATTGCTTACATTTTTGAAGTAGCGTCTTTGTCTACAGTGTAAATTTCAACCTCATGCACATACTTCACCTGGCCTTCCAAGACGCATACCTCATCCAAATTTTTCTCTTCATCTTCTAATGCCCTCTTCAGCTCATGTAACTTTGCACCAACAAATGCCTTCATTATTCTCCTGTTGATTAATATTTTCATTCTACCATGATTTAAGTATTATTTTACCTGTCAGGATCATCTCTTTTTACCTTCCCCTACTTATCTTATGATCTACTCAGGTTTTGGCTTCTAGGTGAACTGGACCTATTACAGTTGAATTAAATATTTCTCCATGCTCCTGAAAATGCTCTATCATGGCATTCATTAAATTGTGTTTTACTTACTTGTATACTTGACTATTATTCCCTTTTCTATTATCACTACTTAACATGAAATCCACATAGTAGGTGCTCAATAATTGTCTACTGAATAGATAAATAAAATAATTGCCCTGAAATGTACTATTTAATATTACCCCAGGACATCATTTTTTAAAAAATAAATGTACGACTGAGTTTTAATAAGATGCCCATTTTAATTGAGAGCTTTTCACTCCACAGAAACTGCAAAGTTGCCTCTCAGAAAAAAAAAAATATTTTCATTTGAGACATTTATTTTCAATATTTTAACACAAACATTAGCAGATATGAAAAATGCTTCTAAATGTTTAGTGAATTCAATAGCTCAATACTTTCATGTTTTGACAATGTCTTAAAAGAGAAAAGAAAATGAAAATGACAGTTTATATTTGCTGATGTTACTTAGAGATAAGAATGTTCCTTTTTCTTTTCTTTCTCATTGACCTAAAAATTTATCTTCCAGATTTAAATTCCTAAGAATTATTTTTGCATTTTTCAAAGGAGATGCATGCCATCCCTTGTTCAGTCTTGCTTTAAGGTGCCAATAATTTCTTTCTGCGAACTCTGCCCAGGTATGTGCTCATGCTTTCATTCACCTCGAATTTAGTATATCCCAAATGTAAGCTCGTAGCCACTTTTTTATACTTAATGGTCTATCCTTGGTGCCCAGAAATGCCTAGCTAGCAATTAAGAGTAGACACTTGGTAGAAGTTTTAGTGAATATTAATGCATTCTACCTCTTTTTGTTTGTTTTAGTATTCTTCTTATCTTCATATGCACATACTTCATTATCCTGGGTAATAAATTAACAATATCCACAGTCCATGCTATTGGACCTATCTTGCATTAGTCTATGTATTAGTTTTAAATTCTTATTCACCTCTTCCAGCTTCCAGTGAATGCCAGCATTACCTAATTTATGACTGTGTCACTTTTGTCTCTGTCTCAGTGATCACCTTACCTACTCCTGTCTGTATGAAGATTCACTTTGTCTTCCTCTTATAAAGGCACATATAATTGCATTTAGTGCCTATCTGGCTAATCTGCAATAATCTTTCCATCTCACTATCCTTAATTAATCACGTATTTTGCCATATAAATCCACGTTTACAGAGTTCATGGATCAGGGCACATTTTTCAGCCTACCATAGTCTGTTTCTATAGGACTTGGGCCAAACTTCTAATTAAAGATTACTGTACAATTAGATGAGTAAGTAATATTTTTAATAATGATATGCACAAATAAAATAATGTTTCAGAACTTTTTTCTGGTAGTATGAGGGTTTTGTTTTTGTTTTTAATTCCTAAAACTGCGGATTTGCCTTTCCCCTTTACTAACAAAATATTATACTTAGGAATATGAGTGATTGGAACATTTTGAGTGAAATTCTAATGTGAATTCTTTCTTTATGTTTCCAACACAACATTAAGCACAAAATAATTCTGCAATTATTTTACTTATTGCAAAATATATTTAATGCATGGCGACTGATGGGGAATGTCACCCCTAACTACTGAATATGTTACCAAAACTCTGTTTCTTCTTTTATGCTGAGGAAGAATGAATAATGTATAAAGATGCAGGTAAGAGACCTGAGACGTTTTTAATATGGTTAAAACTTTGGCTGTGTAATATTCAAGTAGCTATTTTTGGCGGTGTTTTAGAAAGTAATGCAAATGTACAGACAAGGCAAGGATAGAGAAGCCAAACGTGGATTTGGAGAGCAGAACTTACTTCATACTTCAAAGGCCTGGGAGTTGCTGTGCATTTTTTAGCAAAGAGAATGTTTGGAGAGGCAGGTTGACAGGCGTGTACAAAGATAGCCACAAAACTACTTAATGCCCACCGTCTGTGGATAATCTGGAGCAGTTCCGAAATACTGGTCTATGGACCAGTCCAGATACTCAGACTCTTCTAGGTCTGTGGGGAAATGGCAAATACTCTATGAGAAAAGTGAGTGTAAACTCACTTATACTCATCAAAGTAATAAATGTCTTCAAAGAGCTAAAGTTTGAAGTTTAAAGTAAATCTTCTATAAAGATATTAAATCCTTTCTAATTTTGGATGGCAAATGGTAATTTTTTATGAGATAATGGTGAGAGCATTTACCATAGGGCTATACAAAGGATGTTCATACAGCTACTAGAGGTATTTAAGCTCATGGGAAATACAATGGACCCACAATTGTACTAGACATTGTCAGCTGTGGCCACATCATATTCATTTTTCCCTTTCCTAAGGACACCCTGATCTCCTTTTAACAAATATGTTTCTTTGTATATAGATTTAGCAGAATGATAAATTTAGATACTCATGTTCAACTCTAAGAGCCTTTGGTACAAGATCTCTTCTCATCCGAGTACAAACTATGAAGCAGATGCATGACAATTGGAGATTTATTTATTTATTTTTTATTATTATTATTTTGGAAGTATCCTGGTTGGATGTTTGCTGCTGTGGTTTCTGCTCCTTGGCTTGCTAGAAGCTCTCCCTTCCACTCCACTCCCTAAGCCCAGTTTTCCTTCTAGTATATAACCTTTTTTTTTTTTTTTTTTTTTTTTTTTTTTTTTTGCGAGAGAGTCTCACTCTGTCCCCCAGGCTGGAGTGCAGTGGAGTGATCTCGGCTCACTGCAACCTCTGCCTCTCGGGTTCAAGCTATTCTCCTGCCTCAGTCTCCCAAGTAGCTGGGACTACAGGCACGCCACCACACCACACCTGGCTAGTTTTTCTAATTTTAGTACAGACGGGGTTTCACCATATTGATCAGGCTGGTCTCGAACTCCTGACCTCAGGTGATTCGCCCACCTAGGCCTCCCAAAGTGCTGGAATTATAGGTGTGAGCCACCATGCCTGGTCAACAACTTATTTAATTTATCCAGATTTTTCTTTAATTGCAGTCATACTATAAACTAGCTGATATGTTTACCAAATACCTATGCAAACTTGAAAGTAATTGCATCTTTTCTAGAGCTAATAATAAAACCTGCTTCAGAGAGTCAAGAACATTACATGAGTCATTATATATAAAGTACTTAGCAGGTAGTTAGCTATTTTCCTATCATCGTTGTTACTGCCATATAAGTTGCACAATCCCAAGCCAAAAAAGACATTAAAAAGCATGAGTGCCTTCCCTATGACTATCAGATATTCTTATAAAAGCCAATAGAGTTAAAGGATAAAAGCCTAACGCTTTACCCTCGTATGTCCAACAGCCACCTTTAAAATCAATTTCCAAGCATAAGGCATGACCTTGGCTTGGAAATAAATTGAATTAATTTGCAGTACCTGCTTCTAAGCCTTGCTTTTTAATGCTGACTCTCACTCACCCAATATCTTCAGCAGTTTAGCTTTTTTCAAAATCCCCACATAATTCATTCAAATGAAATTCTCCAGGACATCAAAATTGTTCAATTTAGTGGACTTTCTTGACAGTGGGTTCTCCGTAACAAAGTGCTTTCTTTCTCAAACTGCATAGAAATCAGGGAAAATAACATCTTAGTTCCCCTCCTCAATCCAGGAACTAAACCAGGCAAAAATAGAGAAAGCAGTGTAAGCAGCTGCTTACTCAGACTGAATATATGATGGAATTTATTAATAACCTGATTAAACAATCAATCAATCTGCTCTGATGATCTCTTGTCCCTGGGTAATAAATTACCAAATTAAAGCAGAAGAAAATGTGAATGCAATCTAAAAAGCAACAAAATATTATTTCACTCACTTTATAGTTTTTTGCCCTTTAATCTCATGCTTCTTTTCATGTGGTGTTTGATTCCAGTGGGCAATTTGAATATGTGGATGGGTTTCTTTTCCCATAAAGTAATTAGGGTGTCTCAGATAGTAAGCCAGACTGAAGAGCGCATACTAATTAAAGGCTTCTGCTTTCACTTACGAAGAGCCAACCTTAAATTTTTTCTTCTTCTCCTCCCTAAGGTGCAAAATGCACATAATTGAGAATGTTTCTTACAGAAACTAGAGAAAGCACTTGTGCAAGAATTTTACTACATAGAGCTCACTGAACCTGGCCCATCTAGCACTTTTATGGCTCATCTACAAGGAATGGAAGTCACATGGGCACTCACAGTGCTCAACTGTTACACTTGTACCTAGGATAAGACTGCTCAAGATAGTAGTACTTTTGCCCAGCAGCCTAAGCACGATGCCTGTAAATACAGACAGACATAGTTTTGGATTATTATTTTACCTTGCCTTTATGTCTTCAGATTTTTTTCAGAAAAGAGACCTTTTCATTACACACAGAGATCAATAGCTTATATTCACAAATAATCTGGTTGTGATGTCTCAGAATCAAGCTGTTTGCTTGCACATTTCCTTGAAAACTGGCAAGTTTTGGGATGAGAGGAAGAGAGGTGGCCCTATTAACAAAATAAAGATTAAAAAAATAAGAAAAGGAAAAAGAAACTGTACTAATTACTAGTCTGTCCTACTTTCCTTACTGCTTTTGGCTTCACGTCTACATGGATTTTACTTAAGAACACGGAGTGAAATAGGTCTGGCTGTTTCCCAGGCTAGCACCTTTAGCTAGCACAGCCTTTTTGTCAGGTCTAAGAAGACATAGAGATTACATCACTTTGGAGACATTTAGCTTGAGTTGAAAGGTTTACGGATAGCTTTCACCTTTCTGCATGAAGATTCTGCAGTGCTATTTTCTACAATATGATAAACGTGGTCGTCATTCATTCATTTATTATGGAATTAGTACCTTATAAAAGTGTCCCTGGCAAGTTAGCTAGCTCCTTCTACCATATGAGTACCAGTGACAAACTGCCATTTATAAACCAGAGAGTGAGCCCTCACCAGACACCAAATCAGCCAGTGTCTTAATCTTGGAATTCCCAGCCTCCAGAACTGTGAGAAATAAATTTCTATTGTTTGTAAATTACTCTTTTTTGGCAAATTGTTAGAGCACCTCAAATGAACTCAGACAGGTGTAAGCACTGAGAGACAGAGATCATTGTAATCCGTGTCAGAATCTGATTATTTCACTACCAAATATTAGAAATTCTATTTTCTTTTGTGTCCTGGGCAATATGCAACTCATATTGTTTTAACTGTCTAGTGACTCCTCAATCATCCCCTCAAAAGTCTTTTCAACATCACTTTAATTATTTGACTTGTCCTTTTTCACTCTGTATTCTCTTAAACTACATCTGTATAATCATTTCTTACAGTTCCAATTACTTTCTCTATGGTGATAAATCTCAAATCTACATCTCTAACCCAAATTTCTTAACTGAGTTCTAGATACTGTATATGATGAATCAATTAAACCTGATATTCTTTTCCATTACCCACAGAGACCTCCATCCCATCATATCCAAAAGTGAGATCACCATGGTCACACTCCTCCTCCAATATTTTCAGTCCTGGACCATCGAAGTTAGAAACCTGGGAGTCCTTTGAGATCCCTTCATCACTCCACACTGCTTAGAGCCCTTTGATTTTGGCTCCAAACATATCTGTCCAATTAATCACTTCTGTTCTTAGACTACTCATTGTATTTCCTTGTTCCCATGCACATTTTAAAGGAATTAATGCAAGAGTCTTGGCACTCTTCTGTTTGTTACTCTCAAAATGTTAGCAGATATATATTAACAGCAGGGTTGGCTGCAAACTTTGTAGGCCCTTGGCAAAATGAAAATTAGGGACCCTTGTTCAAAAGTTGGCAAGAAGCTCTATGAACTATACTAAACATACATTTCTTTTCTTCCATAGTCTCTCTTCTCTCTGTCTCTCTCTCTTTCTCTCTCACTCTCCTCCTTAATGATGATTTTTATTTTTATTTTTATTTGTCATTTAATGTCATACTCCCTACAGCACGGGAATATTTGCGGGGTGAGTGAAGAACCTCACAGGCACCGAGGTTCGGCCCCGTGATTCTTCATATAGCATGTGCACAGCCCACCGGTATCTGATTTCTCCTCCTAGTACCTGACAGATATGCCCTGGTGGAGTTGAGAAAGGCAATCTCCCTCCCATGGATCTCATGCTCATCACTTATCAGACCAGTGACTACCAAGGAATAGGGATATACTAACAATGGCCATATGCTTTCGCTTTTCCTTTTCCTTTACCAGTTGTAGAGTTTTACTGGATTAAAAACCTGTTTATTGGCTGGTCACAGTGGCTTACGCCTGTAATCTCAGCACTTTGGGAGGCCGAGGTGAGTGATCACAAGGTCAGTAGACCAAGACCATCCTGGCCAACATGGTGAAACCCCGTCTCTGCTAAAAATACAAAAATTAGCTAGGTGTGGTGACATGTGCCTGTAATTCCAGCTACTCGGGCAGCTGAGTCAGAAGATTCACTTGAACCAGGGAGTCAAAGTTTGCAGTGAGCCAAGATCGCACCACTGCACCCCAGCCTGGAAACAGAGGGAGATTCCTTCTCAAAAAGAAAGAAAAAAAAACTTTGTATTAATTCGTTTTACTCCTTAGTAGCTTCAAAATTATACATTATTTGCCATTCTTCTCTTGACTTCTCTTAAAATTTATATATAAGCACACAAATATATACACACAGGTATGTTTTTCTAACTATTCCCAACCTTGAAACCAAACAAAACCCTTAATTGATTTTCACCTACCATTTCCACCTTTTCCTTCCATATTTCTTAAATTTGAGTACCACTTTTCCTCTAAATTCTCTTTTCTTCTAATTTTGGAAATGATTTTTTGTTCTTTTGGAGTGAATCGTCCATTTTTTTCCAGATAAATGTTTTGAGCCATTACATGCCTGAAAAATGCACTCATTCCCCTGTCTAATGTGAATGATCATATATCTAGATAACACCCTATCTTTGCAGACACTGTTTTGTTTTCTCTCATTCTATGTTGTTGCAGGTAAGAAATGTAAGGCTGTCTGAGTTGCATTTCATTGTAAATAGAATGTTCTTTTTTAGGTTAGTTTTTTCTTTTAAACTTTAAAGATTATTTATATTATAATTGAGGTTCAAAAATTCCACCAGATTTAAGTTCAGATGTGAATGTTTTACTTTTTTTGCTCAACCCCTGGCAGACTTATTCAATCTGAAAACTCAGGTCTTTACCAAGATGCCAGGATATCATGTGTTCTTAAGTTATAGAATAAGTATGAATCTTTTCTAAAGATGTCAGTAGGTGTCTCATTGGTTGTAACTAAAATCTTCACAGCCTCACCCCCCTTTAATGCCTTCAAAAAATCCTTCATAATCATTGCTCATCGGGTACATGTAAGCATATTGTGCTATGAAGCCAATGACAATCCTTACTTATGGCTATTAATTTCTATCAAACTCCTCCCTGTGGGAGTAACCAAACCCCTCGCTCAAAACCCTCTTTCTGTGTAGGACATAGCTCAGAGAATAACCAGTCAGTGATCATCCAGTGGCATACTGCTCATTAATGAATTTGACACAATTTATCAATGACTCACTTTGTACAAGCCTCTGGTTGGGCAAGAATTTTATGTAAATGAACAGGTTGAATCCACATGGTATGAAGAAATCAAGGCCACTTTAAGACTGTGTCACTAAAATCTTATGGAGCATTTTGTTTCTCTCTTGTTCTACGTATATTAAGTCATCACCTGACCTTATTGTTTACCTGGGTTTTATTTTTTCCAGCCGGTCGTGCCATCATTGATCTGCTCTCATTATAGGAACACCTCTATCTGTATCTATTTCTTGTTTTGTGTGTGTTTACTGCTCCTTGGGAGATTTCTGAGTGCTGGAGTCATTGGCTCCGGCTGCATAAATTGGTGAGCTGAAGTTGCAGATTTGGAGCTGTCTCAGCCGCACTCTCAGGGTTATAAATGATGCTGTCTGACTGGAGGACACTGCATTAATGGGCATTATGGATAGGCCTGTTCTATTTCAGAACCATGATTTTCAAGCCAATCGCTTGTATCTGAGACAGGGGACATTGTAGAAGGCTGTGGTAGAGGAAAAGGCTTAATCCGTTTTTTAGAAGAAAAATAAACTTAAAATAACATATGAAGTGACCAGATATGTTAGAAATTGAAGAGAGTCAAGGCATGCTGCTGAAAAAACATCAAACTATTTTCTTTTACCAAATAGTCTATGAAACCTCAAAGTTTCATTTTACTTTATGTAATACCTTTTTAAAAATCTTAAAGCTGCAAGTACATTATGTCCAATTCTTTCTCTTTTGAGGGAATAAAATGGAGGTGCACTGTGTATGATAAGGTTAAAGTAATTTTAAAGCTAAAGAGAAAGAAGGGAAAGTATGCTGGAGCAGACAAAGATGCAGAAGAAAAGACGAGATAGATGGTTGACTCTGGTTCACTATAAGTCAGGGAAGTTGCTGTTAAGAGGTTGCTATTAGGAGGGTAATGAAGAGGTTTATGGAAGTGACTTTACAGGTTAATGCCCTTGATGTACTTGCTTTATTATTTTGTTTACTCTCATTTCTTCAAGGTAAAATTATGAGGATTAAAATACATCTCAGGAAGATCTATAATACCTATATCGAAAACTGAGGGAGGAATATTAAGTGAAAAAGCTTAAGACTTGGAGCTTAGGACATCAGGGCTGTTTACTCTCCTGACACTGAATGTGATCTTAATTATGTTATTTAACCCTTCTAGACTAGATATTCCTCTTCTGAAAGGAATGTGACAATAGTTCTCTTACACTGATGTTGAAGCACTAATACAATGATGTATTTTAGTACCAATCGCAGAACCTGACACATTACAAGTGATGAATAAATACCTGCTTTTTCTTTTGTTCTATCCTTCCTGTTAGATCACTTCCCATTAGTTCTGCCTGCCGTTGGTTTCATTTTTCAAATATATGTTTTATGCAGGGTGGTTTGTTTTGTTTTGCTTCCAGTCCAGTGTTCATAGTTAGCACTTGAGATTCGTAGTATTTGTCATCGAAATTCTCTGTTTCCTCTTGAATGTTGAGATAATTGAGTAAATCACAATACAAGTTAGGTCTTATAAACCAGTGCAGCATTCATTAATTCAGCCATTACAATGTGACTGAAGGGTCATTTTCACACTGAGAATTTTGAAGGTACCACTGCTAAGACTAAAATAATTTGGGAAAGAGGACCATTTTAAGCTAATGGCATTCAGTCATGTTCTCAATTTAGAGACCTTCTTCAAAGTATTAGCTACAAGCTACAGAAGATAGCAAATCAACCTGATTTCAGATCATTTAATACAAGAAAAAAAATGAGCAAGAAGCTTTATGTCATTGTAATTTTCACTGTTTAAGTCAAGAAGGATAAAGATAGAAGATCAGAGACTTAAAATCTAACCTAATCAGTGAAGTTCCTCCTGGCTAAAGAACCGGAGGGTTATTGTTAAAATCCTTAAGGAAGGAGCAATAAGATTTCAAGGTTAAGCTTTTTAGACAATAAACACTTAAACATTAAGAACATCAGGGCATGATCAGTTCCCCAAAGGGCTGACACAGGTTCCTGAAATTGATCTCACTTCTAATTTCTTTCTTGTGTCTTGGGAGTAGAGTGTGGTTATGAAATGATGAAGCCTCCTTATGCAAATCACAGGTGCCTGGGGTCAACTCCAGTCCTTACCATGGAATTACAGTCAATACGCCATGTCAGCATGTCACTAAGGCAATGTAATGTTTAACAAACAAATAGTAAGAACAATTTGAGTTAAATGTTTTTCTCTCTTAGCGTCTGGATGGCAAAATCTGATGTGTAGAACAAGCCTCTTTACTAGGGCTTGTGCTATATCCTCTCTGCTGATTGGAAGATACAGCAAAAGATTTTAATTTATGAATAAGTTTTTGTAGCAAAATTATCTGGTGGCATTATGGAAAAAGCAGCAACAGATTGCTTCTGTAAGGTATTGGGTGATCACGTGGTCCGTTGATATCTGCCACAGAGGACTAATGTCTGACCACGACGCCAAGAGCAAGTGAGGTGAGACTTCATTGGCTCTTCATGGGCTTTCCTGCTTAGGATTTCATCCACCACTGTCTAGCTTACCCCCAAACGTACTTTAACTTCTCTCAAGTGTTCCCATTGACAGGCGCATAGGGTGACTTTATCTTGACATATATTAAAAGCACAGCAATACCTAGCAGATGTTCCATAAACAGTATTTATGGAAGTCGTATATCTCCACGGTGATCACACCATGCAATGTGTAGCACAGCTGCAATTAGGGAGATCTATGATAGGTGCATTGTTTTATGAGGTGTCATCTGGGTCCTGAGCAGGAAAATCATAAGCCCATAATGTTTAGATGTTCACTTTTTAATACATATGATTTATTCACCAAGACAAGTAAGCTCAACAAGTATCTATTCTTTGGTGCATTTTTTTTCTTTATTCAGTCTTTCTTTTCTTCCTTTTTTCTCTTCATGAATGCCTTTTATTTATGTATTTTACTTTTTCATTGCATTTACCTAGAAGTTGTGTGTACTTTAAGCCAAGTAGATAGTGGTAATAGTAAAAGAAAAAAAGCACAAATTATTTGTGAGGCACAATGCTAAGTGCAATGAGGAATATAGTTATAGTAACAAAGTCCTTATTCTCAAGGAAGTTATCCTAGTTAAACATGCGAATTTGTACACACACATATATAGAGCCACATAATGGTGGCAATACGTATCAAGGGATACTATGGAAGCTTAGACAGAAAAATTTCACTGCCTCCCTTACACAAAAAAGTTTACATAAGCAAACAAGTGACAGTTGAATTAGGCCTTGAAGAGTGGCTAAAGTTTTACAGAGAGAAATAAAGGATAAGAATTCAAAACAGATGGAATAAAATAGAATACTGGGAGTTGGGGAGTGGATCTCCAAATTTGAAAGTATTTTTAAGGAATTGTTACTAGAGGTTGGTGATATTATTAGTAGCAAAATCAAACTAAATAAAAACCAAAATGGAAAAATCAGCGGGCGGTAAATGATTTGGGGGTATAGTGATAAATAGTCTATATACATATTGATGTTTTTAGAACAGAAATGAAAATTCAGAACTAGAGTAGAGGATAAATATTGGAGACATAGACACAAAATGTTGATATCCGGAAAGAAGAACTAATGTTTTGGGAAGATAGGAAGATATAACTTTATAACCTCATACAGAACCTTTAGGAGAGAGTAGGTATAAATCATATAGAGTGGTGAGAAGAGGAGTAAGTCAGGATGTTGAGAATGCAAACTTGTTAGAAGTGAGAGAAAGCAAGCAAGTGGAAAGTTGAGTTAGTGAAAAATTATGAAAGTCAATGACAAAGGGATCATTATGTCAGATGCTGCAGAATCAAAGAAGAGGACTTAGAAAGGACTGACATGTATAATTAGACAGAGTGGAGCACAGGGTTTAATTATGCATATATTGGGTTTGTACCCTTGGTTTCCACACTAGTTGTGTGATCTCAGGCAAGTCACTTAGCCTCTCTGGTTCTCCACTATCTTAATTATAAAATAGAGTTGTCATTGGGAGTAAATATGGAAAATAATTTGAAAATACTTGGTAAACAGTAAGCATTATACATATATTTTTATCTTCTTTCTCTTTCTGCAAATTATCTTTCTTACTCCCATTTGTGCAACGTGCGTGAAGGCTGATCTAAATGGTGGTCCCAGGTCCTGAGTCCACATGACCTTTCAGCTCAAGGACACCCAACACTGATCAACTCTGCTTCTATAGTATTTTGTTTTGCTTTTTTTCCCCCTCCTAATTTCCTTCAAAAAGAACCTAATTGGCACAACCATGTTATGTTTCTTCCCCAAGGCCACTCAGCCTTGACCAGGCATCAGGGTCAGGTGGCAATAAACTCTGCTTCTTTAGAGATGTGGGAAGTGCAGACTGTCTAGAGTTGGAATGTTAGTGGGGTCCGATTGTCATTTCTTTTTTTTTCTTTCCTTTCCTTTCCTTTCTTCTCTTCTCATTCTTTCTTTTCTCTTTCTTTTTCTTTCTTTCTTTCTTTCTTTCTTTCTTTCTTTCTTTTCTTTCTTTCTTTCTTTTCTTTCTTTTTTCTTTCTTTCTCTTTCTTTCTTTTTCTTTCTCTCTCTCTCTTCCTTCCTTTCTCTCTCTCTCTTCCTTCCTTTCTCTCTCTCTTCCTTCCTTCCTTTCTTTTCTTTCTTTCTTTCTTTCTTTCTTTCTTTCTTTCTTTCTTTCTTTCTTTCTTTCTTTCTTTCTTTTCTTTCTTCTTTCTTTCTTTCTTTTTCTCTCTCTCTCTCCCTTCCTTTCTTTCTCTCTCTTACTTTTGGGGGGATCTCACTCTGTCACCCAGGCTGGAGTGCAGTGGCATGATCTTGGCTCACTGCAACCTCTGCCTCCTGAGTTCAAGCAATTCTCCTGCCTCAGCCTCCCCAGTAGCTAGGACTACAGGCATGTGCCACCATGCCCTACTAATTTTTTATTTTTTTATTGTAGTAGAGACAGTGTTTCACCATGTTGGCCAGGCTGGTCTCAAACTCCTGACCTCATAATCCCCCTCTTTGGCCCCCAAAGTGCCGGGATTACAGGCATGAGCCACCGCCACTGGCCTGATTGCCATTTTTTTTTGTGTGCCAAGGGAATAGATGAATGCTCAAAAGGATCAAATGTAAATTCTGGGTTCAGGCTGCCACCTTCTGTTTATGTCCTCTTAGTAGACAGGATGGGTATTTGTGAATAGTCAAATGGTAGCTTACAGCTCTAGTCAAGCACATGGCTTTATTCACCAAAACGTAATGGAGATGGAGCAAGTGGTAGGACATCACTTGATACCCATTCCATCCTCTGACGTCTCTGCCATCAATCATTATTGTGAGATTGCTAGACTCTTCAGTCTGAGGACAGAATCTAAATTCAGGCAGTACTCTGTTCCAAGACAGACTCTTTCACTTATTCTAAGTGACTTTGGTTGGGTTCCTTAGTATGTGTGCCTCAGTTTATTTGCATATGAAATAGGAACATATTAACCAGCTCACAGATCTGTTATGCCTAGCACAGTATGAAATTTAGTAGATGTCCAATAAATGCTCTATCTTCTTGAATAGTGAACACAGATAAACACATCTAGTATATGAGACAGTGTAAAACAGAAGAAATTATGCTTTAATAAAAGTTCTTATTCTAGAGTTCTTATCCTCTCTCTGTAATTCTAATTCCAGAGTTTTATTTTCTCTCTATACTTTCCCCAGCTGTGCAATGTTTGAATATCAATTTTTCTTTGAAATTCAAAACTTTTGTGTACAAACAGAAATATTCTTTACCACTATAAATATTTTACTAGGTTATCAGAAGCTCAAGTGAGCTAAGGTATAGAAAACACTTTACAAATTAGAAAACACTAAATGCAAAGTATCACTAAAATCTTACTTCAGTTATTACTCTTGAATAACTAGAATTTTTTTTTTTTTTTTTTTTTTTGAGACGGAGTCTCACTCTGTCGCCCAGGCCGGACTGCAGACTGCAGTGGCGCAATCTCGGCTCACTGCAAGCTCCGCTTCCCGGGTTCACGCCATTCTCCTGCCTCAGCCTCCCGAGTAGCTGGGACTACAGGCGCCCGCCACCGCGCCCGGCTAATTTTTTGTATTTTTAGTAGAGACGGGGTTTCACCTTGTTAGCCAGGATGGTCTCGATCTCCTGACCTCATGATCCACCCGCCTCGGCCTCCCAAAGTGCTGGGATTACAGGCGTGAGCCACCGCGCCCGGCCGAATAACTAGAATTTTAAAATGCAGTCCATATAGATTTCATTTGTAAAAACACCATTAAAGTAGATTCTGGGATAAAATGTGTTTATCTTATCTCCTAAACAGAGATTTTTTTTTTTATGCTTCGGGCAAAATAACGATGAACAGATGGGCTTGGGTTTGCTGTATACTGTTTAAAAAATAATGTTAAAAATGTTTTTAAAACATGTTTAAAATGGGAGATTTTATTTTTTAATAAAACCTATACTTGAAATTTTTCTTCAGAAGTAACAGGGATATTTTATAATACTGAGATAGCATTTAGCTTGGCCAATGGTCTGTTATAGCTAATTAGCAGCTGCCTACTTTCAACAGTGCTTCCACACTCTGGTTTGCCACAGTTTCTACTAATTGTTATTACCCCACACACTGAAGCTGAGTGTCACATCTCAGAATTGTATTAAATAATATTCCAGTTGAGAATAAGAATAAAAGTGGGGGAAAGGCATATCTTTATCTTAAGATTGACTTTTTGTTTAAGAATAGAATAGAAATTTATGGAATCAGTGGATCTTGTGAATCCCCCCATCCAGATGTTTGTCGGGCCATAGGGCTGGCAAATTTATTTAGCTTTGAGAAATGTGAGGTGACAGGATAGCTTTTTAAACTCTCAGAAGTTCTCAGATGAAGCAAAAGGATATGAATCTGCCATACAAAGTGGGGTTGTTGTATTGATTTTCTTCCACTCTTGTGCACCTTATCCTTCTGCAACACTTTAGTGACTTAAATTTAGGATATTAAATGGCGGTTACTGAATAATCCCCTGACATATCAATCCTTACTTCACTTATATAAAGGCACAGGGGAGCTCAAAGTGAACAGAAGCAAAAATGGAAATAGGAGACGAAGTTTGCATTAGGATGATGTGTCATGTTGCTTTCTGCTTACTTTGATTATGATATGTCAGGAAGGCTTACTAAGACTATGGAAAATATAAGGTTTTAAAAAATGATTTAAAAATTTTAAAGTTTTAGTTATAAGTTAAACCTGGGAAACAAATTTCTTCTGGTATATTACATGTGAATCAATATACACGCTTTTACGTGCATATGTCTCTATGGAAAAAATTGAAAGATATAATTAAGGGAATATTCTCCACAGATGTTTTACTTATCATTTCTCCTTTTATATCTCTGACCTGTTTCACTTCTGATTTAAGCCTTCATGTCAAGATTTTCCCTTTGGGAGGTTTACAAATGATGACCCAGTAATATTAAGATAGTTAATCAGAAGCCTGCCTTCCAAATACAGTAAAAGTGTAATCAACTAGAGAAATACTATTGAGATTCACAATCTGCCCCCACTGTCCTTTGACAGATGTGATATCTTATTGTTCAATTTTGCAACACTGTATATGTTTCATTTATTTTTTGCCAAGTTAAAAGGAATTAAAATTTAATTTTATGTTGAAAATTATTTTGGAAATTCAAAACAACTTGAGGTAACTGGAAATGCTCTTGGGGCCAGAGGCTGGAGGTGGAAAACAGGCAGAGAGTTCAAAAACAAGGATGAAATGCACGGTGTCAGATTCAGGAGCGCTTTCTTAAGCATACTAACTCCTTCCTGAGGTGGACCAAACTTCTGCACATCAAATAGATACTATTCTCAGACTCCTTGGGAATAATAAAAGCAGAGCCTACAAAGTTACTGTAGGTAGAATCAGAGATGCATGCTACTGTATACACCATTCCTCAATCAAAGAAAAATCACATAAGAACAATACATCAGATAGCACTCCTTTTATTACAATCTGCACTTTCTTTTCACCTATGCTGGAGCGTCAAGTGAGTGAAGTTGGAGATATTTAGTTATTTAACAAATAAATAAGCCTATATCTATTAGACAATATCGAATAGAGAAACATATCTCTTAATTAATTTAAGCAAGTTTTATTCAGAGACTGTTATAGTTCAGATTTGGTGCTTAGTACTAGGAACAACGTTGATGAATAAAATAGATAAATTACCTGTCTTTGTAAGTCTTGCAGCTTAATGGCCTGGGCCTACAGAGACGTTGACAGCAGGGAAGAGAGGAAGCAGAATGCCAGTCTATAATTGCTCACCTAGATCTGAACTAGAGCCAAAAGCAGAAGAGGCTACCAGCAGAAAGAAAAAAGGGAATTGGAAGGATGCAGCAGGAAAGTCTATTGTTCAACCCTATTCAGTTTTACTCTTTCGGGGTACAGGGCAAGGACATTTTTTCCAGTCTCCTTGCAGCTAAGTGGAGCAGCATGCTTGGTTAGAATCAATGGGCTGTGGGAAGAAATGGGTATGTCACTCCCAAGTCAAAGCATGTAACATCCATAGCTGACATAGCATGACTCTGTGGTTGACTCTTCCCTGCCTCACCAACCTAAGAGAACTGTGGGTAAAACAGTGGAACTGTCAGAATGAAGTAGTCTGAATTGTTGAGTAGCTACATGGAAGACAGTTTCCTGGACAGTTGTCTTGATTTGTGATGGACTCTGTGTGACAAAGAAACACTTTTGTTGTATTAAGGAGAGATGGTAGGGTTCTTGTATCATAACCTATCATGCCCTGGTCATAGAGGGGTTATTGATCATGTGTTTCTTGACAGTAGATATGAGGTGCTGAAAAAAAGGGATTGAGACTAGAGAAGAATTTTTGCCCTCTTGAAGCCAATAAGTGGAATTATAGAAATCCCTCTTGATTTACAGGAAAGTGTATCTAAACCAATTTCAGTTTGTTTTCCAAATGAGAAACAGATTGGAAAATTACTTAGAGTGCAACTGTTCTTAAGATGAAGAAATGAAATATTCTCTATGATCAAAAGGAGGATATAAATACACTAAGTCTGGAAGAGTTTTTGTTTGCTCTAAGTGTTACCATCTTGTCATATTAATAATTTTAATTTTATTCATATGAAATATTCAAGTACAATGTTTTGTGTTTGTATGTGTGTGTATATATGTATGTGTGTAATACAAAACTCACTTAATTTTATTCAGTTCCACCAGGGAAATTCCAATGTAATTTGTCAACTTTATAATAAAATGGGTTTTAGGTGGATGGGCTCAGATCTCTGACTTACGGAGAAAAAGAAATAATCATTTTTTGCTTTGCTTCAAAGACTGGAAACAAATAAAAAACATGCAAAATTTACAAGACATAAGATCAGTAATTTACTTTACAAAAATTGGTTTTTGACTCAGTAGTGGAAAAAATTACTTATTTGTGTCACGGTCACTTAGCAGCTATTAGTACCTAGTTATTTTGGCATTGAAAAACCATTTATTTATTAATTCAATCATTCATTCAGTAAATACATATTGAGTAGTTACTATATACCAGTCAACACTGGAATTTCTGAAAATTTGTCTGAGAACAATGCAGGCATGGTCCATGATCTCTTAAAGCATACATTCTACTGGGGGGAGACAGAATATAACTAATACGTCAAAAAGAAAATATCAAGCAGTGATGCATACTATAAAGAAAAGATATAAGGATGAGGATTTGAGTGTCTAGAGGCATCTTCAGATAGAGTGGTCATGAAGGCCTTTTTGAAGAGATACTTTTAAAACAGAAACTTTAATGACAATAGGGAGACACCCTTGCAAAGACCTGGAGAAGCTTGATACTCCTGGCAGAGAAAATCATAACTACAAGGGACCTTATGTGGGAGTACTTGGCATAGACAAGGGACAGAAAGAAGACCTGCTCCAGCACAGTGAATGTCATGGCACAAGATAGGAGGTTTCTCATTACATAGCACCTCATATTAGAAAGTAAAGTTTGAATTTCACTCTCAATGCGGTGAGAAATCACTGAGATATTTTAAGCAGGAGGTGAAATGATTGGAATTAATTTCATTTTTAACTTACTGATAACTTTGCACAGAATGAAAAAAATTGTTAAGAATGGAAGTCTGAAGATCAGTAAAGGGGATTATTGTAGTAGTCCAAGAGATAGAGTAGAAGGGTTGGGAATGGAGGGAAATGACACATTCAAAATATATTTGGGAAGTAAAATCAATTAAGATTTAATAATGAACTGGAACTAGGGGTTAAGAGGGGACTCAAGATTCATCTATTGATTGTTGGTTTAAGCAACACAGTGAATAGTATTTATTTATTTACTGATACAGAGATTACAGAGAAAGGTAAAAGTTTCCATTGAGAAAGTAGTAAAGGTAGGGGGATGATAGAGTTTTGTTTCAATGATGTTCAATTTGAAACGTCAATTCAACATTTGAGAAAAGATTGAAATGCCTTTGCAAAACTATCACAGTAAAAGAAGTCTGACATGGCTGACTTCATCTTGCTTCTACCCTCTAAGCTATCTTCACCCATTCCTGGTTGTAGGTCACATGGGAGGAATTTGGATTATAATTTGACCTTGAAGCAGGGAAAATATAGTCCTTGATAAAACTGATTCCCTCCTTGTTCACAGACTGAAATTGGCTTTGTAAAACCAATGAAAGGCCATGAGAATAGAATTATGAGAGGACCCTGAATTCTGCTAAAATCTAGACATAGTTTCTATAATCCTTTACTGCCCAGGAGTCACGTGCCCAGAGGTCATAAGATTTGTGACTTCCTCAATTGCTCCTGTAGATACCATCACATTGTAACACCTTGGGTGTTTTTTTTTTTTTTGAAATTTTTTCAGACTGATCTCACCCATACTCCTGATTCATGACTTAACCAGTCCTGTGGCCCCACCCAGAGGCACACTCAATGTATGAGGACCATTTGGACCATTTTTCACACCCCTATCATTTCTTTCCCAACCAATCTGGAGCACCTATTCCCTAGCCTCCTCCCCACCAAATTGTCCATGAAAACCCTAGCCACTGAACCTTTGTGGATATTGATCTGAGTAATAACTCCATCTCCCATGTGGCCAGCCTTGTGTCAATTAAACTCTTTCTCTAGTGCAATGTCATGGTCTCAATAAATTGATTCAGTCTAGTCAGTGGGCAGGAAGAACCTATCAGGTGATTACAAGATGATAAATTGGCAATTAGATACACAAATCTGAAATTAAGGGAGAAAATCATGCTTGAAGAAAAAAATTGAGGAGTCAATTAAAATATATGTAAAATAATGGAGCTAGATGGTACTTCCTAGGGAATGAGTGTGCTTTCGGTAAGATTTTATGTAAGAAATAATAATAAAAAACCTACATTGAGCTGTATGAAGCATCTAAATTTAAAAGACTGAGAAAGACCAGCAATAAGGATGGAGAAAACCAGACAAATCTATATTTTAAAAGGTTAGACAGAGTATTCTGGATTAATGGTATCAGTTGCTATTGAGAGGTCATGTAAAAAGAAAGGAGAGAAATGACGACAGGATTTGGCACCATTGAGGTTATTAGTGACCTTGCCAAGAGCAACTATCAAAGGATTATAGGAACAGAGGCCTAAAGTATGTGCACTGGGGAAAGAATAGAGATTGGCACGAGAAAGTAAAGACCGTGACCATAAACAACTCTTTTATGGAAAAGTGTCATGAAGCCAAAGTGAAAAATGGTACTGTAGCTAAAGGGGCAATATGAGGTCAAGGGAAACTTCTGTTATGTTTAAAATAGAAATTTCTGAGGCATGTTTTGATGCTTATGAGAGCAATCCAAAAGAAAAGGAGAAACGAATGACTCTAGAGAAAGACAGGATGATTATAGGTGAAAAATCCTTGAGACAGGGAGAGGTATTAGAATTCAGAGCCTAAGTTAATCTAGGATGAGAGTAGGTATACTTAATCAGATTGTTTCTATTTTCTCAAAGAAGTGTGAGGCAACACCCTCAGCATAGCATAAGCAAGAAGGAAGGTGTTTGAAGTCCGTGGAGTGAGGAAATGGCTTACAGTAGTAACCCATTTGAGTCGAAGTTCAATATACCAGAATGTTTTGTAATTTTTTTTTTTTTTTGAGATGGAGTCTCGCTCTGTCGCCCAGGCTGGAGTGCCCTTACGCGATCTCCACTCACTGCAAGCTTCGCCTCCCGGGTTCATGCCATTCTCCTGCCTCAGCCTCCCGAGTAGCTGGGACTACAGGCACCTGCCACCACACCCGGCTAATTTTTTGTATTTTAAGTCGAGACGGGGCTTCACCATGTTAGCCAGGATGGTCTGGATCTCCTGACCTTGTGATCCTCCTGCCTCAGCCTCTCAAAGTGCTCCTGATTTTAAAACTAAAGCAAAAAGCACAGTTGCATTTTCCTCCAACGAAGAACAGCTGTTCAGTTGAGATAAATGAACAGAGTAGAGAGATAGCTGGATTTAATGCACAGTCAGTTGAGAACAGTAGAGAAAAAGAGAAGGAAATTAAGACATTAGAGTAAACTTAATGATGAGCTATTGACTTTTGCTGGACTAGTAAGGGAAATTAGAATATGAGAAAAATGATAGTTAATAAAAATGATCAGGGCCAATGGATTTGGAGATCTTGTTGAGATTAAAACAATGCTAGAGAATAATGACTGGAAAGAGTAGTAGAAAATGCCGATTGCTAATATCTGTTTATTTCCCTAAACCCATTTAAAAATTAAAAACAAGAACAAAGAGTTGACAGGGCACATGACCACATGGAAAGAAGACATTTTACAGCAACAACGTTCATAAATTCTAGCTAATGTGGATGTGAGTGAAAGTATCGTGCAACTTTTGGGAAGCTTTCTTAAAGACGTGATGGCTGGAGCATAAGCAACCATTCTGGAGCGTGGAAGCTTTGTGTTAATGGTAACAGAGGTCCAATGTAAAAAGAATCTGAAGGCCTGATGCTTTTGGGATGCTCCCTAACCAGTGTCTGCTTCTTTGAACTTATTTTACATGAGAGCTTCTGTTAGGTTTAATTCAGATTTTCATTTGTTTGGTTGGTTTTTCATTTGTTGTTATATACATCCATATTCAATGCTAAATAATACAGAAGAATGAGATGTTTCCAGATAGTAATATTCAAGTTTAACATTTTTGAAGTGATACAATTATTGATAAATGTAAAGGTCAAAATTATAACCATAAAATGGAAGAAAACATATCACTGAGCATGAAAAGGTCATGGAAGTGACAGGCTTTTTAGCCCAGGTATGAGGAAGATAATTCCAGTAGATGAGGAAATCACAGACTTAGAATTTAAGCAGAGAGGGCAAAATAATAAACTAGGTGCTAAAATCATCAATGAATGATGGAAAATGAGCCAGAATTTGTAGAGGGCAAAAAGAGAGGTGGTAGGTGACTGAGAGAAAAGTGGTTTATTGAAAAAAAAAAAAATGGGGAGCTAGAAAAGAAAAGTTTCTACAGGGTGCTTCCCATTTGAAGGAAGAGGTATTTGGTTCAAGCTGTAAAGTCAGAATGCAGAGCTACAATATTGATTACCACTTTCGAGTTAAGAACATTAGCAAAAGCCAGGCACGGTGGCTCACGCCTGTAATCCCAACACATTGGGAGGCCGAGGTGGGCAGATCACCTGAGGTCAGGAGATTAGGACCATCCTGGCTAACACGGTGAAACCCTGTCTCTACTAAAATACAAAAAATTAGCCGGGCGTGGTGGCGGGCACCTGCAGTCCCAGGTACTCGGGAGGCTGAGGCAGGGGAATGGTGTGAACGCGGGAGGCGGAGCTTGCAGTGAGCCGAGATCTAGATGGCGCCACTGCACTCCAGCCTGGGTGACAGAGCAATACTCCGTTTCAAAAATAAAATAAAATAAAATAAAAACCTTAGTCAAGTCATTTAACCTATCTATGCTTCAGTTTTATCATTGGTAAAATGCAGACAATATTTTGTAAAAACAAGATTGTTTAAGAATTAAATGAGATAATTCATGTGAAGTTGTTAGTATATTATCTTACAAATTTTTAACACACAGCATGTTAGCTGTGGTTTTGGTTGTTCTGCTCAAAACATACCAATTACATACCAATTCTAAAATATAACACAATAGATGAATGCTTAGCTCTTAGTCTTTAAGTTTCTAAATGGGGTCAGTTGCTTAATACACCTCATCTCAATGAGGAGCAGTGTTGTAGACACACAATGTGCTACTTTGGACCCCTTCCTTGCTATTTCTAATGGAGTGTCTTATTTAATTAGTGAAAATAGAGAAATGTCTGAGCATACGCCATCCCATTTTAGACTCTTTATCTGTTAGAGACTTAACAACATGTGTTTCCTCCTCTTGCTCTCACTTCCATGAAAAACACAAACATCAGTGTAGGCCTGGGTTAAGCCTGGAGACTTGGGTGTACTCCTGGGGTCTGGGTCCTAATGTACTCGATGGGATTAATCCAGGCTGCAGTTTTCTTGTCTTTCTTTCTTTTTTTTTTTTTGAGATGGAGTTTCATTCTTGTTGCCCAGGCTGGAGTGCAATGGAGCAATCTTGGCTCACCGGCTGCAGTTTTCTGGAAAAAATCACTGATAAGTATCTGCTCTCAAAATCCAACAATCCCCCAGGGCAGATGCCAAAGTGAATACAGGGAGTATCAAGAAGCCAAGAAGGCTGCGCACGGTGGCTCATGCCTGTAATCCCAGCTTTTTGAGAGGCTGAGGCAGGTGGATCATCTGTGGTCAGGAGTTCGAGACCAGCCTGGCCAACATGGCAAATCCCCGTCTCTACTAAAAATACAAAAATTGGCTAGCCATGGTGGTGCACACCTGTAATCCCAGCTACTCGGGAGGCTGAGGGAGGGAGAATTGCTTGAACTCGGGAGACGGAGGCTGCAGTGAGCCCAGATAGTGCCACTGTACTCCAACCTGGGTGACAGAGTAAGGCTTCATCTCAAAACAAAAAAAATAAAATAAATAAATAAACAAGAAGTTCTTCTAACACAATCTATTTAATAACAAAGCTCTTACTTAGCTATAACAGATACTTATGGCTATCTTCGATTGTTTTAAAATTTTTGGGGAAAGTGATTTATCACTTGAAATGTTCACTATACAAGAATCCCCACAGAGGAAGAGGCTTACAGGGTTTGGACATTCAGAGGTGAGAAATGATGAGTCTCTCAAAACATGAAAGGGAAAAAGAGATACACAATCAGCAGTAAAAGAAAACTCTACAATGTGGAACCAGAAAAAAAAAATTCTGTGATAAAGTTCTCAAATGTAAATGACAGTCTACAAAGACTGAACTTTACTGTAATAAAATTAAAAAACAAAACAAACCAATGAGCCAGGAATGCCAAGACAGATCACAGATAGGAAATGAACATTTACAAATGTTTGACATAACCTTGCTGAAGGGGGTGGGGAGGAAAAGACAAACTAAATAACTTTGGAAAAGTGTTTGACTAGATATTTAAAGGTTAATAATAAAAGTAACTTTCTCTAGTTGGAAAATTTGTTTCCCACAGTTAGCAATTCTGAAACTACTTTAAATGTATATAAGTTTAAATAAATAAGTAAATAAGTTATACAGAAGAGCCAGGTTTCTCACTGTAAGAGAACTAAATTATTAAATGAAGAAGGGTGGAAATGACAATGAAACTTTGTGGTGGCTGTAATACAATTGGAGATAGCAGTATGAACAATCATGTAAAGAAATAAAGATTTGTGTATATACATGGGTTAGTAGCGATGCACTTATTTTTGACCTCTGTCTACTGAAAGGCCCTAAAAACAATGATACCTCAGTAGTAACAAGCATATTCAGCAACTTAATTCTGGCTTCTAAATATTATTTCTCTGAGAACAGGAACTTAGACTTTTTGGAGAAATGGCTGATTCTAGAGTTGAGACAGGGAAAATACAAGATGAATCTGTCATATCTTTTAATTCCAGAAAGTGAACAACTGGGAAAAAAAAAATGAGTACTTACTAAAAGGTGCAGAACCCAACCTGAAAGAGCACCCAAAGTCTAAAGTTGGAACAATTTGAGCAACAAGATAAGTAACAGTAATGTTGGATTATTAACCAAAGAATAAAAAAAAATCACAAGATCATACTCATAGAATTAAATAATTAAAGAAAGAAAGAAATGGGGCAGGGAGGAGAAAGGACAAATCTCCCATAAAGAAGAAGAATTTTAAATAATAAAAGTAGAAAGAATAAGAGAAAAGAAAATCACCATTGTAACAACAGTTCTAACTGTGGCTGAATTTAATGAGTGACTCTTGAAGGAAAATAGGATGGTTACAAAGCCTCTAAGCATATCTCTCTCTCTCAAGATATTAATTACTTCGAGGTTTTTAACATGCTTACAAATTCTTGATATTCCTTCTTTCAGAAGTAACAGAGTAATTATGATTCTCTTAAGTGTGGACTAGACATAATGACTCACTTTTAACACACAGAATATGAAAAGATTATAAAAGTTACTTTGCAATGGAAAAATAGGAAGATACTACTTTCCCCATATCACTAATTATAAAGATTAATATCACTAGTAATTGGTCATGTTGGTATCTTATATCTCCTGATAAAATGCAATGAAAAGGTATTTCATCTCTGTGTTATTTTCCAGAAATATTCATAATTTCAGTCTAATCATAAAAAATCAGATAAACTCAAATTGAGAGTTATTGTATAATATGTGTGCACAGTGCTTTTCTAACATGACACTAAAAATAAAGACAAACTGAAAAACTATTATAAATTGCAGGAGAAAAGGAGACATTGTTACTAAATGTAACATGGTATCCTGAATTGGAGGCTGGAACAAAAAAAACGATATCACTGGAAATACTAGTAAAATCCAAATAAGGTCTGAAGCTTAATTAATAAAAATAAACCCCAATGTTAATTTTTTACTTTTTCTAAAACTATCAAGATTATGTACATTGTTAGTATTAGAGGACGCTGGGGTAAGGGCATATGGACATTCTCTGCACTATCTTTTCAACTCTACAATAAAATTAAAATTGTATATATAAATATTTTATGAGTAAGATATATCTTTTGTCTAGGCACAATATGACATAAAGATGTTGGAGATTTGAATCTGTGGCCATTCACCATGTTGGTTATTTTATTATGTCTTGGGCCATTTTCAAATTTGGTTTAGTGATTAAGAGTTTGGACCCTGGAGTTAGACTAATGAGTTGTGTAACCATGCATACATAACTAATTTCTCCAAAACTCAGAGAATAATGATAGTAACAATAATAATACCTAACTCATACAATTATGGTAAGGAAGCAATGAGACTGTACCTATAAATCAACTAGTACCGTAACTTTTTTTTTTTTTTTTGACACAGTCTCGCTCTGTGGCCCAGGCTGGAGTGCAGTGGCATGATCTCGGCTCACTGCAAGCTCCACCTCCCAGGTTCACGCCGTTCTCCTGCCTCAGCCTCCCAGGTAGCTGAGACTACAGGCGCCCTCCACCACGCTCGGCTAATTTTTTTTGTATTTTTAGTAGAGACGGGATTTCACCGTGTTGGCCAGGATGGTCTCCATCTCCCGACCTCGTGATCCACCCACCTCGTCCTCCCAAAGTGCTGGGATTACAAGCGTGAGCCACCGCGCCCGGCTGTAAGTTTTACATACGAAACATCGAAGGCATTTTAGCTACTATCAATATTGTTATGGCTATTATCATAATACTTACCGTTGTCAGGATTTAGTAGTAAAACCCCTTAAATACATAGGACCTCTATGCTTGTTTGGGTGACACTGAAATTTAGATTTCAGGGAAGTAAAGAAGTCAAGAAATGGGAAAGTGATGATGACTTTAAATCACAGTAAGTGGTAGAACACTTTCATCACCGGGGCCTGTGTAAAGGAAGACAAAGGTGTGTGTGGGTATAGAAGTTGAGGTGGAGCAAGAAGCACTGCCTCTGGTAGCAGGTGCGGCTTCCGTCATTTACTGAGCAAGCATTTATCATTCATTTTTTGATGTTTGCTTTCTATTAATTAAGTAAAAGAAAACTTATTAAATGTTCGGCGTCTTATTAGGTGCATAATAGATCCGTAAACTGGTAGCGGCCTCCCTTCCTTCTACTTTATCATTTTTAGAAGGAAATGTTTATGAAAGTCTTCTTATGCATCATGCATGGATGTTGGTGGGAAAGAGGCCAAGCTGAAGAAGATATAGACCTTGTTAACAAGAAAGTCATGAACTTCTGTATGCGACCATACTAATAAGGGAAAGTACGGAAATCAACAGATATATTCCCCACCATTAGAGAACTAACAATTTATAAACCAGCCTGAAAAAAGATCAGTTATTTCTTATTATTAACCCTTTTCAAATTAAACAAAAAAGACTAGCAATTAAACATGTAACTTTTTCAAAGTATCCTTTGGGGTAAAGAGAAGGCCTGGGAAGATGATTTGACATGAGCTTTATTTAGAAAACTATCATCCCGGGTGTTAGGTTTTTATTCTGTGACTACACGTAAATATTTTATAAATATAAATAAAGTTTGCTAACCTGGAGTTTCCTTACCTAGTAGAGTCTGCACAAAAATCTTTTTGCTGTTCGGCAGTAAAGAGGGAGCTGCCAAAAGGGTCAGATTTTAGACTGGGTATGGTAAGTCTTAATTGAGACTTCCATGTGGGAAAGCTCACAGAAGAAAGGTATTATCATGTAAATACAGGGTCTTGAAGCCTCCATGATAATTCAGAATGTATTTGCCACATGTTAGTAATGGATGAGGTGTACCAATTTTGAAATTTAATCAACACTAACAATTGGCATTACTGATAACTTACTGTTAACTAGCAATTCATGATATACTTTATCTGCAGTATCTCGTTGAACTCTGCCAACCACGTTTAACTTTATTATCTCCATTTAGAATGTGAAAACTGAGCTTTGAGAGGCAAAGTGTGAGTAGACTCTGCTAATATCAATTCTTCCTTTCTTATTTATAATTGGAAGCCCAAATGATTAAGGACAATAATGTTTACAGACCAAAAAAAATCACTTTTTTTGAATTGAACTTCCTTGTGTGGGTGACACTGCAATTTAGATTTCAGGGAAGTAAGAAATCAATAAATGGGAAAGTGATGATGACTTTAAATCACAGTAAGTGGTAGAACACTGTCATCACTGGGGCCTGTGTAAAGGAAGACAAAGGTGTGTTTAGGCATGACCATGTCACTCATTTCTACCCAGTAAGGTGTAAGCAAAAGTTGCTTGGAGGGGCTTTCAGGAAAGCTTAAAAGAAAAAAGGATTTGGCTAATATATTTTCCTCAGTTTTTGCCTTTTACCCTTTACCATTCCTTTTATTCTTGTCTGAAATATGGCTGTAATGCCTGAATATCCAGCAGCTACCTGATGATCATGAGAATAATGACCACATAATAAATATTGAGGAAAATCAAAATAAAAGAAACAATTTTTAAAATCATTTATGCTTTGTTTCATTGGTACTTTTACATAATATATGCATGTACTGTTACTTTTATAATGTATTTTAAAAATTGTGCCAAGGTTATTTAAAGGAGAGTTTTCTTTCCTTTATTCTTCATTGGCAGATTGTGTCTTCTATGGTTGAGATTATTTTCTGGTTTTATGTGATTGTGTGTAGGAATATTGCACCTTCCCTTTTATTTCTTTTTTATTTTTACTTTGTTTTGTAAATCTTCAAAGATATTTATCGATAGCCTCTTTTTTGAACATCATATAATTTACATCAGGAAATGATAAAAAATAGGAGCTCCTTTGTCATCTTTCTAACAGGACTGTCAGGAAAATCATATTTGTGAATTTAATTTTAGTTCCTAATGTGTCCATCATTTAATTTTTAACTTAAGTTTTTTTCACTTTTATTTTAGGTTTAGGGGTTCATGTGCAAGTTTGTTATATAGATAAATTGAGCATTCTGGGGGTTTGGTGTGCAGATTATTTTGTCCTGCAGGTAATCAGCATAGTACCCAAAGGTGGTGTTTCAGTCCTTATCCTCTTCCCACTCTCTACCCTCGAGTAGGACCTGACATCTGTTGCTCCCTTCTTTGTGCCCATATGTACTAAATGTTTAGCTCCCACTTATAAGTGAGAATATGTAATATTTGGTTTTCTGTTTCTGTATTAGTTTGCTTAGTATAATGGCCTCCAGCTCCATCCATGTTGCTGCAAAGAACATGATCTCATTCTTTTTTATAGCTGCATAGTATTCCATGGTGCATATGTAACACAATTCCTTTATCCAGTCTACTATTGATGGCATTTAGGTTTATTCCATGTCTTTCCTATCGTGAAGAGTGCTACGAACATACAAATGCCCATGTCTCTATGGTAGAACAATTAATATTTCTTTAAGTATATACCCAATAATAGAATTGCTGGGTTAAATGGCAATTTCTGTTTTAAGTTCTTTGAGAAATCACAAAACCACTTTCCACAATGGCTGAACTAATTTACATTGCCACCAGCAGTGTATAACCATTCTTTTTTTCTCTACAACCTTGCCAGCATTTGTTAGTTTTTGACTTTTAAATAATAGCCATTCTGACTAATGTGAGATGGTATCTGTTTTAGTCCGTTCTGACACTGCTATAAAGGAATACCTGAGACTGGGTAACATATGAAGAAAAGAGATTTAATTGACTCACAATTCCACAGGCTATACAAGAAGCATGCCTGGGAGGCCTCAGGACTTTTAAAATCATGGTGGAAGATGAAGGTGAAGCAAGCACATCTTATCATGGTGGAGCAGGAGAGAGAGAATGAAGGAGTCGTGCTACACACTCTTAAACAATTAGATCTCATGAGAGCTCACTCACTATCATGAGAACAGCAAGAGGAAATCTGCTCCCCTGATCCAATCACCTCCCACCAGGCCCCACCTCCAACCCTCAGGATTACAATTCAACATGAGATTTGAGCTGGGACACAGAGCCAAACGACATCAGTATTTCATTTTGGGTTTGATTTGCATTGCTCTAATGATTAGTGGTGTTGAGCATGTTTTCATATGCTTGTTGGCTGCATGTATGTCTTCTTTTGAAAAGTGTCTGTTCAATGTCCTTTGCTCACTTTTTAATGGGGTTGTTTTTTGCTTATAAATTTATTTAAATTCCTATGGATTCTGGATATCAGAACTTTGTCAGATGCATAATTTGCAAATATTTTCTTCCATTCTGTAGAGTGTCTACTCTGTTGATAATTTCTTTTGCTGTGTAAAAGTCTTTAATTGAATTAAGTCCCTTTTGTCAATTTTTGCTTTTGTTACAATTGATTTTGGAATCATCATCATGAAATCTTTGCCAGGTCGTATGTACAGAATGGTATCTCTTAGGTTATCTTCCAGAGTTTTCATAGTTTTAGGTTTTACATTTAAGTCTATCATCCTTTGTTAATTAATTTATATATATATATAGTTTAAGGAAGGGGTCTGAATTGATTTTCATATATAGTTTAAGGAAGGGGTCCAGTTTCAATCTTCTGAATATGGCTAGCCAGTAATTTTTGCACCAATTATTTAATAGGAAGTCCTTTCCCCATTGCTTGTTTTTGTCAGATTTGTGGAGATCAGATGATTTTAGGGGGTGGCATTATTTCTGGGCTCTCTATTACATGGGTCTATGTGTCTGTTTTTATACCAGTACCATGCTGCTTTTGTTACTGTAGCCTTGTAGTATAGTTTAAAGTTTGGTAATGTGATTCCTCCAGCTTTGGTCTTTTTGCTTAGAATTGCCTTGGCTATCAGAGCTCCTTTTTGGTTCCATGTAAATTTTGAAATATTTTTTTCTAAATCTGTGAAGAATGTAATTGATAATTTTATAGGAATAGCATTGAGTCTGTAAATTGCTTTGGGACAGTATTCCCATTTTAACAATGTTGATTCTTTCTTTTCATGAATATGAAATGTTTTTCCCTTTCTTCGTGTCATCTCTGATTTCTTTGAGCAGTGTTTTGTAGTTCTCATTGTAGAGATCTTTCACCTGTCTGGTTAGCTGTTAATAAAGTACCTGGTTAGGTATTTTATTCTTTTTTGTGGCTATTGTGAATGGGATTGCATTCTTGCTTTGGCTCTCAGATTAGATGTTGGTGTACAGGAATGCTAGTGATTTTTGTACAATGCTTTTATATCCTGAAACTTTGGGGAAGTTGTTTATCAGATCAAAGAGCTTTTGCACAAAGACTGACTACAGAATTTTCTAGGTAATAGTATCATATTGTCTACAAACAGAGATAGTTTGACTTCCTCTCTTCCTATTTGGGTGCCTTTTCTTTCTTTCTTTTGCCTGATTGCTCTGGCTAGGACTTCTAGTACTATGTTGAACAGGAGTGGTGAGAAAGGGTATCCAGTGTTGTGCTGGTTTTCAAGGGGAATGCTTCCAGCTTTTGCACATTCAGCATGATGCTGGCTGTGGGTTTTTTATAGATGGCTCTTATTATTTTGAAGTATGTTCCTTCAATGCCTATTTTTTTGAGGGTTTTTATATGAAGGGATGTTGAATTTTACATGAAGGGATGTTGAAATCCCTTTCTGCAGAAGCTACATTTCTTGATAACATTAGACTGTTTACCCTTGTTCTTTTTCTTGCATAGAACAAATAGGCATCTTATACATTAAAACCTCTGTGCTTATAGCCTTATAAAATCTTGCAAAAATCAGATATCTAGCACATGGAGATGACAGGATTAGAAGCCAGGCCTGTCTCACTCAAAGCCCACACAAATACTAAGCTACCTTGCCAATTTAGTTTGTTTTGTTGTTGTGTGCTTTCTCACTCTATTTTGACCAGTCCAACAAATCTTAAATTATTGAAGTTCTAATATGTTCAGACAATTTTAGAAACTCTCATTATTTCACAGCATGAATTTGGTTTGGAATTTCAATTATCTTAAAACAGAATGATTTGCATGTACAATTCCTGATTAAAATGGCATGAGATTATCAAATAGAGAAATAGAGAATGTTTATAAGCATTCAAAAATTGATTGCTACAGTCTCTTTCTTTTCTAAGAATCAATGTCTTTGAGCTATTGTGAGAAAAAAGTTTGGGACTACAGTGTCCCCTACCAAACTGGGAAGAAGCCAAGAGACCAAACTATGATTCAGAAAAGTCTAACTTGATGAGTAGATGAATTTATTAGGACTTACATACACTCTTGGATAACATCAGTACAGCTGTAGAGATCTGTGCCACTTCCTGTCTCTAAATTGCTTTTAAGCTAATTTTCTGTGTCTGTCTCTGTCTCTTTGCCTACTGTGTTTGAGTGATGAGACTGTTTTCCTTGGTAGGTTCTCATATATTTTCTGGAATGTTTAGGTTCTCAGGGAAACCTGCTCCTCTATTGGACACCATGGCCTTGGCTCACTGCCAAGTCTTCAGGGTTCAGACAGCAGACATTCACTTGTGAGTAACCTGGTGGGAGACCCATCCCACTACAATCCACCCTGTTCCCCAGCTCTTATATTTTTTTGCCAATCTTATGTGAGTGTCCCTCAACAGCATACAAGGGGAAGAACTATATGTGCCTATAATGTATACCCATGGCTTTTGTGTATAGGCTATACCTATATCCTATATAACAGCATTAAAAGCTGAAAATAACTACAATTATGATGCCTGTTAGCAAAACATAACTCCAATGAATAGGTAAGGTGTCTAACTAATTTGAGAATGAGTCAAAGAGACCTAATTGGTTGTATCATGGATCTGAGTTGACAAATGATTTAAAGCATTTATGACATTATAATTTTCTTTATCTGGGATACAGGCACAACAGGTAGCACCTATAAGGGCACATGTTGTTTGTTCTCCATTGAGTTGCCTATCAGGCCTCCAGGTGGAAAAAATCCCCAGTGAGCCCAGGTTGTATTTTAGGTGTTGTTTATCCAGTTATTCTAGCTCTGTAGAGAGAATGGCAGAATATTCTAAGGCATACCATCATCATTTGTTAGGGGAAGGTATCTATATATGCAACAATCAGACTGGTTGTTGACTGCTGCCATATTTGCAACCCAGTCCAAAAAAGGTGCTACCAGCTGCCATGAGTACCAGGAACAACAGCCTATGGGTATAAACACAAGTGTTTAGTGAGGACCATCATGGATATATTTATTTTAGCATCATTAGCATTGAATTTGTATCCATTGGCCCTATTAGGTGGCCACTGTGGGCTTGAGGCCTGGCTTACAGTACTAGCTTCCCTCCATAGAAGTGGGATAATAGCCAATTGATAAGTTTTGGGCCTTGTCCATGCTACCCGCATGATGATCACTCCCGCTGGTATTGGTACTGCTGCAAGTTGATAGTGTAAGGCTCTTGGATCTCCATCAATAAGCACAACTGGGGCCGGGTGTGGTGGCTCATGCTTGTAATCCCAGCACTTTGGGAGGCCAAGGTGGGTGGATCACCTGAGGTCAGGAGTTCAAGACCAGCTTGGCCAACATTGTGAAATCTCATCTCTACTAAAAATACAAAAATTAGCTGAGTGTGGTGGGGGGTGCCTGTAATCTCAGCTACTCGGGAAGCCGAGGCAGGAGAATTGCTGGATCCTGGGAGGCAGAGGTTTCAGTGAGCTGAGATTGTGCCATTGCACTCCAGCCCAGCTGATAACAGCGAGACTCCATCTGAAAAAAAAAAAAAAAAAAGAAGCACAACTGGGACCAGCTGCCCTCTGGCAGGCTTCACGGCACCCTCTGGTGCAACCATACCATGACAGATGGTGGGGCTGTACAGGTACCCTTGTGGTAGCACCTGGAAAGCCTATTGTTGGACCTTTTAAGTAAAAGCAAACTGGTCCTGTTACCTTTTTGCTAAAGGAAAACTGGAAAAAGCATTAGCCAAGACTTTCACAGTATGGATATTATCCACCTTAAGGATCACCTGCTCTATATTTTCCATTAATGATTTCAGAAGTGTCACCAATGCCCCATATCATAACCTTTTTAAAATTTGAAATGACCCAGACAGTTAATTAGTACTTAAAACAATTTTAAGATTTTTAAACCATACAAAAGTTCTACCTACTGGCATTTGTCTCATTTATATTTACTCAATTTATTTATATTTAGAAGTTTACCTCGATTACTCATGAGAACCAAGACAATAGACAAAGCTAGTCATCATTTCAAGTGATTTTACAGTTAGCCATTTTCATAGCCTGTGAATATCAGGTGTTTATTTAAGCAAAGTCCTTAAAGTTAAACACACAGGCATTTTGGCAGTAACTCAGAAACTTTAGCTAATTTAATTGGACTAAAAATATTCAATTAGTTTTACTTATCAAAAAAATCACAAAAACGAAGACTATTCTGGTCTTGGATAATTATATTCATAACCTTTATTTCAAACTCTGACATTTTATAATATTTAGCTGAGGCCAATATAAAACTCTAATCAGTAAACCCAGAAAAAATTATGTTGACAATTCTAAAGACATTTTTCTTTTACTAATAATTTTAAAGCCAGATTATTTATTAAAAATTACTTAATCAACATGTACTTTAAAAATTTGGACATAATTTATAGGTACTCATGTACTTACAAGTCATTTGGTACCATGATAGATATAATATAGAACATAATACACATACAAAAACATAAAAATGTAATACTTGTATACAGACACACAAACAAAAATCCAATAGCTTTTACCTTCGAACTCTAGACATGAGACACCACCACAAACTCTTTATTTTACAAAGATTTCTAGATCCAAATTACTTCTAACAAAATTGAGATCCGAAAATATGGTTAAACTTTGTTTGCTCTTATAGGTAATTCAATGAAGTCTGTGGACCAAAATTTTGGATAGAGCAGTTTCTATAGAAGTTTGATTATGAAAACCTGTTTTACTCTTTTGTTTCCCTCGATTTCAAATGATTTTTAATGTCTACATTTCAGTTAGAATTGGCCAAACTGTATAAGAAAAATGATATCCCAAAATGGCCTTGAATTAGTGAGTTTTTTCTCCACACAAGTAGCTTAATAATAGCATATTCAAATAAGGCAGGAAATGAAAGAGAGAAATAGAGAACTTTAGAAGAATCTACTTAACTCTATAGTTGCAGCTTAACCATTTGAGCTCCGAACTTTTCTTTTGTAATTTGCTCATCAGTTTTAAAATGTACACAAAAATGAGCCATAATATGTAACCAGCTAGAGTCCTAGAAAACCCGGCATGCCTTTCATCTTCTGCTGGAGTTTCAATCCTTTCTCCCATTTCTGCTCTGCTCTATTTCTCGGTAGCCAGACTAACTGCAACAACAGTGTGCTTGCTGTTCTTATCATACTTTAATATATTAGCTATTAAATATTTATAATACATGCTCAGTCCCCACTGGCATTTTCTGAGCATTCCCATATTCACATATCAGCTCACAGCAGTTGAGCAGTTGGGCGACTCATTTCACATGCATGTTGCTGACCACCTCAGGATTCCCTCCACACTGACTCATCTGTGGTTCTATTCGTGATGCCAATTGTTACAAGAAAAGCTTAAGACTGTAATGTTCCCCACCAAACTGGGAAGGAGCCAAGAGACCAAAGACTGACTCAGACAAGTTCAGCTTAATGAATAGATGAGTTTATTAGGACTTACATTTGGGCACTCCTGGATGGTCACAGGACAGTTGTAGAGATCCACACTGACTCCCATCTCAAAACTGCTTTTAAGCTAATTTTCTAGGTGTTTGCCTACTGTGTTTGACTGATGAGGCTGTTTTTTTGGTAGGTTCTCATATATTTTCTGGGATGTTTGGGTTCTCATGCATACCTGCTCCTTGGTTGAATAGCATAGCCTTAGCTCACTGCCCAAGCTTCAGAGTTCAAGCAGTGGACATACACCCTTAAGTAACCTAGTGGGTATCTTGCCACAATATAGGAGCTTAAGTAACATACATACACCCTTAAGTAACCTAGTAAGTATCATGCCACAATACATGAGCTTCAGATTTTTCTGTGTTATTGACATGATATTAGAGGAAAAAGAAGCTCTTGGATAGAATGGCAATGATAACATTTCTCCAACCCTACATAAATCCTACAAAAAGTTAAGTGAGAAAGGTCCAGTTTCACTCTCATTCCTAATACAAAGCCTGCTGAGTGAAAATGGTCATGAGAAGCTTGTTCACAGTAAAGACTATGGACAACAGTCAGTCTACCTCCATTAATAAAATATAGACTACCTTGGCCGTGAGCGGTGGCTCATGCCTGTAATCCCAGCACTTTGGGAGGCCGAGGTGGGCGGATCAGGAGGTCAGCAGATTGAGACCATCCTGGCTAACACGGTGAAACCCCATCTCTACTAAAAATACAAAAATTAGCCAGGTGTGGTGGTGGGCGCCTGTAGTCCCAGCTACTCGGGAGGCTGAGGCAGGAGAATGGCGGGTGAACCTGGGAGGCAGAGCTTGCAGTGAGCCGAGATCACGCCACTGCACTCCAGGCTGGGTGACAGAGTCTCAAAATAAATAAATAAATAAAAATAAAAACGAAATAAATAAAATAAAATATAGACTACCTTGCAGTTTGGCCTATGTGCAGAGGACAGATGATAGCAGCTATTGTACATTTCTACAATTGGAAGAATGTGAGTGAGAAGGGGAAAAATTAATGCATCAACCATATCTTAAGCTCAAACTCATATGTAAGAAGTCCTCAATATAATGGTGGCCATAACCACGTTTTCAGAAAAAAAAAAAATTATGGCCAGTGAAAATGATTCTGAGAGCATCTACTTATTTTAGAAAATACATATTAAAAAGGGGGTATTTATACCTAAATTCAGGTCTTTTACTTTTTTTGTGTGTTTTTAAAAAATCGTTATTGGATAATACATTCACAGGGTTCAGAATTCAAAAAGTACTACAGAATTTGCAGTGAAAAGCTTTTTTTCAGGTAATTTGTGTTAGCATTGACTTGTGTATCTTTTCAGAGATACCTGTATATATTCAAGCACATAAGCACTAACTCTACTACCTCCACACTTTTTCGAGAATGGCATATTTTAATCCTTTTTTTTGCATTCTGGAATTATCATGTAAAATTTATTGTGGAGATTGCTCCATATTAGTACATTAAACATTCGCTCATTTTTATAACAACTTTTTAAAAATTTTAAAATGTAGCACATAGAGGTAAGACTACTTAACATATAAATTTATAGTTTCAATAATAATAATAACACAAGCACTTACCACCCAGGTGAGTAAAATAGTAACCCAGGTTAAGAAATAGTATAATTCTAGGGATTTAGAACCCCCGGGTGATCCTCCTTAGTAGCATCTGTCTCCATTTGAAACCTCTCAGAGGCATTCACTGTCTTGAATTTTGTTACTTAATTTTTAAAATAAATTTGCCACCCACATATATATCCTTAAATAATATATTAAGAGGATGTCACCAAGATGGCAGAATAGGTCACATGCTCATATCCCCTCACAACAACAAGAATCCCACACTCATCCACAGATGGAAGTCTCTCTGAGGGAGCTTGGAGATTCAGGTATGAGGCTGTGAAATCCCAGTGGAGCCCAAAACTTAGGGAGGCCATTTTGAGTGTGCAGACCAGCCCACAGGTAGCAGACTTGCTGATTTTGCTCCTGAGTTCAAACCCATAAATTTGCCCTGCTCCCTAAAGGGCATGGCTACAGTCATGTTTGGCCCTTAACCTGAAATCAAAACCATCTGCCAAAAGGTCCAGGAAGAATCTTTCACACTAGTGCCTTGGCAGAAAGGCTTGGCTGCCTGCTGACATCAGTCTCAGCAACAGACCTGAAAGTTACTTAGTAACTCAACCTCTGCTCCCCTCAGCCATGGTCCCAGCTTATTACTGCTCACGCAAGAATTTAGAGGAAGACTCACTCATATCTTGTAGCCTGGAAATTATTTACCCATCTGAGACTCCATGATAGGCACAGCAGCCTCTATCTCAAAGCAGATTATGAGAGGCTTCAGTCTCATCTCTGGCCTCTCTTGCTTCAGTTAGGAAGCTGTACCACCTATGTAGGGAGTTGCTAGGGATTCACCCCTGCTGGGGACACAGGAGTGTGCTTGCTGGTCCCCATCCTACAGCAGATTCTGAGAGGGCCCAGTACCAGCTCCAGCCTCTCTCACTACAGTTGGGGGAACTGCTCCATCTGTGCAGAAAACTGCTTAGAAGTGCACACATCTAGGCTACTGAGAAGTCTCACCAACTTCTATCCCGCTGCATGTTCTGAGAAAGTCCAATCTTGACTACAACCCCTCTGACTTCAGTCAGAGGATTATCTTACCTGGGAAGAGAACTGCTGGGAAAATTGCTTGTCTTTGCCAACAGGACAATCTTCCAGGCTCAGTTCCCTAGCCAGCTTTTCACACAGTCCGAGTATAACCCTGCCTTGGGTCTTCTCCAAGTACATACAGCCCAGGTCATCACACTAACCTTGGAGTTCTCACAAGATTTAAGGTGAATCTGGGTTTAGGTTTTCTTCTAGGGCTGAGAAAGTGGCAGCAGTCATGGGATTTGACAATATTCAGCCTCTGAGATTTCTGGACAAGCCCACAGAAGAAAGACAGGCACGAACAAACCAGACTGCATAGATTGGAGTAAATACCTAATTCTTCAATGCACCGACATCAGTGTATGGCTACAAGTGTTAGGAATAATCAGGAAATTATGACCTCATGAAAGGGACAAAATAAGTTGCCAGTGATTGAAGCTAAATAGATGGAGATGTGTTATATTCCAGACAAGAAACTTAAAACAATTCCATTAAGGAAGCTGTATTAGTCCGTTCTCACCCTGCTAATAAAGATGGACCCAAGACTGGGTAATTTATAAAGAAAAGAGGTTTAATTGATTCACAGTTCAGCAGGGCTGTAGAAGCCTCAGGAAACTTACAATCATGGTGGAAGGGGAAGCAAACATACCCTTCTTCACATGTTGGCAAGAGAGAGAGGTGCTGAACAAAGTGGGAAAAGCCCCTCATAAAACCAACAGATCTCATGAGAACTCACTCCCTACCATGAGAACAGCATAAGGGTAACTGCCCTCATGATTCAATTACTTCCCACCAGGTCCCTTCCACAACATGTGAGGATTATGGGAACTACAATTCAAGATGAGATTTTGGTGGGGACACAGCCAAACCATATTGTTCTGATGCTGGCCCCTCCCAAATCTCATGTTCTCATATATTAAAACACAATAATGCCTTCCCAATAGTCCCCCAAAGTCTGAACTCATTCCATTATTAACTCACAAGTCTCCAAAGTGTCATCTGAGACAAGGAAAATTCCTTCTACCTATGAGCCTGTAAAATTGAAAGCAAGTTAGTTACTTCCTAGATACAACGAGGGTAATAGCACTGGGTGAATACACCCATTTCAAATGGGAGACATTGGCCGAAACAAAGGGGCTACCAGCTGCATGCAAGTCCAAAATCCAATTGGGCAGCCATTAAACCTTAAAGTTCCAAAATGATCTCCTTTGACTCCATGTCTCACATCTAGGGTATGCTGATGCAAAAGATAGGCTCTCATGGCTTTGTGCAGCTCTGAGTATGTGGATTTGCAAGGTACAGCCACACTCCTAGCTGCTTTCACGGTCTGGCATTGAGTGTCTGGAGGCTTTTCCAGGTGCACAGTGCAGGCTTTCAGTGGATCTACCATTCTGGGATCTGGAGGATGGTGGCCCTCTTCTCACAGCTCCACTAGGCAGTACCCCAGTGGAGACTCAGTGTGGGGGCTCCCATCCCACATTTTCTTTCCACACTGCACTGGCAGAGGTTCTCCATGAAGGCTCCACCCCTGCAGCAAACTTCTGCCTGGGCATCCAGGCATTTCCTTACATCCTCTGAAATCTAGGCAGAGGTTTCCAAACCTCAATTCCTGACTTCTCTGCACTCGCAGGCCCAACACCATGTCTAAGCTGCCAAATGCTTGGGGCTTCCACCCTCTGAAGAAATGGTGTGAGCTGTAAGTTGGCTTGATTAAGCCACAGCTGGAGATGAAGCAGCTGGGATATAGAGCACTATGTCCCAAGGCTGCATAGAGCAGAAGGACTGTGGGCCCAGACCACAAAGCCATTTTTTTTCCTCTGAGGCCTCTGGGCCTGTGATGGGAGGGGCTGCCATGAAGGTCTCTGACATGCCCTGGAGACATTTTCCCCATTGTCTTGGCAATTAACATTTGGCTCACTAGTTATGCAAATTTCTGCAGCCAGCTTGAACATCTCAGAAAATGGGTTTTTCTTTTTTATTGCATTGTCAGGCTCCAAATTTTCCAAATTTTTATGCTCTGCTTCCTCTTGAATGTTTTGCTGCTTAGAAATTTCTTCCTCCAGATACCCTAAATCATCTCTCTCAAGTTCAAAGTTTCAAAGATTTCTAGATCAGAGGTAAAATGCTGCCAGTCTCTTTGCTGAAGCATAACAAGAGTCACCTTTGCTCCAGTTCCCAAATTCTTCATCTCCATCTGATACCACCTCAGCTTGGACTTCATTGTTCATATTGCTATCAGCATTTTACTGATATTACTATCAGACTTGTCAAAGCAATTTAACAAGTCTCTGGGAAGTTCAAAACTTTCCACATCTTCCTGTCTTCTGAGCCTTCCAAGTCTCTAGAAATTTCCAAACTTTTCCACATTTTTCTATCTCCTTCTGAGCCCTCCAAGCCATTCCAACCTCTTCCTGTTACCCAGTTCCAAAGTCATTTCCACATTTTCAGGTACTTTTACAGCAGCACCCCAGTCCCTGTGGTACCAATTTACTATTAGTCCATTCTCATGCTGCTAATAAAGGTGTACTCAAGACTGAGTAATTTATAAAGAAAAGAGGTTTAATTGACTCATAGTTTAGCATGGCTAGGGAGGCCTCAGGAAACTTACAATCATGGTAGAAGCATAAGCCAACATGTCCTTCATCACATGGCAGCAGGAAGGAGAAATGCCAAGTGAAGAAGGCAAAAGCCCCTTATAAAACCAACACATCTTGTGAGAACTCACTATCACTAGAACAGCATGGGGGTAACTGCCCCCATGATTCAATCACTTCCCACCGTCTCCCTCCCATGACACATGAGGATTTGGGGAACTCCAAATCAAGATGAGATTTGGGTGGGGACACAGACAAACCATATCAGAATCTCAGTGAACTTCAGCAAAACACAGAGAAACAATTCAGAAATTTATAAAAGAAATTACACAAATTTAAAAAATGAAAATAATCAAACAGATGTTGTGGAGCTACAAAACACAATGAATAAAGTGAAAAATGCAGTAGAGAGAATCAACAGCAGAATTAATCAAGCAGAAGACAAAATCAGTGAGCTTGAAGTTGAGTTATTTGAAAATATACAGAGGAGGAAAAATAAATATTAATGAAAAAGAATGAAGAAAACTTGTGAGATCTGGAGTATAGCATCAAGCAAGCAAATATTCAGGTCACTGGAGTTCAAGAGGAAGTAAAAAAAAGAATAAGGAGTAGACAGATTATTGAAAGAAATAATAACAGAAAACCAATCAAAAATGAAAAAAAAAAAGATGTAAATATTTAGGAAGAGGAAGGTCAAAGTTCACCAATCAAAATCAGCCCAAATATGATTATCCCAACACATTTTATAATTAAATTCTCAAGTTTCAAAAAGAAGGAGAACCCTGAAGGCAACAAGAGAAATTAAATAACATCTAAGGCAGATTCAATATGCCTGGCAACAGGGTTCTCAGCAGAAAAATAGAGAAAAATTCAGGATACTATAGTACTGTAATCATGGTGTATAAACCACTTACAATTTTAATATGAGGACTAAAAGAAAACTATTTAAAAAATAGCTACAATAATTTAAGAAATAATATAAAAAGATGTAAATTATGACATCAAGAATTCAAAATGTGAGGAGAGGATTCAGTTAAGTGTACAGGTTTTTTTGTTTATTTTCTTTGGTAAGTTGTAATCAAGTTAAAATAACTTCTTCAAACTATAAGATACTATTGTAAGCTTCATGGCAATCACAAAGCAAAAATCTGTAAGAGATACATTAAAAATAAAAAAAAAAATCAAAACATATTACCAGGGAAAATTACTTAATTATAAGTGAGGACAGTGAGAGAGGAAAAAAGGAGGAAAGGATCTACAAAATAACTAGAAAACAAGTGGCAAAATAGCAGTTGTAATTTCTTATCTACATATAATTACATTGAGTGTAAGCTGATTAAATTCTCCCATTAACAGACATAGATTGGCTGAATGTTTTTCTGTTCTATTTTGTTTTGTTATATTTTAGAAAAAACAGTACCCAACTATATGCTGCCTAAAAAAGGCTTACTTTACCTGTAAGGACACAGATACATTGAAAGTTAAAGTTTGAAAAAAGACAGTCTATGCACATGAAAACCAAAAAGAGCGGGAGTGGCTATACCCATATTACGTAAAATAGACTTTATGTCATAAACTGTAATAAAAGAAAAAAGGCCACTATATAATGATAAAGGTGTCAATGTAGCAAGAGGATATAATAAATTTAAATATAAATGGATTCCACATCAGAGCACCTACATATATAAAGCAAATATTAATAGACATAGTGGGAGAGACAGACCATGATACAATAATAGTAGGGAATTTTGACATCCCAATTTCGGCAATAAACAGCTCATACAGACAGAAAATCAACAAAAAAAAAAATTAATCTGTACTCTAGACCAAATAGGCCTAACAAACATTTGCAGAACGTTCTATCCAACAGCTGAAGAATACACATTCTTCTCAACAACATGTGGAACATTCTCTAGGATAGATCATATGCTAGGTTGCAAAATAAACCTTAACAATTTTTTTTTTTTTTTTTTTTTTTTGTGAGACGGAGTCTCGCTCTGTCACCCAGGCTGGAGTGCAGTGGCGGGATCTCGGCTCACTGCAAGCTCCGCCTCCCGGGTTCACGCCATTCTCCTGCCTCAGCCTCCCAAGTAGCTGGGACTACAGGCGCCCGCCACTACGCCCGGCTAATTTTTTGTATTTTTAGTAGAGACGGGGTTTCACCATTTTAGCCGGGATGGTCTCGATCTCCTGACCTCGTGATCCGCCCGCCTCGGCCTCCCAAAGTGCTGGGATTACAGGCGTGAGCCACCGCGCCCGGCCCCAACAATTTTTTAAAAATTAAAATCATATCAAGTATTTGTTATATCCACAATACAATAAAATTAGAAATCAGTAACAGCAGGAACTTTGTGAACTGTACAAATACATGAAAATTAAACATCATGCTCATGAACAACCAACAGATCAATAAATATAGTTTTTAAAAAATTAAAAATTTTAGACACAATAAAAATGGAAACACAATATATCAAAACCTGTGCAATATAGCCAAAGCAGTTCTAAGATGAGAATTTATATCAAACTAAATAAAAAAAGTAGAAAGATCTTAAACAATAACCTAACACTTACCATTATCACTACTATTCAACACAATTCTGGAACTCCTAGCCAGATAAATTAGGCAAGAGAAATAAATAAAGGGCATACAAATTGGAAAGGAGGAAGTTAAAGTGTCCTCTGAAGATTCTACAAGAATTATTAAAACTAGTAAACAAATTCAGTAAAGTTGTAGGATATAAAATTAAAATACAAAGACCAGCAGTGTTTCTACACCCTGACAGCAACATATTTTTAAAGATCAAGAAAACGATGCCATTTATAATAGCTAGTGAATGAATGAATGAATGAATAAAATACTTAGGAATACATTTAAGCAAGGACGTAAAAATATCTCTACAATGAAAACTATAAAACACTGATGAAAGAAATTGAAGAGAATACAAGTAAATAGAAAGATATCTCATGTTCATGAAGGAGGAGGATTAAGGTTAAAATGTCCATACTGCCCAAAGCAGTCAATACAGTCAATGCAATCTCTATCCATAGATGAATGACATTCTACACAGAAATAAAAGAAACAATCCTAAAATTTGCATAGAACCAGAAAAGACCCTGAATAGTCAACATAGTCTGGAGCAAAATGAGCAAAACTGGAGTCATCACATTATCTGACTTCAAAATAGACTATGAAGTTATAATAATCAAACCATTGTGGCATAGCCATTAAAACAGACACATAGACCAAGCGAACATATCAGAAAACCCAGAAATAGATCCATACATTTATATTACACTACTTTTCAACAAAGGTGCCAAAAACACATGTTGGAAAAGAGCAGTATCTTCAATGAATTATGCTGAGATAACTGGATGTTCACGTGCAGAAGAATAAAACTAGACTTCTGGCTTCCATCATATGCAAATATCAACTCAAAATAACTTAAAGCTCTAAATGTAAGACCTGAAACTACTAGAAGAATATAGGTAAATACTTTATAACATTTGTCTGAGCAAGGAATTTTTGTATAAGACCTCAAAAGCACTGGCAACAAAAGCAAAAATAGACAAATAGAATTCCACTAAACTAAAAAGCTTTTGTACATCAAAGCAAACAATTAAGAGAGTGAAGAGATAACCTACAGAATGGGAGAAAATAATTACAAACTATGTGTCTGACAAGAGTTTAATATCCAAAATATATAAGAAACTCAAACAATTCAAAAGCAAGCAAGCAGTCCCATTTTATAAATGGGGAAAATACCTTAGACATTTTTAAAAGAAGATATACAAATGGGCCAACAGTTATATTTTTTAAAATGCTCAAATCACTAATTATCAGGGAAATGCAAATCAAAACCATAATGAGATATTATCTCACCCCAGTTAAAATTGTTATTACCAAAAAAAAGACTGAAAATAACAAATGCCGACCAGAATATGGAAAGAGTGGAACTCACACACTGTTGGTGGGAATGTAAATTACTGCAGTCATCATGTACAACAGTATATGGATTCCTCGAAAAATTAAAAATAAAACTACCATATGATTCTCTAATCCCAATATTGGATACACATTCAAAGGAAATCAGTATGTAAAAGATATATCCATATTCCCATATTTATTGAAGCCCTATTCACAATAACCAAGACCTGGAATCAGTGTCCATTGATGGATAAATAGATACAAAAAAATGTGGTATCTATGCACAGTGGAAAACTAGCCATATAAAAGAATGAAATTCTGTTTTTACAACATGGAGGAGGCTAGAGAACATTATTACAAGTGAAATAAAACAAGCACAGAAAGACAAATACCACATGATATTGCTTGTGGAATTTGAAAAAGTTGATCTAATAAGAATTAAGTGCAAAATAGTATAACTTAGCAAAGTTATAGTTAAATAGGAGAAATAAGTTCTGGTATTCTATTACACAGTACAGTGACTGCAATTAATAATAATGTATTATATATTTCAAAATATCTAGAAAAGAGAATTTCAAATGTTCTCATCACAAAGAAATGACCAGTGTTTGAAGTGATGGATATGCTAATTACCCTGATTTGATCATTACACAATGTATAAATATATCAAAGCATCACACTGTACTATATAAATATGTACAAGTATGTGTCAATTAAAAATAAAACAAAACAAAATAAAAAATAAAGAGTATGTTATTAGTTTTGAAACCCTAAGTGGTAAACACAGATTATCTTTGTAAGAAAAGGGCATCTCACAACTTTTTAGATGTGGACTCACAGGAGACTAGAATCTTTTAGGGGACGTCAGTGGCACCATCATGAGAGTTTTGGAAAATATGTAACTGACCACAGTCTAAGCATCTAGTGAGGCTGAAGGGTAAAACACGTACCGAGCCATCTGGGAGATACTTGATCAAAGAGAGTGAGCCGCTCTTATTTTTATATCCCGAGTTCAACACAGTCTATCTTGAGTGCTCAGAAGTACTCAAAGAACACATCTGTGGGATGAAATAAGTGACCTAAGCTGATTCAGCCTGCCTAACGTTGAAAAGGGGATCAGGAACTTCATCCGTACATTGTCAATAAGCACAGGTCAGTATTAAAGGCACTTAGTGCTACTGGCTTTTGAGCTTGTTGAGGATTCTGCCATTCTCAGATTTCTAGCTGGAGATTTCATTATTGGGTGCCTGCTATATGGGTTATCCTTTGCCTGTCTGCTGTTCAGCTTCCAAAATTTTATGATCGTTATCTTCTCTCCCACCATCCTTATTCCTTTGTATTTTATATCTTTTTAAAAATGTCTTTATGGTAATTCTATTGAGTATTTGACTGATAGCAAGGTCAAACTGGAACATTTAATTTATAGGCTTTGCCAAGCAACCTATAAAACCTCTTTAAAGAAAATAGTACTGACATATTTATCAATAAATTTAACCTATGTATTGTGTAACATACCATTTTATAAAGTTGGTAAAATACAGCAAGTTAACATTGTAGTCAAATATACCCCAAACCATATTCAAAAGTATTTTATTCTTACCATAACTGTTTTTCTTGTTTTTGCTTTATTCTTTTTAAAATAAATCAAAAGTGTAAGTCAAATGAAAAGTTTGATTTTTATCACAAAAATCATGGGATTGAGAAAGATTGCTTTGGGGAGATTTTGAGAGACTCATGAAGAGATTTGGTGTAACTCTGACTTCGTCAAAGAAACTCAAGGATATTTGCTCCCCTGACTGATTTTTTCTCTTAATTGTAAATTTCTTCTAAAACAAGCAATAGTCTTAAAATACATCTCCCTAATTGTGAGTATGTAGTAGATAACTCTCAGGGGTATCACCCCAGCCCATGCCTCTATTCTCCATAAACTGTTTCTGTAACTACAATGTCAAGTATATATGGATGTATTTTCTTGCCACTTCTCTGATCTAAAGGAAATGAGTATTCATCAAAACTATTCTGTTTGCAGGAATCTAGAAGCAGAAATCCCCTTCATAGTTCCTGAAAGTGTATGCTCTCAGTTCTGAAATTAGGACAAAATCAATGGCCTCACACTTTCTGAATGTCTGGGAGAATTTCTTCTCACTTGTGCCATTTACCCACCCTTGGTGAATGATTGTACTACAATATTAGGGGCCTCCCGCCAAGCCCCATGTTTATAGAACATTGAAAATTATAGAACACAGGATTCATTATAATTGAAAGACTTTCATTATTCAAAATGTAAATAAATAGTGAAAAACTGTGTTTATGGTCAGAAAGCTGGAATAATAATACATTGAAGTCACAGGAAAATAAATTTACAGGATGGGTTGATTGATAGTGTCAAAGAGCATAAAGGAAAACCAATTTGTTTGTTTATTTTCAAATGTGTAGTTTCGGGAGTTTGAAGAGAGCCTGAAATAATTATAGTATGTAAATAACAAACTAGGAGAGAAAGCATTTATAAACCAGAGGCCACAAGTTTACACTTTGCATTTTATACATTTGGCAGTGAAAGAAGGTAGAAAAAGAACTATGACCCATTTGTAAAATACTTCTTGTTTTCAGTGTTGCAAACATTAATACTCCGATGGATTTTTAATGTGTTTTAAAATCAACAGTAAAATTATTAAAGACATCATTTTTGAGGAAAACTGCATTATAATATCATCCATGTAGAAGGGTTTGGTAAAATGCAGATCCAATGCTTGCTCACGCTTATGAAAGATTACCAAAAGGCTCTCACATATAAAATGATGCCAGAGAGAACTGGAGGAATAATGTAATTAGATTTGTTGAATACCTCCAAGTGGGTTAGCTTCTTTCTTACATTTAAGGTTAAGTCAGAGTCAAAATGAGATTTAAGATAGATTGCTGTTAGGAATTAACTGTGGCACAGATCAGAATGACTGCATTATTATGTGTTGAGTGTCTCAGGCGTCTTTGATTGTAAACATCAGAAATGAGCTCTGGCTTATTCGAATAAAAGTTTAGTTGTTAGAAGGACAGTAAGGTAATTCACAGAATCAAAGGAAAGCTGAACTAGCTAATGGAAGCCTTAAGAGCTAGACTGGCTTTGAGAGACTCAGCAGCAGAAACCCAGGGACCATCTTTCCAGAGTCTCACTGTATGGTAATCTGCCCCAACAGCCTTACATTCCTCCTTTCCATTTAAGACTTTTACTTCCTGGGAGATAAAATTGAATTGACTAAGTCTGGATCAGGAGTCTCTCTCTATGTCAGGATTAGTATCTCACGGCCAGAAGATACAGTAAGAACAATTGTGGGTTTGAAGCCCCTTCTGTCTTTCAGAGCTTTCAATTTTCTATCCAGCCTGTTGGCTAAGACAGACCCTTTCCGTTGGAATCTTGGTACATACAGGACATCTATGTTTGGCCTATGCTGTGGAAGAATAAGGGTTCAAAAAACAGCAAGTGCTCTGCTAATTCCCTGCTTGTAAGATCATCTCCCATAAGCTCCGTATCTGTGCCATGTGGCACTAGTGGCATGTCAGTGATCCTCTTGTTTGACAGATTCCTTCCTGTCTCTTATATTCTTCACCTTATCTGTAGGCAAATTGTATCAGCTCTGCCTTTAACATAGATTCAGAATTTGACCACTTCTCATCATGTCCCCTATTACCACAGACGAGGTGGCTTAGACAACAGTAATTTATTTTCTCACAGTTCTGAAGGCTAGAAGTTTGAGGTCAAGGTTTCAGTATAGGATTAGGACCCAGCCTAATGAACTCATTTATACTTAACTAACTCTTTAAATACCTTATTTCCAAATAAAGTGGCACTCTGACATACTGCGTGTTAAGATATCACCATATGAATTTATGGAGGGACAAAATTTAGCCTATAACATTCACTCTGCCCAGGCCCACTAGCCTCTATGCAGGTCCCAGAACTTAAGCCTGGCTGGAGGGTTCCTGCATGAGGGCAAGAACTGGATGTTTCTATCTGCTTGGACAATGATTCCTCCAGATATCTCCATGTCTCTATTATTAACTTCGGTAAGGCTTTATAAATATACCACCTTCTCCGCATGGGTTTGTCTGCCCAACGTGTTTAAAGATGCAACCATTAAACTCAGCACCTCTGTCACACTCCCTCATTCATTTCCCTGCATAATACATTATTTTGTTTATTGTCTATCTCCCCATTAGAATATAAGCTCTATGAGGAGCTGTTTTAACTGCTGAATCTTAGCAGTCTATAATAATAGTGCCTAACACATAGCCAGCATTCAGTAAATATTAATTATAATTTAATTCATCAATGTCTGAATTAGTTGGTTTTTGAATATGACCTAGATGTGCAAAAGTCACTCATTTCCAAACCCAATTAAAAATAAGTTATTTCTAAAAATTCTGAGTTCCCATAGACATATGATGCCATTAAAAAATTAAAAAATGTTTCATGTAGAAATGTATAGTATAACATAGAATGATAAATTGAAACTTCCATTACATTTTATCTTTTCAAACCCAGTTTCTATGGAATGCTATAAAAGTAAGCATGAATTAACGTTATCATTTCCTAAGCTTAAAAAAGGATTTTCTCTCCAAATGGGTAAGTACTAATACTACTACTTAAAAAAAAAAAAAAAGGCTTCTTTGCAAACAGCCAGCACTGTTGACCAGGCATGAGAGCAGGTGTGGGAATCCTGAATCAAGATTCTGAATCACCTCTCTGCTTAAGCCAGGGAGAAGGCGCTGCTGGAAAGACAGAGCCCACCGTCCTGCCAACGGCAAGTGCAGAGGCAATTCCCTGTTGAGTTTTGCTTCTGCCTTATGCTTCTTGGAAGCAGAGTGTGGTTGTTAATACATCAGAAAGACTGGGGACTGCAAAGAGGAAGAAGAGCTGGAGCACTACTCAGTAAATACTTTAAAGTACCCCTGGGATTGAAGTAAGTGTTTGGAGTGAGTGAGACTGTTTACCTAACAAAGCTTATATTATCACATTTCACATTTTGCCTGGCTCCAATGATGTGAGCCACATAAAAATGCATTCAACTGTGGCATTCCCCTGCTTCGCTGGCTTTAATTAAACTTGCTTTGTGCTTAGGAAATTTGCAAACTCTTTGCAGTGGAGGAAAGAAAAACACGGGTTATTCACATGGGTAGGTTTTTCCCTTTAACTCACACAGCTCAGAAGTTTTGTCATATTCAGTGACTCTGGTGGTTACAGCACAGTGCCAAAATTCATTAACAGACTCTGCTCACCATTCCTGGGAATGGAATTGCCACCTAACTCTAGTACACATGATTGATAGCATCAGAGAAGAAGGTCACTAGATTCTGGCCCTTATCGAGATCTGTCACTCTGTGAAATGGCTTCACAGAAATGAACAGAAAACGATGGAGCTCCTTGCTGTGCCAACAGAGGCATCGGCTTGGGTATTTCCTGGCCTTTCTAGCACACACTACTCCACTTCACCTGGGAATGACTGGCTGGTGGTGAAGGGCTAAGCCCATAGCAAACTACCTTTCAGTTGTTACAAAGAAATAACTATATGACAAATCTTCAGGCAAGAAAAATTAATTCTTTAGTAGCAACAGTGCTCAGTATTTCAGCTGAGAGGTAACAGAAATCTGGGAGTGAAAAGAAAGCAAAGCTCTTCTTGCAGTAATCGGGGGATAATTTCACTTTATTTCAGGGGGAAACACAAAACTGTTAAGAAGTAATTAAGGCAAATAAAATTGATCCTAGAGAAAAAATTTGAAAATTCCATAAGCCTCAAATTTGTTTGAGGTCAAAAATGATACGGTATGGTGACATATGTCCTTAAACTACAAATTGTCACAGAAACTACAAATTGTCCTTGTGCTGCCCGATAGATTTGCCCATGACCACTGAAGATAATAGTCCACTTAATGGAATTCCAAAGCTTCCAGAAAAAAACAGCCATCCCTTAACGCTTTCCTTTTCATGTACTGCTTCTTGGATTCCTTGAATAATGTTAATTATACTCTCTCCTCTCTAGTCTCCTCTTCCTGGAATGTTCCAATGCCTTCCTGCCTTTGCATGTGCTACTTCTGATAGAAGGTTTCCCAAGCTGGGAAACAATCCCCTTTGTGGTATTTGGAGACTTCAAATGAGCCTCATTCTATACTCATGTAAAACCACTGTTTTCCATACCTAGAAATAAGTCAAGCAGTTTAGGGTGCATCATAGACCTGATTGATTAATACATCATATTGTTCATCTTGGAGGTTCATAGAGTAGTATGTTCATCTTGGAGGTTCATAGAAGGTGCTGGACTCAGGGTACAAGTTCTGCCATTCCAGTTTGAGTTCACTTATATGCCTTGACTTTGTATTGATCTTCCTACTATTTGACATGTTCATTTCCTTATATCTGGACTCCAGTTCCTGAGAAGGTGATGTGCTGTATTCGCAATTTTGGGAACAGATGACATAAAAAATGTCATACTTTACCTCCCCTCAAAGCTCCAGTAAGAGACAGATATTCAACTTTGAGGTGGATGCAAACTGCCTCTCTCCAAGGGAGGGATTTATGGCCTTAGACACACACTTATGAGAAATGAATGCAGGCTGGTATTCATTGTTCAAGAGGCTCTTATCTCAATTGTTGCTATGCCTTAAATGTGCTTCTCTCTATCCTTCATACCCTCCTTCACCTGAAGAACATTTATATCCGTTTTAACTCACAACCTAAATATTACTTCCTCAAGATGGCATTCTCTGGCTACTATGTCAAGAATAGGATTCCACCCCCATCACCCACTGCTAAATTTGACTGGCCTTAAGAGAAAAAAATTTAAAAAAACTCATATTGTTTCCTTTTATATTACTTTGATTTTTTCCCCTTTGTAGTCTTCTCTTTTGTGGTTTTTTCCTCTATTGTCATTGTGGATTTTTAACACTTCACATGGGCAAAAACCTGCCTGTTTTGTTTACTGGTATACTCCTGCAGCTGTGATGGTAGGTTTTCATGATGAACGAACAATGTTTGCTGCATAAACAAACTAAAAGAGTAAAATATAACTATCAAAAAAATAAAACCATCTCTTACAGGGAACACATAGATATTTAAAGCAATATTAGCACTTACCCTAAGACCAGGTTATGATGGAAAGAAAGTACTATCTCTAAGCATGGAGGATGAGAACCATGCTCAGTGGCCAACTCGAGCTCAGTGGCTAGAGTTGTACACCCCTAAGACTACCTATTTATCTATTAACTATGGTTTTTAGAAAATTGATGTTAACAAATGTGTGAAGTATTGTACATTGTCATGAATCAGTTGTTATTAGGGTGCCTCTTATTTTGACTATTGGCTCTTATTTCCCCAAAGTGTTGGGGTCTGAATGATTAGCCTCCAAAGACTAATACAGGTATCAAAGGATCGTAGAAGCTACAAGGAGACAGGTTGCAAAAGATAAGTGTCCTTCTCTATGATTGTCTGAATTCAATATACGGGAGGTCTCTAATTGAGAGTGGGGAGCTAAATGTGCCATCACTGAAAATGGTTGAAGTAGATCTCACGAGAGAAATAGTTTCTAAGAAGTAAAGACATTGAAAGTTTGACCACAAAACCTTGAAAAGATGAAGCTAAAAAAAAGCTTGAATCCAAAGTTAGGTATGTGATAAAGAAGCAGAGAGCAGCAATTCATCAGAAAGGCAGGCAGAACGCAATCAACTTTTAGAGCATTTCTGTTGTGCCGCAGAAAATGTTTCTGAGGTCCAGGTCACAAGGTGTCGTTGTTAAAATGATAGATACCCTGTCCCAGGCTGCAAGCAGTTTACCTAGTCCTTATTCCCAGTGGCTCAAAACCTGCACTTAACTGCCTGGGGACGGGGCATCTCAAAACCAAATATTAAGATAAAGAACTAACAAGAATGAGGAATGCCTTCTAATGCTTTTCCTCAGATTTCATCAAATTAAGCATTCAATTCTCACTGCTGAAACTAACCTAAGCTGGCTTTCAGGTTATGGCCACCACATTTATTTCTGTGTTCCTAAAACTTGATTTGAAATTGTATAGAATAGGGCCAGATCTTACTGGAGACAAGGGTGATATAGAGGCTAACAGTGTAAGGTTACTCTGAAACTTTGGACCACAATTTGTTAAGTATTTGACTGATTTTTGTTCGTATATATTTGGTGAACAGACTGAGTTGAGGGATCTCTGCAAACAACGCAAGTCAATCATTTACCAGTCAAGAGCTGGACAATGGATTTTTCCAGGAATCTCATAGTTCTCCTTAAGACTGTTAATATTGGCATTTCCACACTATGTCAGAAGGGATTATATTCTTCTATTAAGATTATTTATTTTTGACTTGATTTTCATATATATTAAGGTAATTTAGAATAATTAGTGAAAATACATGTAATTAACTAACTATAGTAATAATACGTATAAGTGAAGAAGAATGGAATGGTAATATTCTTGCTGGAAGAATGGAATATTACCATTTAGTTTCATCCTTTTAAGTTGCCACTTATACTTGTTATACTAGAGCTCCATCTTTAAAAAATCAAAATCAGTGTAAGAAAGATGACTCATCAAATGTAGTTTTATTTTTAAAAAAAAGAAAGAGAAAAGTGTTGGCTCCCATGCATTCTCTCCTTTGATTGCTACCCCCAAGCTCAACACTTAGAGTTCTCACTTGCCTTTAAAAAGCTTCCTGTGGTCATGATTAGTTGACATTGTAGATGTTTTCTTTCATTTTCCTTTCCTATCTTTTCCATCAAATCCTGTCTCTCAAGTACATCCCCTTTCCACTCCTCTTATTCACAGAAACCCAACTTCCTAGAGACACCCTGCTGCTAATTAATGGTTACATTTCAACCAGGTACCTTTGCGGAACAACTCAGAGGAATAGATAAATCAGTAAATACAATAAGTAAATTGAAGTTGTATAGAAAGATGGTGTATTCATAATGCTATTTTTCTTCAATTGCAATTAACAAATATGATTAAAGTGTAAAAATGGGATTCTGAGCCAAAACAAATAAAAAAAGAAAATGTGTTATCTGTAGAATACTTCCAAGGCGGCAACAAGTTGTAATCATGGAAAAGAGAGCTCTGGAATTAGATAGACCTGGGTTTGATTCTCACACTACCATTACTGCTGTTACCTTTAGCAAATTTAAAAATTCTCTGAGCCTTAGCACTCTAACTTACAAAATGGGAATATTAATGATTACCTCCAAAGCTATATGCAAAAATTAAATGAGATTTAATGTGCAATGTGCATTTATTCAGTGTTACATTTTTTTCAGCCCTACTACATAAAGACACAACTTTAGAGCCCCTTCCAAGTCTTAGATATAGGAAACACAATCTGATGCACTTAGAAGCAGCTGTTTCTATAGCTCCTGTCCTTCCTTTACCTTTTTATCCCATGGAAAGGAAGCAGATTAAGAGGAGCCATCAAGGAAAGAACAGTGGACCACTCCAGGAGTCAAATAAGATAATGAAGAAAACACAGGTATTGGCATCTCATCTGTGCTCAAGTCCTATTGTAACCATTTGATAGATTCTGACCTTCATTCAATCCTTCAATCATTTATCAAATATGTGTTAAGTTATTGCTAGATACTGGACATTTTGGTAGATACTGGAGGAATAGGCGAAGCAGACATTTGCTGTTTTAGGAAGGAGGAAGGGGTAAAGACAATTTTGTAATCTCTATAATGGGGAATGCAGAGTATACCCTAGGGGGAAATCAGTAAATTGCCTAATATAGCCTTAAGGGATTGAGGGAATAGTGATGTATATGCTGGGCCTGATGTATGTGTTGGAGTTATGGGGGAAAAAAGGGTAATTTCATTCAAAAACATGCACTAACCAACTATGTACATACATCTGAAAGTACTAAAAACACAGAGGTGAAATATCAGAAAGATTTCTGTCTTCAAGGAGCTTAACTTCTGCAAATGTTAGATAAACAAATAGGTAAGTAAAATAGAGTACATGTCAGTGGTAAGGAGAAAAGAAAGAGGAGTGGAGAGTGCTTAGGGGAGATCTGAACAGCGTGTTCAGTGTAAACCTCACAGAGGTGACATTTATTTGAGTGGAAGGATCCCTAAGCCAGGAAAACACAATGTGCAAAAACACAAGCATGAGGCCCCCAGATTTAGGTCTAAATGTAGCAGAGTTCAGTGAGAGGGGAAGAGGTGGAGAATGATGAGTCTAGAAAGATAAAGTCCTCATGGGAATATATAAAAGGGATTATGTTTTAAAATATCCACTCCAAAATATTGACACCCAGAATCAAATAAATAATAACTGAAAGCACTTTGCAAAGCAACAAGAATGTTCAGTATGATGATTATTATTATTATTATTTGAGACAGAGTCTTGCTCTTGTTGCCTAGGCTGGAGTGCAATGGCACGATCTCGTCTCACTGCAACCTTTGCCTCCCAGGTTCAAGTGATTCTTCTGCCTCAGCCTCCTGAGTAGCTGGGATTACAGGCGCCAGCCACCATACCGGCTAATTTTTGTATTTTTAGTAGAGATGGGGTTTCACCATGTTGGCCGGGCTGGTCTCAAATTCCTAACCTCATGATCTGCCCGCCTCAGCCTCCCAAAATGCTGGGGTAACAGACTTTGCCACCCCACATCCGGCCGTATTATTATTATTTATAGCACATATTATTATTAGGGCAAGTTAATCCATTCTCTCTAATCCTCAGTTTTACTCATTTGTACCATGGATAAAATAATGACTCTTTAGTCTTCCTTGAGAACAGCATGGGGAAAAATGAGGTATTTAAGCATTATAAAATACTTTGAAAATCCATACTGCTTTTCATATGTATGATACTATTTGTCTTAGGAAAAAATAGATACAGCATAAGTAAACGCTTGTCAGCATACTTTTAAGTTCTTTCAGCTCTTAGAGGGTTCCCAGAGGGGAGAAATATATCAGTTTTCTATATATTTCAAGCTCATCTCTTTTGGGAATATATATATTTAAAAGAAACAACAACAAAAAAAAATCAAGGAAAGAACTTTGTCAGCAGAGGCTCCAAATTCAGCACAGGTTTGCAAAGGTCCTGATCCAGCAGGATATGGATGGATGCTCTGGATATCAAATAAACTCCTAATGTGGAGGGTGTAGTTCAAAGTTCCTTTTCAGTATTGCACAGGTACCAGACTCACATCAGATTATGGGGAGGAATGTCCAGCAACCTTCATGACCAACAGCTACCAAGCTATAGACCTTTCCCAGATTGCTGTCATGGACTTTGCACTGATGTACTAATCCAGAAAACATTCATAACCACATGGTACTGTCTTTGAAATGACCCCAAGGCAGTTCTTCAAATTTGTTAACTCTGCTTTTCATTTGTGTATTTTGTTTACACATTTAGGAAGACTCAATGCCAGTATTTGAAAGTATTGTTTAAATGGCAGGCATATCTAAAAAATATTGTCATTTCTGTGCCTCTGCTTTCCATTTTATTTTGAAACAAACAAAAACAATTGTTTAGTCCAGAAGAGAATAATTCAGAGAAACTGAAGCTTTTGGGGAGACGAGAGAGATTTATTAAGCATTTACCATGTTAGTTCTACGACACTAAAGGTGATCCCAAACATTCTCGGAGGTGTTTTGCTGGAGAAACAAAAATTATACTCTTGTATTTAAAAGTCCTATGAGTTCTCAAAAATAATAATTACTCTTTACTAAGCACTGATTATATACTTAGCACTATCAACAGCCATCATGTGTCTGTGTATACACACATATAATCTCACTTACTTTTTACATTAAAACTATGACATAAACATTATTATCCTCATTTTAAACACAGAGAAACTTAGTAACTTCCAAGGTCACATAGCCAGTTATGTGATAAAGATGACAATTCATCTCAGTTCTGGCCTCCCCAAATTTCATACTCTTAACCACCAGACTAAATAGCATCCGTCAAAGAAAAAATATAAGTAAATAAGGAATTCTACTGCCAATTAGTCTGGTGCTTCACATGAATGTAGAGAGAAAAGCTGTATATCTACAACATCATATGGCTTGCAGGAGAAAATTTTGAGTAGAGAGGCTATTTACCAGGTTTCCTGGAGTTATGACTAGCATAGATAATATTTGTATTTGGTTTAATTGCTACATGTGCTTAAAACAACAGATCTGACCAGATGTGGTCGCTTATACCTGTATTCCCAGCATTTTGGGAGGCCGAGGCAGGCGGATCGCCTGAGGTTGGGTGTGCGAGACCAGTCTGACCAACATGGAGAAATCCCGTCCCTAGTAAAAATACAAAATTAGCCAGGTGTGGTGGCGAATGCCTGTAATCCCAGCTACACAGGAGGCTGAGTCAGGAGAATCTCTTGAATCCAGGAGACAGAGATTGCAGTGAGCCAAAGTCATGCCATTGAACTCCAGCCTGGGCAACAAGAGCAAAACACTCCGTCTCAAAAAAAAAAAAAAAAAAAAAAAAAAATTCACCAGCACCAACAAAAAAAAACACAGATCTATCCATACATGTGAACTAAAGGATCTGAAATTCAATCTAATGATTTAGGGGTAACCCAACTTTGACTTATCCAAGAGATCATCCTTCTCCATTAGCATAAAGGATTCCAAATTGAATTTTTTAGTAAGTGCTTTTAAAGCCAGGTCCAAAAATTTCTCTTTTAAAACTTGCCAAATATTTCAGAAATAATTAAGTCATTAGACTATTTATCAAAATAGAAAATGCATATTTTCTTATATCCAGCAATTATATTTCTAGGAATTTATTTTACAAAAAATTTCACACATCTACTTATAGATACATAGACAGATGTTCATTGAAGCATTGTTTAAACAGTAAAGGACAAGAAACGAAGTTAAGACCCATCAGTGGAGACTGACTGAAACCATTCTTTATTCAATTAATATTCCTCATGCATTCTGTGTGTCAGGGATTGCTTGGTCAATGTGATTTGGATTTACAAATCACAATGACATGGAAATTTTATAGCACTAAGAGACAGAATATTCAAAGGGTTTCATGAACTCTTTAGTTTATCTCAAATGCAGAGAGCAAAAATAGATAAGTAATCCAAACTCTAATTTTAGGCCTCTTCCTATAGGTAAGAAGAGTTTTGAATCATTGATTGATGCTGAGCCTTAATCTTGATACTCACCCCTGTCTGACAAATGACAGAACAGTGCCCACAGCTTATAACCAAATCAAGTCACCCGAAGGGTTGACTAAAGCTGATCCCAGCATGATGGAGGTAGGGAATGCAGGTGGCTGATTGTCCTGACAATGTCTTGAATTTCCCAGGGATTGGAGTAGGTGGCCCCTGTTAACATTCAATCACAAGAATTGCCTATGCTGAATTCTATTACAACGTGTGCTTGTTTTATTTTGCATTCAAATGGGGTGAGTTTGTTCCTAACATATTTAATTAGACATAAATATAAAAAAAAAACACAAAAAAGCAGAATTCCTAAAAAAAACAAAATAAATAAATCTTTAGGGACTCAAAAATATGCTTTTATCTTCTTAAGTGCAGTTAAAAGACAACTTGGAGGAAAGGGCCCAACAAGCTTGTTTGGCATATCTTACTTTAAAGAAGTGATCATAATCTACCTTCCTCTCATCATTGTCCACAAGAAGTAAAAATAATTATGTGGCTGTTTGGCAATAAAAGAGGGGTGGTTCCTTAGAGCTCTTTTGGGAATTTTCCTGAAGATTATCACTTCACTCTGTGTGTGTGTGTGTGTGTGTGTGTGTGTGTGTGTGTGTGTGTTGAAGGAAATATTTAGTAGTTACCTTTGAGCAGGGTGCCTGGAGATTTTTAGTTTTGGTTGGGAAGAAGACTTTTTTTAAAAATTAGTGTTTTATATAGAATAATGTCAGATTTAGAGAAAAGTTGCAAAAATCATACCGAGTGTCCGTACATTCCTCATCCAAGTCCCCCTATTTTTAATAGTATATATCTCTATAGTACACTTGTCACGAATAAGAAGCCAACATTGGTACATTACTCTGAACTCTAAACTTAGATTTCACTAGGTTTTCTTCACTAATGTCTTTTTACAATGGGACTTCTTGAAAATCTTAAAATATAAAAAAATCCCATATACATATGTAATTTATAATTTCTTTTCATAATCCAAAATTTGATGCTTATTTATCAGGAACTTACAATATGATTAAGATGCTCTAAGGAATTGAGAGGAGTAGTTGCAAAGAAAATGTAATCCTCTCCTTTAATTTGCTTATAATATGTATATTTTTTAATTATAATGAATATTTTACCAAGAATTATCTGTAATCAAATGATAAGGATTGCTAAAAATTGTTATATTGTTTAAAGAGCCATTGACACTTTATATTTTAGGCACTGTGCAAGGCATTTTACATGCTTTACATGCATTATCTTGCTTAAGCCTCACAATAACTGCAAACAAACAAGTGGGTATTACACCTACTTATCTATGAAAGCCAGAATAACCAAAGAGACAACTTGTGTAAGGAAAAACAGTATGTGACAGAGCTAGAATTTGAAACTCTTTTTTATGACTTCAAAGCATCTGTCTCTTTTCACTATACCATTAACAAGTTAATGGTATAGTTCCTATTAACAAGTTAAACTTGACCATTATAAGGTCAAATAAGTTGACTTTCTATTTCTGAACTCAAGCTAACTGACAGGATAGGGAAATTAAGGCAAGAAGGTAGAGGATATTAAAATAAAAAAGGAGACTCATCAAAAGTAAAATCGTTGCACATTAATTTTGCACATTTTGCATAATCTTTAATAGCTATTTTAAATCACAGTGTGCTCAAGACATTAGGAATATAAAGCACACTCAACTTCAATGTTCCTTAATGTGCTTGTAGCTCATACCTGAAACTGCATTCCACTATGATTTGTTCCCATTTTCATTAAATCTTGGGCTTTTAAAAAATTTTATTTCTTCCTCCTGTAGATTCACCTATAAAATATGTTGAGAAATCATATCTTCTCCTGAGGCCTTCTTTTCCAGATACTGTGTATTTCAAAGTGATGGCCCAGAGGTGGAATAGAGATTAAGTGGAGGAAGATGCATAGAGAGGGAGGCTGCATCTGTGGTGAGAAGAATAAAGCAGAGAGAGATTCGAAGAGGGAATAGGCTCTTGGCTTAAAGTATCATCCTCTCTTAACATGGGTAAGGGCTGGCACTTTTCACCAGAGTTGTATTTTCATGACATCATATTTATTCACAGGTCTTATAGCTTAGAAAATAAGGACTCAGCAAGAAATTTTAAAAAGTTATTGAAATTCAGACTTCTCTAGAAGTTTAGCTTTTTTCTGGATAGACTCTACACTCAAAATTAGGAAAGTACTTAGATTAGGTTTATTCAGTATTTCTGAGACTTACAGGATTAAGACAGAATAAAAACCTTGCATGCAACTGTGCCTCATTACCAAGGAGGAAAGTAGTAACCCATTAAAATCAAACACTAATGATTAAACAGTATTAAATCAGTCTTCTCAGTCTTATTAATGCAGACTATCATTTCTTGAAAAAAAAAGCTACCCAAATAAAGATATGAGATTACTCATGGTGTAAGTGAACACAAAAATAAATACAACTAAGACAAATCAAATTGCTATCTTAATTACACTGTAAGTTCTTTGACAGCAAGGAACATGCTCTCTTTTTCATGTATTATCCAGCTTACCTTGAAACCTTTGAACATGTTCTTCATTGGTGAACCCATTATTTGTGATACAATAACTACAACAGGAAATAACTTTCATTAATTTGCATCATGACTTAGAGAAACAATTCAAGAGTTTGAATTAAAACACACTGGCTATCACTGGCTCTATGACTTTCGAAAAGCAATTTACAGTACAGAATTGTAATGACATATGAGAAAGTAATTTTAAAAGTAAAGGTGTATATATAATGTTTTACTATGAATAGTGTAATATATAGTTAAATAACTTAGCTGGCCCCTAATTATTTATATTATTCTTACCCAGAGTATGTTTGACATTACAATGATTGTATAATAGGTTACACCAGAACACAGGATGTGCCATTCATCAAATCTTATTCTAGGTCCCCAAACAGATACATATTTCAGTGCAAACACTGTAGGGAGATGCCTTGAAACTATTGCTATGGAATAAAAGATGAAATGCTCCTGATTATTGTAAATACAAAATTGCATGCAGGATTGTGTAAAGACAATGCCAGGTTGGGCTGCCAGAATGAGCCAACAGCGCATGATGTGCTTCCCCCTGCAGAGAGCCTATAAATGAACGTGCAGTCAGGGAGGTTTCACATCACCAAGATTCCTATCCCAGAAAAGTAGATATTCATAGCTCTGGGAATGGAATGCGACCCTTGTGGAGAGCCTATAAGAGGACACATGCGGGGCGCCTGTTCATATGGATAAGATAGGGCTATAAAAGCCCTTATCTTGCCACAGCTCTTCTAGGTCTCTTTAGGGTTAAGGCACACTCCCTTCTGAGAATTTTTGGTCTAACCAGTTGTCTAGCTTAACTTCCTGTTTCTATTGATTGTTCGCAACCAGCTTTTGCTGCAACTGTTACTGCTGATTAATATCTTGCTAATCATAGGTTATGGATAGACTGTGTTTCTGTTTTAAGACTCTGTTAGAAATTGCTGACACACACACTATATTGAAAATTCTTATCTCTGTATACTGTACTTCTGCATACCGATGTTATGTTAAAGAATTACTTCATCCCCATGTGACCATCTCACCTCATAATCAAACGACCCTAAATCCCTCACTAACCTACCCCGCCCTCACTAAACTTAATAATAAATGCTGGTATACCCAGTGCATTGGCGGCATCACAGGACCAGAAGGCGGTGACCCCCCTGGACCCAGCTTTCACTATCTTGTGTGTGTCCATTATTTCTCGTCCTGCCGATCTGCCTGGGAACAAAGAGAGAGTCCCATTGCATTGCAGGCTACTGGCCAGATCCCGCAATAAAACACGCCATATCATTTCCTTATTAGTAAGAAGACTAGCTGATATTTAACATATCAGATTTAATTTGATTTTCCAATAATGCAGAATTATACCTGGCAGCTCATTTACTTTACTGTGTACAAGTACTCTCTTCCTAGTGTTTGCAGGATGAACCATTGTCTTAGGTGGAATTATCGCAGATACAGACTAGTAGCCAAGGATTTGAGTGCAATTGATTTATAAGGTAAATGTTCCTAGAAGTAACTGGTAAGGGAGAGGAAGAAGCTGGACAGAAAAGAGAAATAAACTGAGCAAGGGTACAATTTCAGAAGTTCCAGCCTCAGTCTGATCTCACAGGGAGCTACGGACTGTACATTATAACTCAAAATTTGTGGTCCCAGGAGGCAAGGGAACAGCAGCCAGTCTTTGGCTCTTGGCAGCAGTGCTGGGGTGTGGGTTGGGGAGAGTGACTCAGAGGGAGGCAAGCTGACTCAGCAGAAACACCTGCTGTCTTTCACAGTTTATTATCTGCCTGCCTGAGTCAAGGATCCTTTGGTCACAAGTAATAAAGGGTACCTCAAGCTTGTTTAGGCAAAAAGAAACTTATTAAACTAATATCTGACTATGTCATAAAATACTAGATAGGAATAATAGCCTGGGACACCAGGGACTGAATGTGGAAACCAGAAAGCCAAAAGGGACCAAAGAAGTCTTTCATTTTCTATCTCTTTCCCCAATGTGTCTCTTGCCTCTGTTTCTTTCTAAAGAAACCCTCTCTCTGATGCTCTTTTGTATATTATGCCCTCCAGTTCCTGAATTTTCATGAACTTTCTGTTGCAGAGAAAATGTAGACTGACTCAGAGCTTCTATCTCTTAGTTTTAGACCTTGTAAGAGGGAATCTGGTTCAGGTAGCAATCTTTTTCCATGAGATTGCTGGGAAGGAGAAAGCCAGCATCATAAAATTTGCCTGGAAGAACCCATCCCTGGCAACTCACAAAGAATCAGTGTGGACTAGACAAGGACCCTGAAAGCATTTCTAATATACTACATAAAACCTACTCTTCCAACAAGTAGAGGAGTGTGTAGGAGGTGGCAGTTAAATGTTTTGCTTTTAAATGTACAGTCTACCTTTGAACAACATGGGTTTGAATTGCCCTAGTCCACTTTTGTGTAAATTTTCTTCTGCCAACCCTGACACAGAAAGATGAACCCTTCCTCTTCCTTTTCCTTTTCAGCCTACTCAATGTGAAGATGACAAGGAGGAAGACGATTATGATGATCCACTTGCACTTAGTAAATAGTAAATATGTTAATATATTCTTTTCCTTATAATTTTATTTATTTATTTATTTATTTTACTTTAAGTTCTGGGATACATGTGCTGAAGGTGCAAGTTTGTTACATAGGTATACATATGCCATGGTGGTTTGCTGCAACTATCAACCTGTCATTGAGGTTTTAAGTCCCGCATACATTAGGTATTTGTCCTAATGCTCTCCCTCCCTTTTCCCCCAACCCTCTAAGCCCCCGACAGGCCCCACTGCATGATGTTCCCCTCCCCGTGTCCATGTGTTCTCATTGTTCAACTCCCACTTATGAGTGAGAACAGGCATTGTTTGGTTTTCTGTTCCTGTGTTAGTTTGTTGAGGGTGATGGTTTTCAGCTTCATCCATGTCCCTGCAAGGGACATGAACTCATTCTTTTTTATGGCTGTGTAGTATTCCATCGTGTATATGTGCCATATTTTCTTTATCCAGTCTATCATTGATGGGCATTTGGGTTGGTTCCAATTCTTTGCTATTGTAAATAGTGCAGCAATAAACATACATGTGCATGTCTCTTAATCGTAGAATAATTTATAATCCTTTGGGGATATGCCCAGTTGGGATTGCTGGGTCAAATGGTATTTCTGGTTCTAGATCCTTAAGGATTCACCATACTGTCTTCCACAATGGTTGAACTAATTTACACTCCCACCAACAGTGTAAAAGCATTCCTATTCCTCCACATCCTTGCCAGCAGCTGTTGTTTCCAGACTTTTTAATAATCGCCATTCTAACTGGTGTGAGATGGTATCTCATTGTAGTTTTGATGCACATTTCTCTAATGATGAGTGATGATGAGCTTTTTTTCATGTTTCTTGGCTGCATAAATGTCTTCTTTTGAGAAGTGTCTGTTCATATCCTTGGTGCACGTTTTGATGGGGTTGTTTTTTTCTTGTAAATTTGTTTAAGTTCCTTGTAGATTCTGGACATGCGACTTTTGTCAGATGGATAAATTGCAAAAATTTTCTCCCTTTCTGTAGGTTGCCTGTTCACTCTAATGATAGTTAGATTTTGATAGTTACATTTTGCTGAGCAGCAGCTCTTTAGTTTAATGAGATCCCATTTGTCAATGTTGGCTTTCATTGCAATTGCTTTTGGTGTTTTAGTCATGAAGTCTTTGCCCATGTCTATGTCCTGAATGGTATTGCCTAGGTTTTCTTCTAGGGTTTTTATGGTTTTAGATTTTACACTTAAGTCATTAATCCATCTTGAGTTAACTTTTTGTAAGATATAAGGAAGGGGTCCAGTTTCCATTTTCTGCATATGGCTAGCCCGTTTTCCCAGCACCATTTATTAAATAGGGAATCCTTTCCCCATTGCTTGTTTTTGTCAGGTTTGTTTCAACAACATCTTCAATCAGATGGTTGTAGATGTGTGGTGTTATTTCTGAGGGCTCTGTTCTGTTCCATTGGTCTATATATCTGTTTCGGTACCAATACCATGCTGTTTGGGTTACTGTAGCCTTATAGTATAGTTTGAAGTCAGGTAGCGTGATGCCTCCAGCTTTGTTCTTTTTGCTTAGGATTGTCTTGGCTCTATGGGCTCTTTTTTGGTTCCATATGAAATCTAAAGTAGCTTTTTTTAGTTCCATGAAGAAATTCAATGATAGCTTGATGGGGATAGCATTTAATCTATAAATTACTTTGGGCAGTATGGCTGTTTTCACGATATTGATTCTTAATATCCATGAGCATGGAATGTTTTTCCATTTGTTTGTGTCCTCTCTTATTTCCTTGAGCAGTGGTTTGTCTCTGCATTGGTCTTGCTGATTGCTGCAGACTGGAGCTGTTCCTTTTCAGCCATCTTGCCAGTGGAAAAAAAGCTATCATTTTCTTAACAACATTTTCTTTTCTCTAGCTTACTTCATTGTAAGAATACAGTATGTAATACATATAGCATACACATTACTTGTTAATCAACAGTTTGTGTTATCAGTAAGGCTTTTAGTTAACAGTAATCTATTATTAGGTAAGTTCTTGGGAGTCAAAAGTTATACAAGGACTTTCCAGTGCAGGAGGAGCTGGTGTGTCTAACCCCCAAAATGTTCAAGGGTCAACTGTATTTACTATACAGATTCGGTGGGAAACAAAAGCAGATTGTGTGGTCTGTTTACTAATATCCTAATTATTCCCTATTACAGATAATGCCATTAAAAACTGGAAATACAGAAATGCATAAACTAGCATCGAGAATTGCCTAAATTTAAGATGGCCCAAAATGACTGATTTTCATATGTAGTTAGTAGCACTGTAAATTGGTACAACCTCTTAGAAAGCAATTTGATTATAAGCATTAAGAGCCATAAAAGTGTTCATGTCCATTGACCCCGTAATCTTACTTACAAGAAACTATCATAAAGAGTTCAAAATATGGGGAAAACTTTTATATACCATATGTTTGTTACAGAAGTACTTGCAGAGAAAAAATAGAAAATAATCTTAAAATGCTTCAAAAAGGGAATAATTAAATAAACCACTGGAATATTCTTCAGTCATTAAACTTATGTTCATGGGAAATATGAAACACCATGGAAAAATGTTTATGTGCTCTTAAGTGAAACAGCAGAATGCCACACTGGAAGGAAATTCCGAGAGAGAGAAGTGTAAAAATGCGTTGAGGATAAAAATTATCCTAAGACACTAATCATTATTGAATTCAAGTGGTAAAATTACATGCTTTTAAAAAATATCCAGAATTGTTTCCAATGTGTTTATTTAATAAAATAGCTTACAAAATTGCTAAAATATTACCATCACCTTATATATTGGATACAGTTTACATTCTCTAGAGCTGCTTCTTACTACTCTTCAATGGGCTACAAACTCTCTTGAAACCTATTACTTTTTGAAAGGATTTTATCAGTTAAAGACTATATCTCTAAGCACTTGAAAACTACTGAGAGGAAAATAGACAAGCCAGCTTAAGTAACTACTGTGAAGAAACTTTAGAAGAGTCTGAAGAAGTGGCTTTATTTAGAAAAAAATAAATAGTAGAGGAGGAGAGGACCTGTAAATCCTTAGAAGTCTCTGAAACTGTCAAAAATAAAGCAGCAATACAGTAGAAGAATCTACAGCTTTCAGTATAGATTTTATAAAGTATCCAGTAAGGCAGCAAAAGAAATAGCAATTAGCACATGCTCAAGAAACCATTAGCCATGTAGATTTTCTTTTCCCAGTGATTATTAGCTTGATTCTCCTGCCTGTTTATAGGAGGATGGAGTATTACAAAATCACACAGAAATGAAAGAATTTACATCTCCCATTCTCAGAGTAAGTAAATGGTGGCTCTCTTATTGAAACTGCTTTGAGGACATAATGCTACGCCTATACAGCATGAAAGGAGAATTAATAAGGCCATCATAATGGGTCACAAGATGCAATGCAATACTTTCCAAATTATGTTCTGCAGCAAAGAGTCCTCCAAAACATTTCTTTTAAGAAAATATTTTGGAGGTGAAATGTATTTGTTACATGTTGTGTATGTGTCCTCTATAACAATCAGTATATTCCTAAAAATATTTCAATAAAGAACACTATTTTATCAGAATTTCCCAAACTTTGCTCATGAAACCTCACCCTAAACACTCCTCAATAAACTAACCATCGGAATTGAGTAAAATAAGTGTTCTATAAAATATAGTTTGTTAAATATCTTTGTAATGTTGGCAGGTTTCAGAACCTACTAGTGCTAGGATCAAATCCAATTTCTGCCACATGGTAGCTTCAAGAATCTGAGTAATTAGTTGAACTGTCTTGTTTAACTAAAGATCTTTAAGCAGTTTTAGCCCACTGAAAATATAGCCATAAACAAGCAAGAATTCATTAGGAACAGGCATCCCTTATATCTGGTAATTTCTGAGATATTTCTCTCACTTACTCCTCTAGAACATACTATTTGTTATCCTAGCTCTTCCGTCTCTGGGCCGTTCTTCCTAGACCTCAGTAGTTTTCTCAGCCTCCCTTATCATCATTCCTGATTTTGATACACATTTCCAGGTCTGTTTGGAGATGACAAAGTCTGGACTCGAGGCTGGAGCGGAGCAGCACAGGACGGCCACGCAATTGCACCACTGAGCAACTGTGCAGCAGCTAGAACCAGCAAGAGAAGCCCCTTCCTCCGGCAGTGTATGCCCTCTACTGAGTATGTTTAGCATTCTGCTCACTGTAAAAAAAGAATGCTTAAGATAGCCAGTCCAATATCACAGCTGGTGCTGAAGGGCAAATGTGCAGCTGAAAAGCAATAAATTAATACTGGCCCAGTAGTAGTGTCTAATTATGGTTTTAACTTGCATTTCTCTAATGACTAATAATATTGAACAACTTTTCTTGTGTCATTTGTATATCTTCATTTAAGCGTCCAAATCTTTTGTTACCCTCCATTTTTTAATGATTTTTCTTCATATTTTCTAGTAGTAAGGCTTTTTCATATTTTCTTTATATATTCTTTGTATATATTCTCTATATATTTTATATATTCTTTGTACATTTATATATTCTTGGTATTTTTGTGTGTGTATATACATACATATTGCATATGTGTGTGTGTATATATATATATAGCATATATATGTGTGTGTATATATATTGCAATTCTTTCTCCCAGCCTGTGATTTGCCTTTTAATTATCTTAAGAATATCTTTTGAAGACCATTAAAAAAATTCAATGAGTTTTAATTTATCCATTTTCTTGTTTATAGTCCATGCTTTTAATGCTCTATTAAATAGCTCTTTACCAAAGTCACTATTTTTTACTGTTATATTCTAGAAGTTTTATGGTTTTAATCCTTTCATGTAAATCTATGATCCATTTGAAGTTAATATTTATATAGGGTGTGAAGTAAAGGGCAAGGTTTATATTTTGCATAAAAGACAAGAAAAGACAGTTTCCACGATGAAGGTCAAAGCTGGTCCCAGGAGGAGCTGCACAAGAGCTAATCCATCCAGTGTAAGGCAAACGGTAGAGGACTCCAGGAATGACAGTTCCACTGGAAAATCAATAGAATTAGTAGAATATCTGATGTATTTGACTATGTGGAATGAGTGTTACCTTTTTGGTAAAAAATTTGAGAGAAGAATAGGCATGGTGGTGCATACCTGTAGTCCCAGCTACCTGGGAGTCTCAGACAAGAGAATTGCTTGGGCCCAGGAGTTTGAGGCTGCAATGAGCTATGATCACACCATTGCACTCTAGACTGGATGACAGAGTGAGACCCCATCTCCTAAAAATAAATAAATAAATATGTGTTAAGAATTTAAGAGAAGAATCAATGATAGATATACGGAAATAGCTATGAATAGACAATTATTAATGCTAAAGGAAACAACATTTACAAGAAACACTGTGTGATCTTAGTATACAATATGATAAAACTGAGTATAATGTCTTCTTAGCGAAGAGAAGAAGACTATTGATTAAACCACAGACTGTCATATAACTATATTGAGGAAATGGAGAAAGGGAAATACCTCTGTATGGGCAACAGTGAATAATGTTATTATGTGTATGTTAAATCATTTTTTTCATGGAAGAATGGGAAGAGATATTATCTAATTGAAAAAAATAAGAAATATTAATGTGACTTTTTTTTTTAGAAAATATAGACATAAATAGCAAAAATTACCATAAAAAAGAAGAGAGTGTTTGTTAGGGTGTGGATAGACATTGGTGCATGTAAGGGGTAGACCAAGAATGTGATTTTGTTTTTGTTTCTGTTTTCGTGTTTTTTATTTTTTTTTTTGTAAGTCACATAATAGTATTAGGTTGGTGTAAAGTAATTGCAGCTTTTGCTCTCACTTTTAAGCCATTTATATGAATACTTTTAACACAAAAAATTTAAAACTATGAGCAAATATAAATTAGAAACTTTTAAAAAATCCCAACAGAAATACTTGATAATAAAGGAGATTCTTTCCATGATTTTTATATGTTTTCTATAAATAAAAGAAAACAGATGGGTGAGATACAAACCTAAAATAATTACATGCTTATACAAAACTGATTGTCAAAGAATGCTAAAGAGCTAGTTTTTAAACAGCAGTTTCTAACATTTTAAGTTGATGCAGACTCTGTACAAAACCACAGTAAGATTCTGAGATTTATTTTTTGTGCTCATTGACAACAAGCCTCAATATTTTGCAGGGTTCAAAAGGTCACCAAAATGTTTATTATTATTTCACTATAACTTGAAGGGAATACTGTTCAACAGAGAAATCTAATATAGAAAAGAACTTTTGATGATTATTATACTAGTAACAAGAAACTTTTCACTACTATAATTTTCAGATTTTTTCCCTATCTACAAATATGTATTGGCAACTTTTGGTAAAACTGTTAAGTCTTAATTTCGAAGCAAACTTTTTACATCATAAGGGATTGATTCTATGTGAAAAGAGACATTAAATGTTAATATCATTAAAATAGTTAATAAGACATTTGAATTTACATTTGACGTGGCTAGTATTCTCACTGAAATAAATCACATGAAAATACTAAATGGATTAGAGGGTACAGATTCCTCCTATCGTCAGTTAAGTTATTGAACCTAATTACACGAAAGAGTCTTTGGAAAAAAATCAAACTTCTGCATTTTCACATTAGCAAATTATTTCTGAAACTTTATGGTAATGCTGTTAAAATCCATTTATATATTTGTCATTTGAAAATATTGAACTGTTTCAATGAGACCAGTATTTTTGCAATTTTTTTTTTCAGGCTTAATTCACTTTATTTTTCTTGTATAAAAACCCTATGTTGTAGCCACAGCTGGAGCCTGGGTCTGCTGCACGAAGACTCTGGTGTGGGTCTTGACGAGGTGGTCAGTGAATTCCTGACAGGGAGACTTGGTAAATACAGTCTCCTTCCAGAGGTCGGGGGTCAGGTAGCTGTAGGTCTTAGAGATGGCGTCAAAGGTGGCCTTGGCGAAGTTGCCCAGGGTGGCAGTGCAGCCCCGGGCTGAGGTGTAGCAGTCATCGATACCAGCTATCATGAGCAGCTTCTTGGGCACAGGTGCGGAGACAATGCCAGTGCCCCTGGGTGCAGGGATGAGGCGCACCAGCACAGAGCCGCAGCGGCCTGTCGCCTTGCAAGGGACGGTGTGGGGCTTGCCGATCTTGCTCCTTCAGTAGCCTCTGCGCACGGGGACAATGGAGAGCTTGGCCAGGATGATGGCCCCACGGATGGCGGTGGCCACCTCCTTGGAGCACTTAACACCCAGGCCGACGTGGCCATTGTAGTCCCCGATAGCAACAAACGCCTTGAACCTGGTGCGCTGGCCAGCACGGGTCTGCTTCTGCACCGACATAATCTTCAAAACCTCGTCCTTAAGAGAGGCCCCCAGGAAAAAGTCAATGATCTCAGATACCTTAATGGGCAGGGAGAAGGGATAGATCTCCTCCAGGGATTTGATCTTCATTTCCTTGACCAAGCGGCCCAGCTTGGTGACGGGTATCCACTCCTTATCCTCGGCCTTGCCTCCGCGAGCTCCGCGGCCTCGGCCCCGGCCCCGTCCACTGCTGCTACCCCGGCCCCGGATGCCACTGCCGAAACCTCCGCGGAAGCCACCGCGGTTCCCAATCCCAGGGCCCCGACGGCCACCAGGGCCTCCGGGTTCCAAGCTGCACCTGCGTCATCCGCCATTTAGTGTTTTCTAGGAGAAGAAGTTAGTTTTGCAATTTTTAAAGCCTCAAATATCTTGCATTTTTTCTGAGAAACAGGTGAGAGTATTAAAACACTATTTCATTTGTATGTTCAGAATTAATTTGGCTACTTTGTTGCAATCAATAGAGATATGTCAAGGTCAGAAAAGCAAGAAAATGGGAAAAATTCTGAAGTACCACATAGTCAGTCCTCCTGGGGAAGTGAAACGTTATTTAGGACCAAGGCTTCTTCTCAAGTCCTGCCTGGTCAGTCCCTAAAAAAAGGCATCCAGGCCCGGCGCGGTGGCTCACGTCTGTAATCCCAGCACTTTGGGAGGCCGAGGCAGGCGGATCACCTGAGGTCAGGAATTCAAGACCAACCTGACCAATATGATGAAACCCCGTCTCTACTAAAAAAACAAAAATTAGCCCGGCGTGGTGGCATGTGCCTGTAATCCCAGCTACTCGGGAGGCTGAGACAGGAGAATCGCTTGAACTGGGCAGGCAGAGGTTGCAGTGAGCCGAGATCACGCCACTGCACACCATTATGGGCAACAAGGGTGAAACTCCGTTTCAAAACAGACAAAAAAAAAAAAAAAAAAAAAAAAGCATCCAGTCCTCCTCACCCTAGAACTCCACCATTAAAATAATTGAGCTGTTTCTTTTTGATGTGCTGCTGGATTCTGTTTGCCAGTATTTTATTGAGGATTTTTGCATCAATGTTCATCAAGGATATTGGTCTAAAATTCTCTTTTTTGGTTGTGTCTCTGCCCGGCTTTGGTATCAGGATGATGCTGGCCTCATAAAATGAGTTAGGGAGGATTCCCTCTTTTTCTATTGATTGGAATAGTTTCAGAAGGAATGGTACCAGTTCCTCCTTGTACCGCTGGTAGAATTCGGCTGTGAATCCATCTGGTCCTGGACTCTTTTTGGTTGGTAAGCTGTTGATTATTGCCACAATTTCAGAGCCTGTTATTGGTCTATTCAGAGATTCAACTTCTTCCTGGTTTAGTCTTGGGAGAGTGTATGTGTCGAGGAATTTATCCATTTCTTCCAGATTTTCTAGTTTATTTGTGTAGAAGTGTTTGTAGTATTCTCTGATGGTAGTTTGTATTTCTGTGGGATCGGTGGTGATATCCCCTTTATCATTTTTTATTGCGTCTATTTGATTCTTCTCTCTTTTTTTCTTTATTTTTTGCTAGCGGTCTATCAATTTTGTTGATCCTTTCAAAAAACCAGCTCCTGGATTCATTAATTTTTTGAAGGGTTTTTTTTGTCTCTATTTCCTTCAGTTCTGCTCTGATTTTAGTTATTTCTTGCCTTCTGCTAGCTTTTGAATGTGTTTGCTTTTGCTTTTCTAGTTCTTTTAATTGTGATGTTAGGGTGTCAATTGTGGATCTTTCCCGCTTTCTCTTGTGGGCATTTAGTGCTATAAATTTCCCTCTACACACTGCTTTGAATGTGTCCCAGAGATTCTGGTATGTTGTGTCTTTGTTCTCATTGGTTTCAAAGAACATCTTTATTTCTGTCTTCATTTTTTATGTACCCAGTACCCATTCAGGAGCAGGTTGTTCAGTTTCCATGTAGTTGAGCAGTTTTGAGTGAGTTTCTTAATCCTGAATTCTAGTTTGATTGCACTGTGGTCTGAGAGACAGTTTGTTATAATTTCTGTTCTTTTACATTTGCTGAGGAGAGCTTTACTTCCAATTATGTGGTCAATTTTGGAATAGGTGTGGTGTGGTGCTGAAAAAAACATATATTCTGTTGATTTGGGGTGGAGAGTTCTGTAGATGTCTATTAGGTCCTCTTGGTGCAGAGCTGAGTTCAATTCCTGGGTATCCTTGTTAACTTTCTGTCTCGTTGACCTGTCTAATGTTGACAGTGGGGTGTTAAAGTCTCCCATTATTATTGTGTGGGAGTCTAAGTCTCTTTGTAGGTCACTCAGGACTTGCGTTATGAATCTGGGTGCTCCTGTATTTGGTCCATATATATTTAGGATAGTTGGCTCTTCTTGTTGAATTGATCCCTTGACCATTATGTAGTGGCCTTCTTTATCTCTTTTGGTGGGCTTCATCCCTGGGATGCAAGGCTGGTTCAATATATGCAAATCAATAAATGTAATCCAGCATATAAACAGAACCAAAGACGAAAACCACATGATTATCTCAATAGATGCAGAAAAGGCCTTTGACAAAATTCAACCACCCTTCATGATAAAAACTCTCAAGAAATTAGGTATTGATGGGACGTATCTCAAAATAATAAGAGCTATCGATGACAAACCCACAGCCAATATCATACTGAATGGGCAAAAACTGGAAGCATTCCCTTTGAAAACTGGCACAAGACAGGGATACCCTCTCTCACCACACCTATTCAACATGGTGTTGGAAGTTCTGGCCAGGGCAATTAGGCAGGAGAAGCAAATAAAGGGTTTTCAATTAGGAAAAGAGGAAGCCAAATTATCCCTGTTCGCAGACGACATGATTGTATATCTAGAAAACCCCACTGTCTCAGCCCAAAATCTCCTTAAGCTGATAAGCAACTTCAGCAAAGTCTCAGGACACAAAATCAATGTACAAAAATCACAAGCATTCTTATACACCAATAACAGACAAACAGAGAGCCAAATCATGAGTGAATTCCCATTCACAATTGCTTCAAAGAGAATAAAATACCTAGGAATCCAACTTACAAGGGACGTGAAGGACCTCTTCAAGGAGAACTACAAACCACTGCTCAATGAAATAAAAGAGGATACAAACAAATGGAAGAAGATTCCATGCTCATGGGTAGGGAGAATCAATATCGTGAAAATGGCCATAATGTCCAAGGTAATTTATAGATGCAATGCCATCCCCATCAAGCTACCAATGACTTTCTTCACAGAATTGGAAAAAACTACTTTAAAGTTCATACGGAACCAAAAAAGAGCCCTCATCGCCAAGTCAATCCTAAGCAAAAAGAACAAAGCTGGAGGCATCACGCTACCTGACTTCAAACTCAACTACAAGGCTACAGTAACCAAAAAAGCATGGTACTGGTACCAAAACAGAGATACAGATCAAGGGAACAGAACAGAGCCCTCAGAAATAACGCCACATATCTACAACTATCTGATCTTTGACAAACCTGAGAAAAACAAGCAATGGGGAAAGGATTCCCTATTTAATAAACGGTGCTGGGAAAACTGGCTAGCCATATGTAGAAAGCTGAAACTGGATCCCTTCCTCACACCTTATACAAAAATTAATTCAAGATGGATTAAAGACTTAAACGTTAGACCTAAAACCATAAAAACCCTAGAAGAAAACCTAGGCATTACCTTTCAGGACATAGGCATGGGCAAGGACTTCAAGTCTAAAACACCAAAAGCAATGGCAACAAAAGCCAAAATTGACAAATGCGATCTAATTAAACTAAAGAGCTTCTGCACAGCAAAAGAAACTACCATCAGAGTGAACAGGCAACCTACGAGATGGGAGAAAATTGTCACAACCGACTCATCTGACAAAGGGCTAATATCCAGAATCTACAATGAACTCAAACAAATTTACAAGAAAAAACAAACAACCCCATCAAAAAGTGGGCGAAGGACATGAACAGACACTTCTCAAAAGAAGACATTTATGCAGCCAAAAAACACATGAAAAAATGCTCACCATCACTGGCCATCAGAGAAATGCAAATCAAAACCACAATGAGATACCATCTCACACCAGTTAGAATGGTGATCATTAAAAAATCAGGAAACAACAGGTGCTGGAGAGGATGTGGAGAAATAGGAACACTTTTACACTGTTGGTGGGACTGTAAACTAGTTCAACCATTGTGGAAGTCAGTGTGGCGATTCCTCAGAGATCTAGAACTAGAAATACCATTTGACCCAGCCATCCCGTTACTGGGTATATACCCAAAGGACTATAAATCATGCTGTTATAAAGACACATGCACACGTATGTTTATTGTGGCACTATTCACAACAGCAAAGACTTGGAACCAATCCAAATGTCTGACAATGATAGACTGGATTAAGACAATGTGGCACATATACACCATGGAATACTATGCAGCCATAAAAAATGATGAGTTCATGTCCTTTGTAGGGACATGGATGAAATTGGAAATCATTATTCTCAGTAAACTATTGCAAGGACAAAAAACCAAGTACTGCATATTCTCACTCATAGGTGGGAATTGAACAATGAGAACACATGGACACAGGAAGGGGAACATCACACTCTGGGGACTGTTGTGGGGTGGGGGGAGGGGGGAGGGATGGCATTAGGAGATATGCCTAATGCTAAATGACGAGTTAATGGGTGCAGCACACCAGCAGGGCACATGTATGCATATGTAACTAACCTGCACATTGTGCACATGTACCCTAAAACTTAAAGTATAATAATAATAATAAAAAAATAAAATGATTGAGCTATTTCTACCCTGCTTCTATTTTCTAGCCAGCTAATTAAGTTAGCGTGATTGATAAAGACAGTCTTTATGCAAAAATAGACAGACCTGTGGCACCTGACCAGATTGTATGCTTTTAGCCAGACACTCTAGGAAAACCATTACAGGCAGCCTTTGAGTCAAGCTCTTGGATATGGTCAGCAGTGGTTAAGGTAGGAGGATTACAGGATACTAAGCATGGTGACCTATGGGCAAAAAAGGGAGCAAACAAAATGGCAGATGCTTTCTCATAAACTAAGAGTTTAAGAGAAAGGAACATTTAAGACAGACATTTTGCTCATCTTGCCTAGTATGGAACTTCTATAGCCTTTAAAGACCAGTTCAAATGCAAATGCTTTCTAGAATTTCTCCTTAGGCCAGGCATAGTGGCTTATGCCTGTAATACCAGCCATTTGGGGGGTCAAGGCAGGAGGATTCTTTGAGCTCAGGAGTCAGAGACCAGCCTGGGCAACATAGGGAGACCTGCATCTCTACAAAAGTTTTCTTTAAATATTAGCTGGATGTGATTCCAGCTACCTCATGAGGGCTGAGGTGGGAGGACTGCTTGAGCTTGGGAGGCTGAGGCTGTAATGAGCTAAGATGTGGTGCCACTGCAGCCTGGGTGACAGAAGGAGACCCTGTCTCAAAAGAACGAAAAAACACACACACATCCCCAAAAAGCAACTCTCCTTGATCCCTGTCAGAATCGAGAATCAATGAGTTAGTCCTGAGTACATCTACCACATGTTTTTATGCCTCTATCTCCATCTTAGAATTGTTTATTATTTATACTGTAACCACTTGTAGGTTAAAGGATGATGCTCCAAAGCACAAATCTGTAGAGACCCTGGGAATTTCTCCCAGGTCATCATCAAATTGTCCCAAATGCTTCCTGCAACTCCTTTTACTTGTCTACTTTTCTTTACATCCATTGTGACATTTGGATTGACATTATGTTAATTCAAAATGCCATTACATCTTTTTTTTATCATGTATTAATTTAATGCAACATCTCCTAGCCATTCTATTTTCCTCTAGAAGCCATTCTACTCTCCTTATACTAAAGTGCTCATCGTAATAAGCAAATCAAAAATAATGCCACTGCTTTCTTAAAGCTTTTCAATTATTCCAAGATACATTTCTTTACGGTATCATCTAGGTCTGTGTAGAGACAGATCTTTACTTTTTCCAGTCTCAGCTCTCACCAAAATCTTGCTCATACTTGTCTAGCTACAGAAATTTCCTCTTTTACTAAAAACAATTTTATTGTGGTAAGAACACTTAGAGATCTAACCTCTTAATAGATTTTAAGGTGTAAAATACAGTACTGTTGACTATAAGCAAAGTGTTGTACAACAGGTCTCTAGAACTTATTCATTTTGCGTAACTGAAACTTTATACCCTTTGATTAGTAATTTTTCATTTCCTCCTTCCCACTGGCCCTAGCAACCAACACTCTAATCTCTGCTTCTATGAATTCAACTATTTTAGATACCTCATAAGAGTGGAATTTTATGTATTTGTCTGTATGTGCTTGGCTTATTTCACTTAGCATCATTTCCTCAAAGTTTTTCCAGTTCATCATATATTGCAGGATTTCCTTCTTTAAAAGGCTGAATAATATTTCACTGTTCATATGGTCCAAGTTTGCTTTATTAACTAATAAATTTATGAATTTATCATTTCTAGAGCATTCCTCATTAGAGACACCCTCTTCCATTACACTACCTTTCACAGAGCCCCTGAAAGAAGAATTATATGGGGGTGTGTGAGTGTGTGCGCATGTGTGTGTATATGTATATATGTGTGTATGTGTGTGTATATATATACATGGATACATATATATGACCATTGATGGAAAACCTTTATATATATATGTTTTTCAAAATATATAAGGAACTTCTACAATTCAGTAGCAAAAAAGCCCTAATATTTCAATAAAAAAATGGCTGAGGACTTGCATAGACATTTCTCCAAATATGACACATAATTGGGAAGCAGATATATGAAAAAATGGTTGACTTCACTATTCATCAGGGAACTGAAAATCAAAACGCATTATCACTTTATATTTGTTAGGATAGCTATTATAAAAAAAGATAAGTATAGGTGACAATGTGAAGAAATCATAACTCTTGTACACTGCTGGTAGAAATGCAAAATGATGACTCTGCTATGGAAAGCAATATAAGGATTCCTCAAAAAATTAAAAATAAAACTATCATATAACCCACGATCCCACCTTTGGGCATTTATCCAAAAAAAATGAAATCACATTAACCTTGTTTTCACCACTCATTCTTACCATAGTCCCTCCTGCAATGGGACCTGTGCACATTATATGTTCCTACCGGTAATGAGATTTTTCTCTCATATTAACGAAGTAAATTCCTCTTATTCTTTTGGTCTCAGCGCCACCATTACTTCTTTTGGAGGCTCTGTGAAATGTAGTGTGCCAAGAGAGGTCTCTGTAACCAGAAACACTGTGGAAATGATAAAGTAATTCATGGATTTATTAGTTAATAAAGCAAATGTGGACCAGCTGCATAACTTCTCAAAGCATCCGCTTCCTTGTCTATAAGACTAGAATAATACCTACTTTATAGGATTGCTTTGAAAGTTATAAATGGTCATTGCCTAGCAGAGTTCTAGCATATGTCATGGCTCAATAAATGCAGCACACATTATTTTTTTTAATGATGACACTACTCTTGACAACATAATTCAGAACAAAACTGCTGTTAAAATTGTGTTCTATTGTGTTTGTGGGGATAGAACCTACACTACTCTAACAAGAACCTGCCAAATAAATTGCTTCATCAAGATGAAAGTCAATTTCATTCTTAAATCTAACCAGCTTGGAAGGCATCGCAGGGTGGTTAGGACAATTTATAGTGTTGAAGATCCAGAATGCTTGCTCAGTAATCTTTGGGGTGTTACCCTTGTCTGCACAAAGATGACCACACCCACAGGAACACCTCCCGCTTATGGTCATAAATCAAAAAGTTGCACATACTGCTTTCACTAACATTTCCCTGGCCCAAACTTAAACTCAGTCATTTGGTCATGACTACCAGCAAGGAAGAGTGGGGCATGTCTTTACCTGGGCAGTCATGAGCCAACAGAATAATTCTATTACTATAGGGAAAAACTGGAGAAGAAATATTGAGAAAACAGATAGTAGTTTCCTTCACAGCTTCTGAATTTAAAGGCTTTAAGGTAAAATAATGTCTTACCAAAATGTAAAAAAAAAAAAAAAAAAAAAAAAAAAAAATTAGGGTTGAGTTTAAGAAGCAAGACAGCAAGACAGAGGCTAACAAAACATTATTTTTTTAAGTTAAGTCCTCATATACCATAATTTTGCCAGGAAAATGAAAGACAATAGAAACAGAATCACATTAAGCTTATGAATGAAAGGACTCCAAGGTTCAGGATACTAGTCTTATTCCCACTGGGGCACCTGAGAGAAATTTAAGCTGTAGGCTATAAGAGATGAGTCACAGTAGATGGCGTAATAAGCAATATTGAGAAAAAAAATGCAAGCAAAAGAAATAGAGACTTTTTTAGGAGGAAGATTGTAATTTTAAATAGAGTGGTCTTGAAAGGTCTCACTGAGAAGAGGACATGTGAGTAAATACCTAAAGAAAGTTAAGGAGCATGAACCATGGATATACAAGAGAAGACTATTTCAGGATAAAAGCAGCAAGTGCAGATGCCTTGGTCTAGGAGTGTGCCTGACCTTGTTGAGAAACTGCAAGGAGACCTGTGTGGCCAGAGAAGTGAGTGAGGAAAGAATACAACGAGATGACCCCAAATGCCATCAGAGAATAGAAGGATCAGGGGTGGGGGAGAGCCAGAGTGTAAATGACCTCCTAGGCCATCCTTGGGACTTTGGCATTTACTCTTTGAGATATGGGCACCCTTAGAAGCTTTTGAGCAAAAGAGTGACATGACTGAATTTTTATTTTAACAGAGTAATAATACCACTATTAATAGAGCCTCAATTTATTGAACGTTCTATTCTTGGCACTATAACAAGTTCTTTATTTACATCACCTCACTTCATTCTCACAGCACTGCAAAATCATAATTTATACCCCCATTTTACCAGATAAAGAAACTGAGTCTTGCAATGGTTGAATAAATTAATCAGATTAATAAATGACATTCTTGGGATTTTTGATCTTAAGTATATCTGCCTGCAATGTCCTTACTGTTATTTATACTGTTTTATTTCTATCGGTATTGTGATAGCTCACTTGAAAGGTTTATATGTTATTGTCTCACCATAAAATTGTTTCTCATTATATTCTGTCCACTAATATCCTAAATAGATGTGATAAAGAGGTATTCTGCTGTGTCATTATGAAGAGTAGTGTTACTTATGATAGCAATTATTGCTCATTAGCATTTGATAAAAACGAGCTCTGTGCCACTGCACTCCTAATCTAAATGGAGCATCATAAATAATAAACCCTCACAATTAGAGTAGAGCTTCTGAACTCATCTCCTTTTTAATCTCAATAACGAGGCATTTAAATTTATAATTAATTTCCATAGTTTTATGAGCTTTTCTCAACTCTCTTCTCTCCCTCCCCTCCAAATCTTACTCTTTTTTTTTTTTTGAAGCTTCCCTCCACAGAAGTTGACTTTTCTGATTTTCATCTGTCCCCGCTTGTATGGCCCCCACACAAGTCAGGCACAGCAGTCAGTGTACATGGGAGTGCCAGTCACCAGTGAATATTCAGAGTGATCCTATTCTCTTTACCATCACCACCACTCTCCTAGCTGAAGATCCACCATTAACTTCTGTGGGGCTCAAAACAAGAGTACCAATGGAGGCCCACATACCTTACATCTATCAGATTGGTGCAAAAGAAATTGCAGTTTTAGACCATGAACTAAGCTCAAACACATCTTTATGAATCAAAATAAGAACAATTAAAATCAACACACTTTTGCCAATGAGTAATGAATTTGTTTATTTCCATAGTGTGAAAATCTGTGCTTTGGGATTCAAGCAACTCTTGGAAAGCATTTTCTACATCCTGATGGTCGTGGAAGTGTTTTCCCTGCAAAACGTTGTCGAGATGCTTGAAGAAGTGGTAGTTAGTTGGCGAGAGGTCAGGTGAACATAGCAGATGAGGCAAAACTCCATCGCCCAATTCATTCAACTTTTGAAGCGTTAGTTGTGTGACGTGCAGTCGGGCGTTGTGGAGAAGAATTGGGCCATTTCTGTAGACCAATGCCATCTGCAAGCATTGCAGTTTTTGGTGCATCTCATGGATTTGCTGAGCATATTTCTCAGATGTAATGGTTTTGCCAGGATTCAGAGAGCTGTAGTGGATCAGACCAGCAGCAGACCACCAAAGAATGACCATGACCTTTTTGGTGCAAGTTTGGCTTTGGGAAGTGTTTTGGAGCTTCTTCCCAGCTCAACCACTGAGCTGGTCATTGCTGGTTGTCATAAAAAATCCACTTTTCATTTCATATCACAATCCAATCAAGAAATGGTTCATTGTTGCATAGAATAAGAAAATACAATACTTCAAAATGGCAATTTTTAAAAATTTTCACTCAGCTCAAAAGGCACCCATTTATTAAGCTTTTTCACCTCTCCAATTTGTTTCAAATGCCAAATGACCATAGAATGGTTGATGTTGAGTTCTTTGGCAACTTCTCATGTAGTTGTAAGAGGGTCAGCTTATATGATTGCTCTCAATTGTTTGTTGTCAACTTCCGATGGCTGGCCACTATGCTGCTCATCTTCAAGGCTCTTGTCTCCTTTACAAAACTTTTTGAACCACCACTGCACTGTACGTTCATTAGCAGTTCCTGGGCCAAATGCATTGTTGATGTTGCAAAGTTGTCTCTGCTGCTTTACGACCCATTTTGAACTCGAAAAAGAAAATTGCGGCTGGGCATGGTGGCTCACGCCTGTAATCCCAGCACTTTGGGAGGCCGAGGCGGGTGGATCACGAGGTCAGGAGATCAAGACCATCCTGGCCAACATGGTGAAACCCCGTCTCTATTAAAAATACAAAAATTAGCTGGTCGTGGTGGCACACACCTGTAATCCCAGCTACTCGGGAGGCTGAGGCAGAAGAATTTCTACAACCAGGGAATCAGGGATTGCAGTGAGCCAAGATTGAGTCACTGCACTCCAGCTTGGCAACAGAGCTAGACTCCATCTCAAAAAAAAAAAAAAAAATTGCTCGAATTTGCTTTTTGTCCAACATCATTTCAATAGTCTAAAATAAACATAAACAGCAAGTAGTGTCGTTAGCAAAAAACCATAAATCAAGAAATGCCAATTAAAATGATGGGCATAACTACATTTATTTAAGAATGTATTTCAATATCAAACAGCAAACACCAACAATGCAAAAACTGCAATTACTTTTGCACCAACAAATGTTACAGATCATGCAAACAAATTGTTAAGTAAAATATATTAAATATGTCCACCTTAACGATTGTAAGAATTTACCTTCAGTCCTTTAAAATTTTTTTCTGGGCCCATCTTTTGTTTGCATTTGAGTGTTTTATTTATTTTAATCTTGATCTCAGACTATATACCTTCTCAGTGTAAAATAAGAAATTAAAAAAATAAAATGGAATTATATTCAAAGCATACTTATTTTATTATATATTTTATTAAAATATGACTTAAGGGCCACAAAAATGCCCTAATAATGGAATAGTATGGAGAAATGAGGATCCACTATGTTATAGAGGTTTTAAAAATAAGTAAATGCACCAATAAATAAAATGTAAGTTAAAATAAATGAAGAAAATCCTAAGGTATTTTCATAAATTTTATTTTCTTTTCTTTTTTTTTGAGATGGAGTCTTGCTCTGTCACACAGGCTGCAGTGCAGTGGCTGGATCTCAGCCCACTGCAACCTCTGCTTCCCGGGTTCACGCCGTTCTCCTGCCTCAGCCTCCTGAGTAGCTAGGACTACAGGCGCCCGCCACCACACCTGACTAATTTTTTTGTATTTTTAGTAGAGACGGGATTTCACCATGTTAGCCAGGATGGTCTCGATCTCCTGACTTCGTGATCCGCCCGCCTCAGCCTCCCAAAGTGCTGGCATTACAGGCATGAGCCACTGCACCCAGCCCACAATTTTTCATATAGACCTTCTACAAAGTTATTTTATCTAAATATTCAAATGTATTAAAATTAAAAAACAAAATACAAATTATAACATGAGAGATACATATTTTATATCTTAATTCTATTATAACACAAACTACCAATAGATACCAGTGTCTTAAATTATGTTAATTAAACTAAAATTTTAGTTGATTAATTTATCAACTCATTAAATAGTCTAGAAAACTAAAGCCATTGACAATTGTAGCCCTCAATGTCCATCTGGTTGTGAATATAAATATAGTCAATCCTCATTATTTGAGGATTCCGTGTTTGCAAATTCTCCTACTTGCTAAAATCTATCTGTTGCCCTGAAATCAACACTGCTTTTGCAGTCATTCCCAGACTTGCCTATATATAAAAACGCGAGCTTCCTAAGGTGCAAGTTCCCAACTGAGCTCAAACAAGTCGAAGCTCTGCCTTCTTGTTAAAGCCTTCATATGTAAATAAGAATCCTTTTGGTGATCTATGTAGTATCACATTTTTTGCATTTTGTACTTTTAGTTGGTGATTTTTTGCTATTTAAAATGGCCCACTCCCAAACGTAATGTTGAGTGCTCTCTAGTGTGCCCAAGCACAAGAAGGCTGAGATGGTCCTTCTTAGCTTCTATCAGGACAAAATGCATGTATCAGATTTGCTTTGTTCAGGCACGAGTTACAGTGCATTTAGCCATAAGTTGAATGTTAATGAACTGAGAATATACATTAAGTAAGGTGTGTTTAAACAAAATCACATAAAACAAGGTATGTATTGATTAGTTGATGAAAATGCTGTGACCAGAGGCTCTTGAGGACCTTACCTCAGATTTACGTAGGACCCATTATTCAGCATTTGCTTGTTCAGTGCTGAAGGCAACTTTATGGAACAGAAATACTGTAGATAATAATAATTAAATACAATCAGTATCACATGTTACACATTATGTCTATACCTGCCTATATACAAATTTAAAAGTAATTTGAAATATGTGATACTGCAAAATGTGCCTCAGTCAGCCACTATGTGAAACTGTTGCTAATACTACATTTAGTTTTATATATTTCTGGAGCCATGAATCAAAGCATGAAAAGAAGTGTAAAAGTAGACATGCAATGTGAGAGGAAGAATTTGAAAAGTAACTTGTCTTTTTTCTTACATAAGCATTTCTGCTCAGATCCTCTTCAAACTCAAAAGAGATCCCATCTCTGGCAATAGTAGTGGCCTGGATTGAAAATCTTTACAGTATTCCAAAACTATCACCTTTGCTTTTGATGACACAAGGCAAGAGATAAATACATGTTTTCCTGAGGTCTGGAAGGGTATTTATCATAAGAACTAACAGTAACATTTACAAGTCCTTTTCTGTCAACAGTAGAATCTAAATTTAAGTGATAAAGATGTCCAGATCTTTAATACATTTCTTTAGAGACAGGCAGTGGCTTTCTAAACTGTGGCACCCGGAAAAAGAACCCCTCTTGTCCTAAAGGCGAAAATACCTACAGGACTATTCTAACTTCATATACTTGCGTACACAACAGGGCACTAAGTGACTTCCAGAATCATAGACTCTGTTAGGTCTCTCTCCCCATTCCTGAGTATCAGGCATGCGTTGTGTCTTACATAAAATGTAAACTCTTTAGCACTTAAAAGACTTAATGAAATAGGTTCCAACCCCTTTTTCAATCACATTTTACAAAACTCCCATAATGTCTACTCCCAATCCTTAATGTATGCCTTGAATTTCCTTACCTTCTTGGTTTGATTTTGCTCTCCAGGTTTGCCAGCCCAGAATCTTTGTCCACTCTTTTTCCCAATGTCCAATCCTATCCCTTCTGAAGGCCCATCGAGAATATTGTTTCAGGACAACTTTTCCATTTTCTATCAGCTATAAGGAGTCATTCCTGCCTCAAAAATCCCATGCCAATACTTCAACACTTTCTTTATAGCCATGAACAGTGTCTACATAGTTAATTGTGCATGTTTTTTTGCACGATGTAAATTCCTTTAAGACAGAGTCCTGTCTGGTTTATTCCCATAGCCCCACAGCACAGTACTTTTTCAGTTAATGTTTGTTGATAGAAAAAGAAATGACAAAAGTAATGAGAGAATGACTTTCAGTTGTTGTTTAAATGAACAGACTTCTGCCTGGCTCTGACATCATTTTATATTGGAAATATGTAAATGGCAGAGGATTTTCTATTATCAGATCCCGCTCAGAGTACTTTGCAGCATCTTGAGCTGGTGTGCCCATTCTTGTTCCATCCCATCTTCAACATGTGGGTAAAATGCCTGACTTCATAACTGTTTTAGAAGGCACTTTGACAGCTATCAGAGGCCAGTAAGCATTTCACATGTTGACCAAATATTTTCACATCGGAAAATCTATCTTAAGGTAATCCAGTATAAACAAAAAGCCTTCTATAAGGCATAAATATTTAACATTATGTCTAACAGACTGCATGTCTAAAATTAAGGGCAGAATTAGGAAAATGGTAATAATTCTACATGACAGAAATAAATGTGGATTTACTACGGATGAGAGTAAACTGAAAAGCTTAATAAAAGTACAGAAAACTATCTGCAAAATAATGTTAAATGACAAAAAAAGATATTTATTTTTAAAAGTATGATTATGGCAATGTAAATTCCATTGATAAAAGAAAGTGTGAAAGGATATATACAGTGGTTTTATTAGTTGAAAGAGGAGGGAATTTTTTTCCTTTCTTATTTTTTGAATTTTGAGAAGCTTTATATAAAATTAAATGAACTTACTGTGACTCAAAAAATTTTCTATGACTAACAATATGGATGAAGTTAGCACTGAAGAACTGCTCTGCACATTCTTATGAAATAAAATAGTAAACGATATTTTGTGCTTATTTTGGATTTATAATGTAACTTATAACAATGGTCATGGAAGGGTCTAATAAAAGATTACACAAAATGTGACAATTAGAAATCAAAACCAAAGTAGAAGTATCTTAAAAGTTGCTAAAAAGTTAACGCCTCAATACCCTTGAAATAAATTTTATTTTTAATAATCCAACTTGAAATCAAGTCAAACCTGGGTTAGAAAAGTAAATATGCCCAGTTACATAGATTTTCTTACCACTGTTTTATAAAAATTGTGGTTAAAGTATACAAAACATGAAATTTACTATTTCCGCCATTTTTAAGTGTACAGTTCAATGGCATTAAATAAATTCACATTGTTGTGCAACCCTCATAACCATCATCACCATTCATATCTAAACCTCTTTTATCTTCTTCAACTGAAATCTTGTACCCATTGAACACTAACTCTCCATTCATTTGAACCCCCAGACCTTGGAAGTCACCATTCCACTTTTTGTCTCTATGAATTCTATTCTAGGTACCTAATATAAGTATAATCATACAATATTTTTCTATTGGGTTACTGATTTATTTCACTTGGCATAAAATCTTCAAGATTGAGCCCAGTTGAAGCACATGTAACAATTTCCTGCCTTTTAAAGGCTGAATAATATTCCATTGTATGCACATACCATATTTTATGTATCCTTTCATCCACTGATGGACATGTGGGGAGCTCCCACTTTTTGGCTATTGTGAATAATGCTCTGTGAACAAGGGTGTGCAAATATCTGTTTGAGTTCTGCTTTCAGCTATTTTTGGTACGCACTCAGAAGTGGAATTTTTGTACCATATGATAATTTTATCTCTAATTTTTTGATGAACTGCCATAACATTTTCCATTCCCACCAGCAACACACAAGCATTGCAGCTTCTTCACATCCACACAAACATTTGTTATTTTAATTTTTTGATAATAGTAATCCTAATGGGTGTGAAGTCGTATGTCATTGTGCTTCGGTTTGGATTTCCCTAATTATTAGTAATGGTAAGCATCTTTTCATGTACTTGTTGGACATTTGCATATTTTTTTAACAAATATCTATTCAAGTTCTTTGCCCATTTTTAAGTTGGGTTGTTATTTATTTGTTGTTGAATTATAGGAATTCTTTATATATTCTGGATATCAATTCCTTATCAGATGTACAATTTGCAAATATTTTCCACAGTTCTGTGGGTTAACTTTTCACTCTATTGTTATTGTCCTTTGATACACAAATGTTTTTAATTTTGAGGAAGTTCAACTTACCTATTTTGTTTTTAGTCACCTGTACTTTAGGTATCATATTTTAAAAATTAATTGCCCAATTCAATGTTATGAAGTTTTCCCTTGTTTTATTAAGTTTAGGTATTTGGTTAATTTTGAATATTCTTTAAAATATGGTATAAGGTAAGAGCCGCCACCACCGTCTTCTTCCTCCTCTTTTTTCTTCTGTTACTTCTCCCTCACTTTTCTTCTGCCCTTCTGTTTCTCTTCCTTTTTCTTCATGTGTATATGCAGTTCCACCAACAATATTTCTTTGTCCATTCTTCATTGACTGGTCTTAGCACTGTTGTTAAAAATTATTTAGCCATATACACAAGGGTTTATTTCTGGGCTAATTATTCTATTCCATTGGTCTTTATGTATCTTTTTATGCCAGTAAAACAGTATTTTTATTATCATGGCTTGGTAGTAAGCTTTGAAATTAGGATGTGTGAGACCTATACGTTTGTTCTTTTTCAAGCCTGTTTTGGCTATTCAGGGTCCCTTGAGATTCCATATGAATTTTAGGATGGATTTTTCATTTCTGAAAATAAAGCCATTGAAATTTTGATAAGGATTGCATTGAATCTGTAAATCACCTTGGGTAGTAATGATGTTTTAACAATATGATATTTTCCAAACTATGAACATAGAAGGGGAAAATGGCCATACTGCCCAAGGTAATTTATACATTCAATGCCATCCCCATCAAGCTACCAATGACTTTCTTCACAGAATTGGAAAAAACTACTTTAAAGTTCATATGGAACCAAAAAAGAGCCCACATTGCCAAGACAATCTTAAGCCAAAAGAACAAAGCTGGAGGCATCATGCTACCTGACCTCAAACTCTACTACAAGGCTACAGTAACCAAAATAGCATGGTACTGGTACCAAAACAGAGACATAGACTAATGGAACAGAAGAGAGCCCTCAGAAATGACGCCGCATAGCTACAACTATCTGATCTTTGATAAACCTGAGAAAAACAAGCATCTGATCTTTGACAAACCTGACAAAAACAAGAAATGGGGAAAGGATTCCCTATTTAATAAATGGTGCTGGGAAAACTGGCTAGCCCTATGTAGAAAGCTGAAACAGGATCCCTTCCTTACACATTATACAAAAATTAATTCAAGATGGATTAAAGACTTAAATGTGAGGCCTAAAACCATAAAAACCCTAGAAGAAAACCTAGGCAATACCGGTAATTCAGCACATAGGCATGGGCAAGGACTTCATGTCTAAAACACCAAAAGCAATGGCAACAAAAGCCAAAAATGACAAATGATCTAATTAAACTAAAGAGCTTCTGCACAGCAAAAGAAACTACCGTCAGAGTGAACAGGCAACCTACAGAATGGGAGAAAATTTTTGCAATCTACTCTTCTGACAAAGGGCTAATATCCAGAATCTACAATGAACTCAAACAAATTTACAAGAAAAAAAACAAACAACCCATCAAAAAATGGGCAAAGGATATGAACAGACACTTCTCAAAAGGACATTTATGCAGCCAACAGACACATGAAAAAATGCTCATCATCACTGGCCATCAGAGAAATGCAAATCAAAACCACAATGAGATACCATCTCACACCAGTTAGAATGGCGATCATTAAAAAGTCAGGAAACAACAGGTGCTGGAGAGGATGTGGAGAAATAGGAACAATTTTACACTGTTGGTGGGACTGTAAACTGGTTCAACCACTGTGGAAGACAGTGTGGCGATTCCTCAAGGATCTAGAACCAGAAATACCATTTGATCCAGCCATCCCATTACTGGGTATATACCCAAAGGATTATAAATCATGCTGCCATAAAGACACATGCACTTGTATGTTTATTGCGGCACTATTCACAATAGCAAAGACTTGGAACCAACACAAATGGCCATCAATAATAGACTGGATTAAGAAAATGTGGCACATATACACCATGGAATACTATACAGCCATAAAAAAGATGAGTTCATGTCCTTTGTAGGGACGTGGATGAAGCTGGAAAACATCATTCTCAGCAAACTATCGCCAGGACAAAAAACCAAACACTGCATGTTCTCACTCATAGGTGGGAATTGAACAATGAGAACACTTGGACACAGGAAGGGGAACATCACACAGCGGGGCCTGTCCTGGGGTTGGGGGAGCGGGTAGGGAAAGCATTAGGAGCTATACCTAATGTAAATGACGAGTGAATGGGTGCAGCACATCAACATGGCACATGTATACATATGTAACAAACCTCCACGTTGTGCACATGTACCCTAGAACTTAAAGTATATAAAAAAAAATTAGTTGGGACCTGGTAAATTGATTTCATGACTCACTAATGGTTTGTGACCCAAAGTTTGAAAATCACTGAGTAACAGGACAAAAAAAAAATTAAAATGTAAAAAATAAATTCTGGGACTAGTGAAAAAAAGAAAAGGATATGTTTTCATTTATTTGTGTCTCCTTTCATCTCTTTCAGTAATATTTTGTAGTTTTAGTGTATAAGTTTTTTGCCTTCTTAGTTAAGTTTATTTCTAAGTATTTTTTCATACATGTTTAAGGTGTACAGCATGATGTTTTAATATACATATGCCTTGTGAAATGATTACTATGGTCAAGCAAATTAACATATCCATCTCCTCATATTGTTACCTTTTATTTTTTCTGTAAGTTGTGTATGTGATAAGAGCCCCTGAAATCTACTCTTGGCAGATGTCCATTATGCAATGCAATAGTATTAACTAGTCGTCATGCTGTACATTGGATCTCTGGAGACTTATTCATTCTATATCCTACATCACTACAACTTTGTACTCTTTGACCAACATCTCCCCATGCCCATCTCACCCCTGGTAACCATAATTCTAGCCTCTGTTTCTATGTATTTGAATTTTTTAGACTTTCTATATAAGTAAATGTATGCAATATTTTTATTTCTGTGTCTGGCTTATTTCACTTAGCATAATACCCTGGTTCATCCATGCTATCTTTTTTACACTGAATATCTCACAATTTTCTTCTGTTCATTCATCCATTAGTAGAGCCACCAGCATCTTTTAGTTTCTATTTGCATAGAATATCTTTTTCCATCTTTTCACTTTCAAACTGTTCGTGTCCTTCAATCTAAAGTAAGTTTCCTGTGGAAAGCATATAGTTGTATTCTTATATTTATTTTGAAACGTAACTATACCTATCTATTTTTATATAAAGGACAAACAGATCTTTTGGAAATTGGAGTCGACTCACTGTGTAACCACAGGGTATAAAAATAAGACTAGTGTAGAAAAGCTACGAACCACTGGCTTTAAATTCTCACTGCCAGATCAGCAGTGTAGAAAGGATTGAGGGGCACACATCAATCTCAATATTTGAAAAAATTTTCTAATGTTCTGTTTTATCTAGCAAAGAGTAGGTAGGCGTGTGATGTGTTAAAGCAGATGTTGGATATACATGAACACCTATCACACACACAAATTTGGATTGTGTGAAAAAATATACTAGAAGAACTCTTAGTTTTCTTATATTTAATTAAAGATGGCAGAATATGGATTGTAGATAAAGATAGAAGGATAAAGCATAATAATTCTATTTAAAAATAAATAAAAATAGTTAAACAACTCAGCAAAGTTATTTACTAGTAGCTGTGAAACAAGAAAAGGAATTCAGCCTTATGCCATTAATTTAGGAAAGTGATAACCAAAGAAAGAAACAGGAGATTCTAATCAAGTTTCCTAATGCTTTTCCCACAGTCCAAATCTGAGACAAAAAAAAAAAAAAAAAAAACAAACAAAAACCAACTGTGAGAATACAAACTACTGGCCATCAATTTCAAAGTAATACAAGAAATAGGAAAAATAAATGCCCACCATCTTTCTAGAAACCACTTTGAAGTGATAAACTATCAGAAGCCCAACTATCCCTGCCTCCTGAAGTAAAGTAAAGCTACAACTGCAGAGTGACAAAGACTGAACTGAGGTATAGAATGTTTCACAAAATATCAGGGTCCACCTCTGGTTCTTTCTTCCCCTTAACAACATTGCCTCCCATGACACACTGAAGTTACAAGAAAGTGAATAGAAAGCAATACTCAATCTTACAACTGTATATCTGAGGGGAATATAAATTAATCTGAAACAAAGTGGAAAAAATTTCAAAGAGTTTCCACTAACAAAACTTCAAAGCAAAGAAATGATCTGAACAAAGTTGATCATATTAAAGAGAAACAGAGTGGCTTCTGCTGCCAGAGTCACAAAATAACTAGAATGTGCCCAGAAAATAAAGCTCCTTTATTGTTTATAACTAAGCTGTTCATTCTCATAACTCCCATGCACTAAATAGCTTGCGTTGGAGTGGGGAAGGTAGTAAGTATCTAATAGAATTTAATGCTTCATCAGATCCAAAATTGTAATAGTCCATATCAGGTAGTATTCAGTCTTTGAGATATAAATCTCTCCAGTGGCCTCCCCATTCCCATCTTCCGATGAAGAAAGAAGAAGGATGTGATTTTTTGACTGTATGGCACTAAGGGAGAGTCGGCATACTCAGGCCTGATATCTTCTATATTTTCTGGTTTAGAGTCAGTTTCTCTTATTCACCTTGATATTGCTTGCCCGGATGATGCTGGCAGCTTTATGAAGTCTACAGTTGTTGTAACCTACAACTTAGTATTTTTAGACTTTATTAAGACCTACTAGAATTGAATTACTAATTTGGTAGTTATTTTAATGGCTTTACTTGTTAATTTCATTAACCATGTCATTTCTGGATCCGTTTCCGTTGGTGGATTTTTCTTTTGGTTATGGGTTATACTTTTTTATTTCTTTTAATGCTGATAACTTTTGGTTGAATGTAGATATTGTGAATTTTACATTTTGGGTCCTGAATTAAAAAAAATATATATATGTATAACATATATGTATAAATGTATACATATTTGTGTGTGTATATATATATGTGTGTGTGTGTTTGTGCGCGCATGCCCTTTTCCTTTCTGGAATGCAATTATTTCCAATCTGCTGGATCATTTGGAGGATTGTTTTCAGCTCTGTTAGAACAGCTCCAGAGTAGTTCTTAGTCCGTGGCTAATTTAACCCTATTACTAAGCAATATCCTTATGAGAACTCTGTCTGACGTTCCATATATTAGGATTAGGAGTTCTTTCCACTGTGGATGATGAGAATAGGGACTATTCCTATTTTTGCATGAGCTCTGGGACTGTTCCACTCACAAGTGTACATTGGTATTCAAACAAAGCCTCAAGGGGAACCCTCCATGGATCTCCAATTCTCTCTCTCTCTCTTTCTCTCTCTCTTCTCTCTCTTTCCCTCTGGGGATCTTAGCACTTTTTATCTGGTTATTTCACCTACAAACTTTGTTTCTTTGGCCTCCTCCAACTCCAAACTTTGTTTTCTTAGTCCAGCAAGGCCACCAAGCTATAAAGTCTTCCCGCTCTCTGTACGGTGTCCAGAAAACTCCAGGCAGTAGGTTAGGGCAATCACAGATCCTACCTTCTTTATGTCCTTCCTCTCAGGGACCCATCTCTTAAAATGTCTGTTGTTCTATGTCTGAAGACAATTGTTTCATATATTTGCCTAGTTTTCTAATTGTTGAACAGAAAGAGTAAGTTTATTTCCTTACTCCTTAATAGCTAGAAGAGAAATTTAAGCCTTATTTCTAATTATGGAATAAAACTGGATTTCCTCTAGAAAATAAATTTCAGGAGCCCATGGGCAGATGAGAAAAGTAATATTTGATTTTTGGTTGTTCTTTTACCCCAATTTTTATAGATTGTTAGTTATATAGGGTTTCATATAAATATCAGCCTAGTTTGTCTTCCAGCAGGGCCATCCTTCTGTTCTGTTCCTTACAGTTACTGAAACATTGTGTATGGATTACTGACCATCCTAGTTCGTGGTCTTCTGTAACTGAGATGACTCATTATTGTGCTATTGAACAAGAGAGATCTGAATGCTATAATTTGGTTCTAATTTTCATCATGTTTGTTAATTGATCTGCTTCAGAAGTGCAAAATAGAATCACTTGGTCAACATTTTTTTTTAAAAAAGACATGCAGATAGGAAGGGCCAAGATGGCTGAATAGGAACAGCTCCTATTCAGGAGCTAATAGGTCTGCAGCTCCTAGAGAGACCAACGCAGAAGGTGAATGATTTCTGCATTTCTAACTGAGGTACCCAGTTCACCTCACCGGGATTGTTTAGGAAGTGGGTCCAACCCACAGAGGGCGAGCAGAAGCAGGGTGGGGCTTGGCTTCACCTGGGAACTGCAAGAAGCCAGGGGACCTCCCTCCCCCAGGCAAGGGAAGCCATGAAGGACTGTGCTACCCGGCTGGGTTACTATGCGTTTCCCACAGTTTTTGCAATCTGCAGATCAGGAGATTCTCTCGTGTGCCTACACCACTGGGGTTCTGGGTTTCAAGCACAAAACTGGGTGGCTGTTTGGGCAGACACTGAGCTAGCTGCAAGAGTTTTTTTCATACCCCAGTGGCACTTGCAACCCCAGTGAGACAGAACCATTCACTCTCTTGGAAAGGGAGCTAAAGCCAGAGAGCTAAGTGGTCTCACTCAGCAGTTCCCACTGCCACGGGGCCCATGAAGCTTGAAATTCTCGCTGACAGCTCAGCAGTCTGAAATCCACCGGGGATGATCGAGCTTGGTGGGGGAAGGGACATTCGCCATTATTGAGGCTTTGGTAGGCGGTTTTCCCCTGACAGTGCTAAGGAGGATGGAAGGTTTGGACTGGGCAGAATTCACCACAGCACAGCAAAGCAAAGTGGCTGTGGTCAGACTGCTTTTCTAGATTCCTCCTCACTGGGCAGGGCATTCTCTGAAAGAAAGCTAACAGCCCCAGTCAGAGGTTTACAGATAAACTTCCATCTCCCTGGGACAGGGCACCTGGGGAAAGGGGCAGCTGTTCACACAGCTTCAGTGAATGTAATCGTTCCTGCCTGCCAGCTCTGAACAGAGCAGCTGATCCTGGCAAGATGGATTCTCCCAGCACTGAGCACCAGCTCTGCCAAGAAACAGACTGCCTCCTCAAGTGGGTCCCTGAGCCCCGTGCCTCCTGACTGGGATAGACTTCCCAACAGGGGTTGACAGACACCTCATAGAGGAGAGCTCCGGCTGGCAACTGGCCGGTGCCCCTCTGGGATGAAGCTTCCAGAGGAAGGAGCAGGCAGCAATCTTTGCTATTCTATAGCCTCCACAGGTGATACCCTGGTGAACAGGGTCTAGAGTGGACCTCCAGCAAACTGCAGCAGACCTGCAGAAGAGGGACCTGACTGTTAGAAGAAAAACTAGCAAACAGAAAGCAACAACATCAACATCAACATAAAGAACCCCCACACTAAAACCCCATCCAAAAGTCACCAGTCACAAAGATCATAGGTAGATAAATCTATGAAGATGAGAAAGAAACAGTGCAAAAATGCTGAAAATTCCAAAAAACCCCAGAATGCTTCTTCTCTTCCATATGATCACAACTCCTCTCCAACAAGGACACAAAACTGGATGGAGAATGAGATTGACCAATTGACAGAAGTAAGATTCAGAAGGTGGCTAATAACAAACTCTGAGCTAAAGGAGCATGTTCTAACCCAACGCAAGGAAGCTAAGAACCTTGATAAAATGTTACAGGAACTGCTAACTGGAATAACCCCTTTAAAGAGGAATGCAAATGACCTGAGGGAGCTGAAAAACATAGCACGAGAACTTTGTAAAGCATAAACAAGTATCAATAGCCTAATCGATCAAGCAGAAGAAAGGTTATCAGAGATTGAAGATCAACTTACTGAAATAAGGCGTGAAAACAAGGTTAGAGAAAAAAGAATGACAAGGAACGAACAAAGCCTCCAAGAAATATGGGACTCTGTGAAAAGACCAAACCTATGATTGATTGGTGTACCTGAAAGTGACGGGGAGAATGGAACCAAGTTGGAAAACACACTTCAGGATATTATCCAGGAGAACTTCCCCAACCTAGCAAGACAGGCCAACATTCAAATTCAGGAAATACAGAGAACACCACTAAGATACTCCTCGAGAACTGCAATCCTAAGACACATAATTATTAGATTCTCCAAGGTTGAAATGAAGGAAAGAATATTAAGGGCAGCAAGAGAGAAAGGTCAGGTCACCTACAAAGGGAAGCCCATCAGACTAACAGCAGATCTCTCCGCAGAAACCCTACAAGTCAGAAGAGAGTGGGGGGGCCAATATTCAATATTCTTAAAGAAAAGAATTTTCAACCCAGAATTTCATATGCAGCCAAATTAAGCTTCATAAATGAAGGAGAAATAAAAACCTTTACAGACAAGCAAATGCTGTGAGATTTTGTCACCACCAGGCCTGCCTTACAAGAGCTCCTGAAGGAAACACTAACAAGGGAAAGGAAAAACTTGTATCAGCCACTGCAAAAACACACCAAGATATAAAGACCTATAACACTATAAAGAAATTACATCAACTAATGTGCAAAATAACCAGCTAGCATCACCATGATGAGATCAAATGCACACATCACAATATTAACGTTAAATTTAAATAGGCTAAATGCCTCAATTAAAAGAAATGGGCTGGCATATTGGATATAGGGTCAAGACATATTGGTGTGCTGTATTCGGGAGACCCATCTCATGTGCAAAGACACACATAGGCTCAAAATAAAGGGATAGAGGAATATTTACCAAGCAAACGGAAAGCCAAAAAAAAAAAAAAAAAAAGCAGGGCCTTTTGGTTTCATATGGAACCAAAAAAGAGCCTGCATTGCCAAGACAATCCTAAGCCAAAAGAACAAAGCTGGAGGCATCACGCTACCTGACTTCAAACTCAACTACAAGGCTACAGTAACCAAAAAAGCATGGTACTGGTACCAAAACAGATATATAGACCAATGGAACAGAACAGAGCCCTCAGAAATAATACCACACATCTACAACCATCTGATCTTTGACAAACCTGACAAAAACAAGAAATGGGGAAAGGATCCCCTATTTAATAAATGGTGCTGGGAAAACTGGCTAGCCATATGTAGAAAGCTGAAACTGGATCCCTTCCTTACACCTTATACAAAAATTAATTCAAGATGGATTAAAGACTTAAATGTTAGACCTAAAACCATAAAAACCCTAGAAGAAAACCTAGGCATTACCTTTCAGGACATAGGCATGGGCAAGGATTTCATTACTAAAATACCAAAAGCAATTGAGACAAAAGCCAAAATTGACAAATGGGATCTAATTAAACTAAAGAGCTTCTGCACAGCAAAAGAAACTACCGTCAGAGTGAACAGGCAACCTACAGAATGGGAGAAAATTTTTACAATCTACCCATCTGACAAAGGGCTAATATCCAGAATCTACAAAGGACTTAAACAAATTTACAAGAAAAAATCAAACAACCCCATCAGAAAGTGTGCAAAGGATATGAACAGACACTTCTCAAAAGAAGACATTTATGCAGCCAACAGACACATGAAAAAATGCTCACCATCACTGGCCATCAGAGAAATGCAAATCAAAACCACAATGAGATACCATCTCACACCAGTTAGAATGGCAATCATTAAAAAGTCAGGAAACAACAGGTGCTGGAAAGGATGTGGAGAAATAGGAACACTTTTACACTGTTGGTGGGATTGTAAAATAGTTCAATCATTGTGGAAGACAGTGTGGTGATTCCTCAGGGATCTAGAACTAGAAATACCATTTGACCCAGCAATCCCATTACTGGGTATATACTCAAAGGATTATAAATCATGCTGCTATAAAGAAAAACACACATGTATGTTTATTGCGGCACTATTCACAATAGCAAAGACTTGGAACCAACCCAAATGGCCATCAATGATAGACTGGATTAAGAAAATGTGGCACATATACACCGTGGAATACTATGCAGCCATAAAAAAGATGAGTTCATGTCCTCTGTAGGAACATGGATGAAGCTGGAAACCATCATTCTGAGCAAACTATCTCAAGCACAAAAAACCAAACACCGCATGTTCTCACTCATAGGTGGGAATTGAACATGAGAACACTTGGACACAGGGTGGGGAACATCACACACCAGGGCCTGTCATGGAGTCAGGGGAGGGAGGAGGAATGGCATTAGGAGATATACCTGGTGTAAATAACGAATTAATGGGTGCAGCACACCAACATGGCACATGTAGACATATGTAACAAACCTGCGCGTTGTGCACATGTACCCTAGAACTTAAAGTATAATAATATATAAAAAAAGATTTAGGCATGGACAAAAACTTCATGACTAACACCAAAAGCAATTGAGACAAAAGCCAAAATTGACAAATGGGATCTAATTAAACTAAAGAGCTTCTGCACAGCAAAAGAAACTACCATCAGAGTGAACAGGCAACCTACAGAATGGGAGAAAATTTTTACAATCTACCCATCTGACAAAGGGCTAATATCCAGAATCTACAAAGGACTTAAAGAAATTTACAAGAAAAAAACAAACAACCCCATCAAAAAGTGGGCAAAGGATAGGAACAGACGCTCCTCAAAAGAAGACATTTATGCAGCAGACAAACATATGAAAAAAAAAGCTCATCATCACCGGTCATTAGAGAAACGCAAATCCGAACCATAATGAGATATCATTTCATGCCAGTTAGAATGGCGATTATTAAAAAATCCTGAAAGAACAGATGCTGGCAAGACTGTGGTGAAATAGGAACACTTTACACTGTTGGTGGAAGTGCAAATTAGTTTAATCATTGTGGAACACAGTATGGCGATTCTTCAAGGATCTATAACCAGAAATGCCATTTGATCCAGCAATCCCATTACTCGGTATATACCCAAAGGATTATAAATCATTCTACTATAAAGACACATGCACACATATGTTTATTGCAGCACTATTTACAATAGCAAATACTTGGAACCAACCCATATGCCCATTGATTATAGTTTGGAATGTGGCGCATATACACCATGGAATACTATGCAGACATAAAAAAAAGAGTTAATGTTTTTGCAGGGATATGGATGATGCTGGAAGCAATCATCTACAGCAAGTTGACACAGGAACAGAAAAACAAATGCCGAATGTTCTCACTTATAAGTGGGAGTTGAACAACGAGAACACATGGAAACAGGGAGGGGAAGATCACATACGGGGCCTGTCGGTGGGTAGGGGGCAGGGGAAGGGAAAGCATTAGGACAAATACCTAATGCATGACAGATTGATAGGTGCAGCAAACCACTATGGCACATGTATACCTATGTAACAAATCTGCACATTCTGCACATGTATCACAGAACTTAAGTAAAATTCTTATTTTACTTAAAGTAAAATAAAATAGACAGGCTCTTTATCTCAGAAGAACTGAACAGATAGCGTTTCTAAAAGTGAGTCTGATGGAGTCCACAATTGGGAATTATTTTATTTTATTGATTGTATATATATAAATATATATATATTTTTTTTTTTGAGACGGAGGCTTGCTCTGTCGTCAGGCTAGAGTGCAGTGGCGCGATCTCGGCTCACTGCAACCTCCGCCTCCTGGGTTTAAGCGATTCCCCTGGCTCAGCCTCCTGAGTAGCTGGGACTACAGGCATGCACCACCATACCTGGCTAATTTTTTGCATTTTAGTAGATACAGGGTTTCACCATGTTGGCCAGGATGGTCTCAATCTCCTGACCTCGTGATACTCCCGCCTCGGCCTCCCGAAGTGCTGGGTTTACAGGCTTCTGCCACTGCGCCCGGCCCACAGTTGGGAATTAAGTGTCCTGTTGATCACTAGTCTACTTGTCAGAGATATGTTTGAATAGGGATTTCCATACTATAATCAAAAAGGTGCTGATATTATTGTGTGAATAATCATAATATACATTCTCAGAGACTGAAGAATGATTATTTTGTGTAATTTTTATATTTAATCATTTTATTCTTCTCTTGAAGCCTAGTGTAGAATATCTACTAACTTCTTTTTTTACTTGAATACTAGGGAACTCACCTTTCCCACATCAGACTGGAAAACAGAGTTCCTTCATAAAAACCTTAATTGGCCAAGAGATAAATAGGATTCCTTCACGGAGAAGTAGTAGAACAGGAGAAGGAAAATGAGGAGAAGAAGGTGAAGGAAAGGGAAAGGGGAAGGGAGAGAGGCAGAGGGTTCATTTATTTGTGGACATCTCACATGTATAATGATTCGGTTACAGATTCATTTATTCATCATCTTGCTGGGCTTGGTGCTACAGGTAGAGATTTGATTGAAATTTAATCCTCACTAGCAGACAGGTATCCAGTCAAACAAGATCAGTGGATTGGTAAAAGTCAGTGAGATTAAAGGTGGCCCTAACAAAAAAATGTCACCTATCACTAAGAACAACAACAAAATCTTAAAAGTGTCTACTCTGAGTCACCCAACTTCTGAGACAACTTGTGTCATTTAACACATTTTACAGTCAAAATAGAAATGTGTCATAAGCTCTAAATACAGCAACGACACCGGTACCAACACAGATGTTTATTTCAGATCTTTTACACTACTTCTCAAACATGTACCTTTTCTTTCAGCAGCCTCAAAGATGTTATAATTGGAAGAAAAGTACTTTGCAATTACTGTTTTGAAGTTTTCACCTCTGGGACAGTTTTCTGTTGTAGGTATGTAACTTGGAAGTTATAGAAAGATACCATCTTAAGAACTTAAGATTGTACTCTGCTATGCAACAGGCAGTGAGCAAAGGTAAAGATATGAGAATATAATTTAAAGAGACAAAGAGACTCTCAGGTCAGAGACTTTCCAAAAATAGATGATGGATTGTATTTTTTTTTTAAATTTTCAATGTGAAGAGAAGGCTAACTTGCCTCAAAGGAAGCAACATAGAAATAAATATGCCATTGTCCACCCCAAATCCACCTAGGAGAAGATAAAACTTTAGTTAGCAAACTTTACGATTAAGGTGCTGTAAGCTGAATATTTGTGTCCCTCTCCCAAAACTTATACATTGAAGCCTAATCCTCAATGTGATGGCATTATAGGTGAGGCCTTTGGGAAGTAATTAGGTCATGTGGCCGGAACCCTCATAAGTAGGATTAATGCCCCTACTCATAAAAAAAGGAGAACACAGGAGATCTCTCTCTGCTCGTTCCCATGACAGGATACAATGACAACAGAGCCATTTATTTGCATACTGGGAAGAGTGCTCCCACTAGACACCAGACTGCCTGACACTTTGATCTTCGACTGCACAGTATCCAGAACTGTGAGAAATAAATGTTTGTTCTCTAAGCCACCCAGTTGATTGTTAGTTGTTGTAGCAGCCAGAAATAACTACAACCTAAGATTCTTTTTAGTGAGATGAGTGTATTAGGCTATTAAACAATCAAGTTACCTAATTCTTCTATTCTGTCTTTAAGCAATATTCTGAACATAATTTGGATTTTCACGTAGATATGTCTACAATGAGAAAGTGTGTTAATCATGTGAACTTTTGGACAATTTTTCATGTTATAAATCAATATGTTTTCATTATATCTCAATACATAAATCCTATGAGCTTAGTTTAATATGAGACATTGATTGAGAAACAAGTCTACTCTTCATGAGAAGACTAAATTAGGTTTCTGAGCCCAAAACAATGAACAAACAAAAAACCCGAGAGAGTGACCTAGTAAACTCACCAAGCTCTCTGGGCCATAGCTAAGTAGATGACATATACCACTCAATATGTTTTACAGTTTCCAAATTTCTTTAATACTTTCTTAAATTGTAAGGGTAGAATGGTCAAACATGTTATTTTATTCATTCATATTTACAATACCCTATTTTGTCTTGTCTAACACATGGGAAAAATTGAACACAACTCTGCTTGCTAGCTGCTTTTCTAAAACAGGGGATATAGCTAAGTTCAGGGAGATACCTTCAAAATGTGTCACTTAATAGAATACAACATGGATGAATCTTCAAACATTATACTAAGAGAAAAAAGCCAGAAACAAAAGGCCATATATTTTACAATTTCAATTATATGAAATGTCCAAAATAAGCAAATCCATAAAGAGAGATTAATGTTTGCTAGAGTCTGGGGGAAGGGAGATGAGGGAGTGACAATTAATGGATACATGGATTTTGGGGAGGAGTGATGAGAATGTTCTGGAAATGTATAGTCATGATGGTAGCATATCTTTATAAGTATACTAAAAACCACTGAATTAGACACATTAAACAGGTTAAGTTTTTGGCATGTGAATTATAATCTCAATTTTTAAAAATGCTAATAGGGGCCATATGAAGGTAGTTGGATTTCAAATTATTTTTACTTTTACCCTTCGTATAGATTATTTATTTTTTAAATGAACGCAGTCTGGGATGAACAATAGACAGCTTTCATGAGTGTGGGGGACCTAGCTGAAAATCAGGCCACTTAGAGATTGTAATATAAATATCTGACTGTTAATGCCATACATACCTAGAAAAGTAAAACATTAAAATTCCATTTTAATTCTCTTCAGCTGGCATTGGTTATTATCAGCAACATGCTAAGTACAGAGTTGTGTAAATCTTTGGTCCCACTTTATATGAAATGGACTTGTATATGTTGATATAGATATTTACCTGGGATTAGTAAAATTTAAGCCTTTATGAAGTTGCCCATTTCTTCAATAAATATTTCTTCAGCTATTATATGAGACTTGAGTTACTATATGACATGAACTGTGTCAGTTACAAAACCCAGTGTGAGCAAACACTAAGTTCTTCCCCCAAATGCTCCTTAGAACAAGGGTCACAGATGAAAAATTAGACTGGAAAATCCGTTAAATTGACCTACCATAGTATTCACACAACTTTTCATTCTTAATGTAAATGTAAGGAAAATGCAAGATTTCTTTTTCTTTTCTTTCCAACAGCCCCCAGTTTACACAGACACTAGTAGTAGATGTGGGAAATACACACTTGGGTGACTATAACCTATTTACAATGAGAGAAAAATCTTCAGGGATGAGTTAACATGTTTTATAGTGTTAATTACAGAAAGTGCAATACTAATAATGTTCAGGAGTTAATTAACCACTTTCTGAACTTCACTCGTCTTGTCTCACACACTTGGCAGAGGCCATCAAAGTAATAATCTGTATCAAAGACTCTTATCTACTTTGAGGTTTGCAGAACTTCTTTGAGAATCTCTTTATGTCTTTTCTTTCTAATAAATGCATATAAGCACATTTAAACTGAAAACTGCAGAAATATCAAGGTTTTAATAATTATCTTGGAAACCATCCATACATTCCTGAAACCTCAGAGATCTTAGGTTACAATTAATTCACTTATATGAAGAATGTCTTATTAATATAGATTAATACATTTTAGTTCATTCAATTAATTAAATGTTATCCATTATAAAATACTTAGAATTGTCTGGCTTACAGTAAGCTGTCAATGAGTGTTAGATCTTTTATTTTTACAGCATATGTTGAGCATATCATGTATTAGGCACTTTCTTAAATGCTAGATTAATAATATATAACATTTTCTATGTTTACTGTAAGACAGACATATATTTAATACTTTTAATTACCCTATGCAGTATATATTTTCGTGCTTACTGCTTTAAGATGAAGAAACTGGCTGTACTGAAATTATCTTGCCCAAAGCCAGTAGGGCTTATCATCAAATCTAGTACTTTACTACGACTTCTCTTCAATACCAGTAGAGAAACGGTAGGGCTTGTATTCAAATCTATTGCTTCTGATTCCAGAACCCATCCTTTTATTTCTGTGATATTCCATTGTTAGCAGATTTCACTCAACCTATGAAAAGCTTGTCTGGGATGATTCACTCACATCACCCAGGTGAACATATATCTCTTATAGGAAGAACTTTCAGTTAATATCAACTCAGATCAAAGCTAAACCTAGAGAGAGGCAAACTCCATAGTTGAAGTAAACGACATGACATAAATTTGCATTGGCAGAGTGCTTAAAGTGCTACCTTTTCAAAAGTAAAAGAGTATATAAATTATCATAAACTTCTTTTGTTGAATGAACTCTCCCCTCATTCACCTCACTAGAAAAGGCTGAATATTTGAATTCCTATAATTTTAATATCAAGAATCCTAGTGCACATTTAAAAGGTTATACAGTTTGTGAAAGGAATGAGACTTTGCCCCTTGCTTTTGCCTTATGATGGTGTAAGTCAAAGGTGCTATAGTTTAAAATACTCTTGGTTAAATCTCAGATTTGGGCTTGTGCATTTAAATTCTAGAGATATTATTAAGACTGTTGGTCTCCTTAAGAATCAAGACAGGTTTTTAAAACTTGCTAAGATGTTTGATTTTAAATACTTCTTAGATGAAAAAGTACCAGAGTCTAAAATGTTCAGATCTAGAAAAAAAGAGAGATTTGTTTACCAGTACATGTTTGAATTTTTAGGAAAACAAAAAGATTCATGGAGATATGGCCTTTAATCAAGCTATGTTTCCAATGCAGATGAAACTGAAGTGCAAATGCAAAAATAAGCTGGCTTGTCAATCATAGCTAGTCGAATCACCAGGGGTGTGAAACGTTTGGATTTTTGGATTTTAAAGGGTTAGACAAAGACGGGATAGAAACTTGCTGTGTTGAAAAGGATACTGTTTTTGGAATTTTCAGACTTTTTGTCCTTACTGTTAAAATAAACAGCATCGATGGCACTCATTTCTCCTACTCCTTCTTCCTCCTCTTAAATTAAGTTTAGCCTCAAGCTGCCTCCTTACATATTTTAAGTTTGGCCTAAGGGTTTTTCTGTACATCGTGAACTATAACCAGCAGAGGTATAAACAGACCGTTGCCTACACTTGGGCCAATCAGCGAGTTTTGGCCAAATAGCCAACTATTCCAACCATGTTCAAATATGGCAAACACTGTAACCAATCCAGCAATTTCTATACTTCACTTCTGTTTTCTGTACCTCACTTTCCTTTTTCTGTCCATAAATCTTCCACCACGTGGCTGCACTGGAGTCTTTGAGCCTACTTGGGCTCGGCAGGCTACCCTATTAATGTAGTGTTCATGGCTCAATTAAACTCCTTTAAATTTAATTCAACTGAAGTTTTTTTCTTTTAACACTCCTCAGCAAAAAAACATTTGTAATGCTCCCTGCCTCACCAGCTAATCCATTCTTATCATCTGGTATTCTACTGGACATTATATTTTTAAACAGTCACTAGGAGAAATACACTTGCAAATAGCTAGTTGAGACTGAAAAATGATCGAAGAAGTTTAAATCTGATGAGACTCCTAGGGAAATACCTATTAGAAGCATGTGCATGGGTTGAGGGAGCTAAGAGAAGTCATAGTAAGAAACACAGTAATGGCCAGTCGTGGGTGGCTCAGGCCTTTAACCCCAGTCCTTAGGGAGGCCAAGGCAGGCAGATTACCTGAGGTCAGGAGTTTGAGACCAGCCTGGCCAACATGGTGAAACCCCATCTCTACTAAAAATACAAAAATTAGCCAGGCATCATGGTGGACACCTGTAATCCCACTACTCCAGAGGCTGAGGCAGGGGAATCACTTGAACCTGGGAGGTGGATGTTGCAGTGAGCCGAGTTTGTGCCACTACACTCCAGCCTGGGTGACAAAACAAGACTGTCTCAAGACAAAAAAAGAAAAACAGTAAAACCTATGGAGACCCATAATTACAAAGAAGCATGCTGACGGTATATAGCTGGTCAAACAAACAAACAAACAAAAAACAGGGAACAGGGAGACTCAGGAACATCTTATTCTGAATTCTATATTCTTCCCACGCTCTTCATAGACCCAACTCTAACAAATTGTTTTTGGGAAACCCTTTATTCCCCCAAGGCTCTGAGTTATTTTAGAAGGAGTGTATTAGATTCACATTTGGCTACTTAGAGACAGATGTATACATCCATGTTACTTAAATGTTGACAATCTGCAATGCGAAGGCTTGAAGCACGCAAAAAATACTTGGTGTCTGCTCTAAAGACAGAGCCAATACGATAGCTCCCTAATGATGGTGGCAGGGGCCCATCTGGGGTGGCCACTGTGAGGACTCCAGCTGCAGTGGGGGAGGTGCGACCAGGGCTGTGCGCTCGGTGGGGGCTGGTAACTGGTGATCCCAGTGGGAGCCCCATACCCTACTGAGTTGGCAGGGAGGGAGTCCTTGCCTGCAGGTGCAGCTACAGCTGCCCAGCTGCAGCTCCAGACCCAGGCATCCCTGCACTCTTGGGAGCTCAGGAAGCCCTCTTCCCCTGCAGGCTCAGAAGTGCCTGCTCCCACTCACAAACCTTTTCCTGCTCCTGGTGCCGACTCCAGTGCAGAGCAAAGTTATGGCTAAGCCCGAGGGCTGTCACAGCCTGGCCGGGTGTGCGTGTACTTGGGGCAGCACTGACGTACAAGCCCCCTGTTCCCTTGGCCCCTTCCAGACTTTGAGCACCGACAAGTGTGGGAGGGAGGCTGAGGTACTGAGGGCAGCTTGTCGTGGGCCTGTGGGTGCCCCTCAGCAGGAACAGCCTGTGCACTGTGGATGTAATGTTGATGGCAGCGGGAGGCACACAGATTCTTAGGAGGGAAGGGGCAGGTCCCCAGTGAAACCCCACCTTCAAGCCAGGGAGAGGTTGAAGCTTGGGGGCCAGGCTCCCAGTTCCAGGTGGGGTTCATGACCAGGAGTGAGAACTTCATTGATGTCTTTCAGCCAGTCAGATGGTGCTTTTTCCAGGCCTGCCTATGTCTGCCTATGGACAAGTCAGCATGCGCTTCCTCCATTCTGAGCATATTAAGAACCCCAGACTCAGCCAGAGTCAGACACTTGTCAGGATGACCAGCCTGCAGAAAGGAGCTACCCACTTCAGGTCTCCTGAGAGCCATTCTGTCACTCAATAAAGCTCTCCTCCTTGCTTACCCTCCAGTTGTCCACATAAATTCATTCCTCCTGGACATGGGACAGGAACTCGGGAATTGACAAATGCAGGGAGTGAAAGGAACTGTAACACATTCCTGGCCAGCTCGCTAAGCTGCAGGTGGCGACACAGTCCTGGACTGCAGGAGTGAAGAGTGGCAACCCTTCCGGGGCCCAGACCTTAGAATACCCATGGCCAGAACTGCTGTAACACTATATCCCTCCACCAGTGCTGGGTGGTTGCCCCACAAGACAGGAAGCAGCAGCGGTACAGGGTCAGCCCAAGAGCTGTGGCCAGAGTGGGACAGTGGGACTGAGAGACCTGTAACACAAACAGGCTGAAACACATCCCCCCAAAACTCGCCCCCTCACTCACCAAGCTGTGGGCAATAATAAGGAGAGAAGAGCTGTGGCCTTTCTGGGAGCCCAGACCTCGGGGCTCCCTAAGTCAGGGATGTGACATGCTATAACACTCTCTTTGGGGCTCTGTGGTTCCTGGCATCTCTGAGTTTTTGGGTGCCACCATCTTTTCCTCATCCAGATGCTGGTGCCTGCAGCAGAAGCTTCTAGTGGTACATCTGGTCCAGCCTCAGCCTTGCACAAAGCTGGCACCTGGAACTACCTGCCACACTACAGCAGGCAGTGTGCCTGGCTGTGCTCAGTGTCCAGACCCCATGCTCGCTTGCTCACACACCCCTTGCCACTCCCCACCTGGCTCGTGGCATCCAGGCCAGTAACGCGAGCTGAGTACAGCCTGCCAGGCCAAGTCAGCATAACAAGCCCAGCAGGCAAGAGCAATACTCAAGCAGAAGGTGCCACTGCCCACAGAGGTTTCCAGCTGGCGAAGTGACACCCTAAGGATCCAATGACACTACTATACAAGTTGCAGGAACATGAGAACACTTTCCTTCTTTCATCTTGATTTGTCCTTAAATCTAGTTCAGTGAAAATGTGCATGGCAAACTGCCTTCCACCATGAAATCTGCTAAACGAGCACCCTGTTCCCATTAGTTACTGAACACACACACACAAGCGCACACACACACACACACACACACACACACACACACAGAGAGAGAGTTATTCTTCTCATCTATCCTAAATTTTACTGACCTGGGGCACAGTCCCAGAATATAAAACCTCTAGCTTTCAAACAAAGGGACAATTCAATGACACACAGCTCCTGAGAGAAATTTCCATTAAAAAAAATAAAAGCAAAATGAGCCCAGGTAGGTAAGAGATTATCAGAGGGTAGTGCCATATTTCAGCCAGCTGATAAATATATGGCAGCACTGTAGGTCTTATCTACCTATGTCTCCTAGAATTGAGTAGTGAGGAGTTGTCAAGGAGATGCATATTAACACATTTATCTGCTTTGACAAATGAAATCAGGTATAGTCAGTGAGAAAATTACGCTGATTTGGCTGAATGGTTGTCCAGTAACCTCTGGTTTTTCTATGGTGAATATTTTCTCCATGGTGAATATTTTCCACAAACTGAATGAGGAAAATCTACTGTTCAAAACTTTGATGAAAATGTATTTAACAAATATAAACACTAGGTTGGGAAATAAACATGACAATTTTCAAACATAAAATTAGATGATAACTTAAAAATGTGTGAGGGGCCTAGCAGTTATTTTTAAAATATCTTAGGATGTGTATAAGCAAAAAAAAAAAATGTGTAGACAATTTGCTTGTACCAACTTTAGAACCCTAGTTAGACCTGAAATCTACAATTTAAAAATAATGGTAACGGATACCTTTTCAGAATAACATGCATCTATCATTCTTGGAATAGTTAAAGCAACAGGTATATTTAGCTCTTTAACTTACAGAAGAGCTGTTATGGGACATCCAGAAGCTAACCTTGATTATTTTAAAGATTATTTTTTCAGGAATAGGATTAATCCTCCAAATTTTTCTAGAAGACAGAACTAGAGTCAGTAGGCTAATCACTTTCAAGAAAGCAGATTTCATCTTAATATAAGGTAGAGCTCCCTAACCATGAGCACTGTCCAAAAATGTAGTAGATTTCCAACTCTGAACATGTCTAGCACAGGCTAGAGACACACTGGGTAGGAGGAATATAATAAGCTAGGTCATTTCTAGCTTTCAGACATAAAATAATGTAGCAGGTACAGTGACTCACTATTTATTGAACTTGGCCTTAAATCTTAAGGAAAGTAAATCTAACTCTTCTTCTTAGGAATGGTCAGATTTTCTGTACTTTCTGATGATCTTGTAGTGGAGAATAAGTGAAATTCATTTTCTTTAGCATGTGGTAATGACTACAAGCAAATAAATTTGATATTTATGAGATTCATGTAGAGGCCCCAAAGTATTCCACTGGGGAGCTTGAGATTGAATTATTCATCTACTGCAAAGGAATCACACAACAGCAAAAGTACCAGGCAGCATAATTTCACAACTCCTTTTATTTCTGTCATTGAAGAGATTTTCCAAGTTTAGTTTTCTCCTGTTTCAGGTAGGTGTACTATTTATTCTACTTCCTTGAAACAAAAATTCACAGCCAACATCATCACAAGGCATCTCTGTTCACTTTACTTTAACTATAAATAAACTCTGCTATCTGCAGCTCCTTGGCTGCCACCTCTGGAAATGTTGCCACAACTGGTCCTCACTTTCCCCTTCAGCTTCAGACTCTCTCTGTCTGACTCTTTTGGTGTTTTATTCTCTCATAAGTTATTTTCACCATTTTTTAAAATAAAAGTGATACAGAGAAAGGGGAAAGAAGAAGAAAGGAGGAAGAGACAGAAAATGACTCAAAGTTACCTTCCGTTTTTAAGAGGTCTCTTTGCATGGATAAACTGAAGTCATAAGTTGTGTGTCCTTGGATGATGCTTTAATATCATTAGTTTTTTGAAAATGAAGAGAATCCTGAGTTATTGCTTATGTTTATACAAATAAATCCCATATTTCACATCTGTCACTAACTTACTGACTTAATTGAATGCGTATCAGTTGGTATTTAAGGGCCAAAGAACTGTAAGAACTGATGTCATTTATTGAATCAAGCAATGGGTTATTGAAATTCCTGTAGCCCTGTTTTACGTGCTAGGGATGCAGAAGTGAGCAAGATCCATGTCTTCTGAGGCTTTCTGTCTAGTGAGCAGGTACACTAAATGTGTTTTTATCAGAAACAAAATCTATGTTGAAATCAGGGAAAAAACACATGGTGTAAGTAACTCCTGATTCTGTTAAGTTGAATTACGTGTACTCTGTTGTAAGTAAAGGGAAAATACTCACCTGCCCTACCCGGTGGTTTATGCTCATTTTGTCTCATCTCATAGAGAGAAAGTGTGTGGTGGTTGGGAGAAAAAATGAACTGGAATAGGTTGAACTTGAGTCTGAGTTTTATTTTTAACACTTACTAACTGTTGATCCACAGTGCTCTCTTTTCCTCTTCCTTCTTTCTTTACATGGGAACAGTAATAGATATGTCACATAGTCATGATAACTTCATGAGACAAAACATGCAAAACACATAGTAGTAGAGTGCTTTGGACCGAGTAGGTTGTTAAAAAATATTGCTTCTAATTTTTCTTCCCTTTACCTTCTTGTTCTTACCTGGCCACCATGAAAGGCAGACATGGAGACTCATTCAGCACTGCAAGTGGGACAGTTTGATTAGGCTTATTTCTTTTTCCTTCATCATAAACCCAATGTGTACACTGTGAAGTACACAAGAGACAGGAGAGCACAATACAAAATGATTACCTAATTTTAAGCGATTCTTTCAACAGCTTTCTCCACAGCTCATTTTAAAGTTTGTGGGGTTTTTTTTTTTTCACTTTCAGCTCACAAGGACTCTAACCTTGACTAAATGCTTATGTCTGCACACTTATTAGCATCACAGGGGTCCATTAGAAGGCCTGGTCCCTAGAGAAGGCAGGGAGGCACCTGTTAGATTGTTACTATTAGGAATGTTTATTTAACAAGAAGTGTGGAGGTTATCGTGTTGCAGAGAGACACCTGTTTCAAGGTCAAGCCTTCTGACTGTGGGCAGCGTGAATCCAGTGATTGGCTGATATGGGAGCAAAAAGGTCTTGCCCCCTTGAGGGAAATTAAGACAAGTCTGAAGGAACATCGTAAGCAGGGGCGGCTGAGGCCGTATTGTAATTTCATCACAGCCCAACTTTTCCTCCACCTCGTGTTTCTTCCTTCTCCTCTCCCACAGGTGTTGCTTGAGGGGACACATTCCAGTAAGTTTTTGTATGCACTAATCACTATCTCAGAGGCTGCCTTCTTGGGAAAGCCAACCTGCCATGAGGAGTCAGGTATTAACTGTCCCACTCATTGACATCAAGTGCCCTGCTCAGAGTCACAGTCTAGTGTCAATTCCATAACTCAAAAGCCCATGGCAGTCTATTAATACAATGGAATATTCCACAGCAACAAAAATAAATAAATACTGGCTGTACATAACAGCCAGTATTTATTTTGAGTCTTATGAAGCTGTGATTGAGACACAGAAGCTGAGACAAAAGAGTATATTTGTATCATGCCCAGTAAAATGTATTTCTCTGGGAAAACTTTCTATTTAAAAAATAGGAAAAACGAATCTGAAGTACCAGAATACAAAATAGTGATTATGCTTGAAAGGGGAAGTAAAGATTAGGAAGGAGCACCAGGGGGGGTGTCCTGGTGCTCATAAATGTTCTGTTTCTTGATCTGAGTGCTGGCTACACAGTTGATCTGAGTGCTGGCTACACAGTTGATCTGAGTGCTGGCTACTTTATGAATATTCACCCAACGATACACATAATTTGTGTGCACTTTTCTGTAAATAGATTATATTCCAATAAAATATATTTTAAAAAGAACAAAATATGTGTACTTGATAATGTAACCACTAGATAAATAAACTGATTCCAAAATTTAAGGCTACACAGGCATTTCATAGAATATTCCTCATGCTTATCATAAGCCAGGCAAAAATCACACAAGCAAGAAGAGGCAAGCATTCAGTATTAGATGGTTTTGTATGCTGCAGAATCATTTAAATATATGTCCCACAAAAAAATTTCCTCCTTCTTTATGATGACAAATTATTATGGCCTGGCAGGTGATAACTGCTGAAATATTTAGAAGGCACTTAAGATGGAGAAAAAAACCCTACAAATGCTATTTGAAATCCCTTTAAAGAAAATTTCTCTCCGAAGAGCAGAAAAACAAAGAGGGCAATTGATGGCAATTTATGACATGACAAAATCAATTACAGTCATGCGCCCCATAAAGACGTTTCACTCAACCACAGACTGCATAAACAATGGTGGTCCCACAAGATTATAATGGAGTTAAAAACGCATATTACCTAGTATTTACTATACTTTACTTCTTGTTGTTATTTTACAATGTACTCTCTCTGTGTGTATACATATACATATTTATATATATAATAGTGTATATATCTGTCATATATATATATACACAGTATATATAAACACACACTCTGTGCATATATATGGAATGTATATATATATGTCATATATGTGTATATATATACAGTATGGATATCAGAGAGCGAGAGAGAGATAAAGTTAGCCATGTAACAGCCTCAGGCAGCTTCTTCAGGAGAAGGCACTGTTGTCACAGCAGATGACAGATTCATACCTCTTATTGCCCCTGAAGACCTTCCAAAAGGACAGGACATGGAAGCCAATGTTATGGTGATGATCCTGGCCCTGTGTGGGCCTAGGCTAATGTGTGTGTTTGTGTCTTAGTTTTTTTTGTTTTTTCAAATATTTAAATAGAAAAAAATTAAAATAGAAAAAAAGCCCATATAATTTAAAGGAAACAAAGAAAGAAAATGTTTTTGTACAGCTGTACAATGTGTTTTATGCTAAATGTTATTACAAAAGAATTAAAAAGATTTTTAAAGGCTTATAAAGTAAAAAGTTACAGTGTTATCATAAGCTAAGGTTAATTTATTATTGAAGAAAACATTGTTTTTATAAATGTAGTGTAGCCTAAGTGTACTGTGCTTATAAATTCTACAGTAGTGTTCAATAATGTTCTAGGCCTTCACATTCACTCACCACTCACTCACTGATTCACTTAGAGCATCTTCCATTCCTGCAAGCTCCATTCCTGGTAAGTGCCTTCTACAGGTGTACCACTTTTTAATCTTTTATACCATACTTTTACTGTCCCTTTTCTATGTTTGGATTTGTTTAGATACACACATACTTACCTTTGGGTTCCAATTACCTACAATATTCAGAACAGTAACATGTTGTACAGATTTGAAACCTAGGAGCAATAGGCTATGTCATTTATTCTAAGTGTGTGATAGGCCATACCGTCTAGGTTTGTGTAAGTACACTCTGATGTTCACACAACAATGAAATTGCCTAAGGAGGTTTCTCGTGATGTACGCCTGCCATTAAGTGATGCGTGACTACAGCTTCTTATTGGATTGTTTTGCTTTTAGAGTGAATACCTTGAAGATAACAAACTCACTTACTTTTTATGCCACAAATATATCATGTAGCATTGTGGCTCTGCAAGAATGAAAATTGTAACAAAGTTGCTTCTTGAGTAGGAAAAACAACTATAAACTGGCTTCAATGTGATATTGTGATGTAATAAGAAATAAATATCTGATCTTAGTTGCCAGTTCTCAGGTAGAGTTCCTAAAACCCTTGTAATTTCCTAAGTGATAAAGGTAAAAGGAGCATCTTCTGTAGTTCATTAACAAAATCCCTTTCAAACACACATGAGTTTACGTGAACGAGATGACTTTTGGAAATCCCTTAAAGGTAGGAGATAGTTACCCGGGAAACCAACCATATAGTTAGAGGATTGAAACTTTCAGCCTCACCCTCCAAACCACAGGGGGAGAGGAAAGAGTACTGGAGATTGAGTGAATCACTAGTGGCCAATAATTTCATCCAGCATGCCTAAGTAATAAAGCCTGCAGAAAAACCTTAACTGAAAGGATTTGGAGAATGTCCAGGTTGCTGAACATATGAAGGTGCTGGGTGGGTGGCTTGTCCAGAGAGGGTATAGAAGCCCCATGCCCCTTCTCCATATTTTGCCCTGTGGGTCTCTTCCATCTGGCTGTACTTCAGTTGTATTCTTAATAGTAAACCAGCAAATGGAAGTGAATGTTTCCTTGAGTTTTGTGAACCCTTCTGTGAACTCCATAAAAAAAGAAGAAAATCCTGTTATTTGTTGCAACATGGATGGTCATTATGTTAAGCAAAATAAGCCAGGCATGGAAAGGTGAATCTTATATGTCCTCATTCATATGTGGGAGCTAAAAACGTTGATCTCATGGAGGTAGAGAGTCCAGTAGTGGTTACCAGAGACTGGGAAGTGGGAGGAATGAAAAGAATTTGGTTAGTGGGTATGAAGCAGAGTTCAATAGGAGGAATAAGTTCTATTATTCAATTGTACAGTAGGGAGATTATAATTAATGATAATATATTGTACATTTCAAAATATCTAGAAAAGAGAAAAATTGGAATATTCCCAGCACAAAGAATGAATACATATATGATATTTTAGCTATCCCAATTACCTTGATTTGGTAATTGTACATGTACATTGGGTACATGTATGAAAATATCACATGTACCCTATGTATAACTATTATATATCAATAATAAATAGGTACTCAAATAGTTTTTATATGGCATAATTTTCCTGCAGAGTTGGAAATGGTCGCTACACCCTTTAACCTCTGACTATACACTCTCCTTTATGTCTTCTCACTCATCATCTTTTATTTTTCTCCTCCTTGCTAACCCTGGTCCAGCTTTGAGGGCTTTCTTACAATCCTTTTGATTCCACAAACAAGCCAGATATGCTTTCACCTTCATGTCTTTGCATTTGTTACTCCCTCTAGTTGGAATGCTCTTTCTTAAATTTGCAGGTATTTAATTTCATATTGTCTCTGTCTCAGTAAGGCACACTCTATTGCCCCACCTCCACTCCCCAGCACACATATACTAGAACTCTTTTCCTTTTTTTAAAAAATATCATGTGTCATACATCACGTATTCTAAGTTTTGTATTGTCTGTCTCCTCTCTTACATAATTACAAAGCTCAAGGAAAGCAGAACTTTAGCAAACTGCTTGCACTGCTGTGTCTCCTAAAATAATCCCTACTATATAGTAAGTTCCCAACAGAACTTGATTGAATAATGATTTTTAATAGAAAATAGTATTAATTAAGCTGAAATAGAAAAAATGTATTACCTAGAAATTATAATGAATCTTATAGGTCAAGTTATAGAATATCAGGTTCTCAACACCAGTGATAAGTCAATCTGCTTATATAGAGATGCAACACAAGGTTTTTCAGAGGCCCTTATAATCTTTAAGATTCTCGCAAAGGCACAAGGAACTTCTGTGTATAAATCCCTATTAAGGGCGGCATCCATCATCTCTTCACTGAGACCACAAGCCTCTCCTGGTTCACTAAATCCCTCTGAGGCCAAGCACAAACTGTCCCGTCAGGCCCATCTGCAGAGTAAACCCATGAAACTAGACTGTACATTACCAGATTGTGGGATTGCTGGAAATGGTATGAGGACTGCAACCATCAAGGATAGCCACGAAAAAGTATACAATGTATTCTCTATTCTCAGATCAACAAACTGAAAGAAGGTTTCTATTCTTCTGGTAGATACTCTTCAAAGTTGACCCCTGTGCATCACATTTATGCTTTTATAGATGTTCCTGTCAATGCTGAATCTGTACCTAAAACGTAGCCAAAATGTCATTGTGCCAGTTTTGGGTGTAAGCCTTAAAAAGAACTTCAAGCTTCCATTCTGTCCTCTTGGAAGCCTTGACTTTTCATGTTAGAAGTCCAGCTAATCTACTGAAACGAATGTGTAGAGGAAGAGTCCCTGAGACTACATGGAGAGAAAGGGGGAGGAGGAAGGTCTAGTCATCCCAGTACCCTATCCTCACTGAGCCCAGCCTTCTGACTGTTCATCAGTGCTCCAGTCATGGGAATGAACCAACTTGGACATTTCAGCCACGCTGAGCCCCCAGATAATTGAAGCTCCTGTCCAAATCGCAACATCATGTATAACATAAGAACTCTTCAGATGAATACAGTCGATGTATAAAATCATGAAAAGTAACAAGAAAGATTGTGATTCCAAAACTTTTGGAGTGATTTTTTAATGTACAGATGGAAAATTAAAACTATTAAAACTACTACTACCTCATATAACCAACTGGGATGAGGAAAGAGAGTTACAGGGCTCTCTTTAAGGGGCTTTACAGGATTGTAAGGCTTCTGTCTCCATCTCATTTTCTGCATCTCAGCTTATAAATGGTAGAGAGAGCTGAAGAGAAGGTTGGGATTGCCACCTCAACAGTGATTCCTCTGAAGTCATTTGTCTTTCGTTAGAACAAAGATTCTGAATTTTAAACATAAATTCTATTTTTTTCTAATTATGTGACTGCTGCTTTCCCTTATTGGGAAATGCTGGCCTCATATATCAGAGCTCAGGTAAAGATAAAGGGCAATAAATGCTTTAAGGTCTGAATATGGCAGGAAAACAACATTGACACTTTATACATCTTCCTATCACCTCTTTAGAATAGACAAGTGTCAGACCAAATCCTCCTGGGTCAACAAACTATTTTGACACAGAAAGCTGCCCCCACTTCTTACACCTTGGAGTTGATCCAATATTTGGATCATTATATCAGAGTATTTTTAGATTACATTACAAGCACGGACAGTATGTATCCTTAGGCTTAACATAAAGTATAAAAAAACAACTTTACAATAAGAATTTGGCTCGATGTTTTAATAAAAGAACTAAAAGATCTCAGGATTAGAAGCTTCACTCAGTAAAATTCCTAAGCCAACATCATTAAGTAATCAGGGAATCAGAAGTAGATTCTTACTCTTTTCTCAAATTTGCATTTGCTTTCCTTTACTTAATTTCTATTCTACAGACTCTGAAATAACTCCTTCAGCTGATTCTGTCTTAAAGGAAATAAATGTAACAATCTAATCTGTTCATATTCAAATCCTAGTACATGCACAAAGCCCTTTATAAGAAAATGTGTTAAATAATTCAATGAGCAGATTATTATTACAGAGAATTAAATAAGTGGATGTGGTATATCTCTAATACCCTTGTGTAAAGCCTGTTTTAATTCTATAATCCCAATTGGATGCAACATACTTAAATGAATACCATTAACTTGTATTTTTTCTATTCTGTTTATAAACATAATAACAGTTGAGAGACATCTATTGAGAAAACATCAACTCTATTTGCACATTCTTAAAGAGAATATTAGAAAAACGAAATTTTAATTTTCGTGTGTGTAATCTGTTAATATAATTAGAATGGAAGACGATTATGTACTTTCAGATCTTTCCATGTTAATTAAAAAGCTAATAACTTGAATGGCTATAAATACTGAATTAGTGGGGCCAATGCTCCTGGCGGTTAATCCTTTATTTGCCATTTACTGAAGATCACTTAATTAGGATACCATCTTTATATCAGGAATACCCTATCAATAGTTGCAAGGGCCCTTAATCTTTGATGGTAGATCTTTGAGCCATTTTCCAATACACTGCACTCCACTCGGGATTTCCTAACAGTCAGCATTCACTGCCTTTGACTCAGTCTATCAAGGAATTTTACTGTGAGCAATTTCTCTGCCTCCCTAACCTTAGTAATAATTTCCAGGTTTTAGAGAAAGGAAAAGCAGCTCCACTAGAAAAATTAAAAAAAGGTTTCTAGCTCTAATGTTTAATAAACTTATTAATATTTTTAACCAGAAATAGTAGGAGTAGACAATGTAAGCATCAAAAGATTAATATCAGCAATTGGTGGATATACATAAAACAGTGTTTGACATTTTTATACTAATGAAAATCCGTGAGTACATAGTAATTCAAACTAAATCACATTAGTCATCTTTGGAGGATGCTAGAGAACCAGTTCATTATTCTTAGAACTAGCAAATAAAGTGAAATAATATTTTTTAAAAAATTACTCTGACTTTCCTTTACAAACTGTCGACGACAAGAATCAAACTCTGTAAAATAATTAAAGAGATTTGTCCTGAGCCAAATATGAGTGACCATGGCCTATGACACAGCCCTCAGGATGTCCTGAGAACATGTGCCCAAAGTGATCCGGGTGCAGCTTGGTTTTATACATTTTATTGAGACATGAGACTTCAATCAAACACATTTAAGAAATGCATTAGTTTGGTCCAGAAAAGCAGGACAACTTGAACTGAGGGTGGGGTGGGGCATCTAGCTTATAGGTAGATGAAAAATTTTCTAGTTGATAATTGGCTGAGTTTATCTAAAGACTGGGATTAATAGAAAGGGATGCCGAGGTTAAGATAAAGGGTTGTGAAGACCCAAGTTCTTATTAGCAGATGAAGCCTTTAGGTAGTAGCCTTAGAGACAATAGGTTGTAAGATGTTTCTTATCAGACTTCATGTCTGTGTTGATGTTAATACTGGAGAGGTATAATGAGGCATGTTCTACTCCCACTTCTCATCATGGCCTGAAACAATCTCTTGGGTTAAATTTTAAAACAGCCCTGGCTGAGGAGGAATTCCATTCAGATGGTTGGGGGACTTCAGAATTTTATTTTTGGTTTACAAAACCACACCCAAGTTTCCTTCTCAGGTACTCTTCTGGGATTAATATATGAGTGAGAAATGATAGACTTAGACTATCACCACATTGCATCCCATAATGAGGTAAAGGATCTAGGCAATAATCATCAATGGTTGCCAAAACTATTAAGTTAAAAGAGGGCAGAGCAATCTGATAACACCCCACTCCATTGATCAATATTAATATTTATATCACTAAGCTTTTACTGCAATGATGTTGGTCAAAAAGTAATTTCAAAACTCAATAGCATGTACACACACACATTTATTTCTTGATTATGAAAAAATTGGATCTGTGGGTCAACTGATGCTAAGCTTGGCTTGGTTCCAAACTGTGGTTTGCTTTCAGGTTGACTTATTCTGTCTTCACAATCTGTATCCCAAGAAAAAAGAAGCAGTTACTATTTGAAACACATGATTGTCATGGCAGAAGGCAAGAATTCTAGAAGCTAAGCCAGACAATGCAAACGCATTTGTAGTCTTGGCACCGATGTGATCTATGTCATCTACATTCACGTTCTATAAGCCACAGCAAGCCAAATTGCTAAGTTCAATACCCATGTAGTTGGGAGCTATACTTCTCTCATGAAGTCTGGGGAAAGGGAAGCATTCAATGGAAAAAGAGATTCTTTGTTAAATAATAATATGATCTACAACATCATGTAAAAAAAGAGACACACGAGTCATGACGTGCCCATGATGTGAACAAGTAAGAAGTGTGCAAGCCAACCTATGAAGTATTCTAAACTATTTTTTGTCAAACTATCAATTTATAGAAAATAAAAGAAGTAGGGGAAGACGTCAAGAAACGTTACAAGGAAGCAACTGGCAACATCTAGAATGCGAAGAATACCACAGAGCAATAAATAATTTTCTTCTACAAATTGTTAAAAAAAATAAATAAATAAAAATTTTAAAAAATGATGAAGGAGTAACATACAGATTGAAAGATATTTACAGAAATCTCAGAGAACTGTAATGTGTAGGCTTTGGCTGGATCATAAGTTGAACAAATCAAATGCAAAATGACATTTTACAAACTATCAGGGAGACTTGAACAATAATTACCTTTCTGATAATGTTAGGAAGTACTAATTGCTAGGTTAATGGTATTATGGTTATGGTTTCCAAATACAATTGCTATCTTATATAAATATATACTGAAATATTTAAGAATGGAAAGAGACGTGCTTCAAAGTATTCTGAGGAGAGTCAGGAGTAGGGAGGAGTATAAATGAAATAAGTTTTGAGTGATGAGCACTGAGTAAATTACTCTATTCTCTCTACTCTTGGATAATTTTTACATAACAAAAAAAGTCCTGAAAGAGAGAGAAAATTTCTTTTCACCAAACGAAGTAAAGTGGATAAGAGGTGGATGTTTCTAAGATCATATTTTATTGTGCTTAAATTCTTTGCTTGAATCTCCCTACTTCTGCCCTGTATAAAGATCAAAACTTTTTCAGCTCAAGGGGATAACAATGCAGTGCCAAAAACGAATGTCTTTCATTGTGCATTTTAAAGACAAAAAAATTGTAAATTATAAAGTTTTTTTTCCTAAGAAATAAACAAGAGAGTCTCAGAACCTCTTCCCTTCTAAAAAAAGCAAGAAAATACCTCAAAAACAGGTATATTTAGACACGTCTAATGAATGCTTCTTGAGAATGAAACCAGTCTATGTAAGCAGGATTATTTATTTAGCTGGGTGAAATGCTTTTTTTGGTAAAGGGAATTTATTTTAATCCATTGAGAACTAGAAATTATTTTGTTTCATATAGAAAAGGAAACAGAGCCACTAATCAATTATATTAACTTTTTTATAAGTGAACGAGAATGTGCTTATTCTATTAGGAAAACACCAATTTTATTTGAGATTATGATCAAATAGCAACATATTTTAGAAGCCACAGAGAGAAAATGAAATTTTAAGAGAACTATCTTTTCAAAAGAAAACAACTTGTGAATAGGGAGCTCATATAATCTTTCCCAGAAGAAAATGGGCAATGGTTACTCCTGTGTGGCATTTCAACCCATAGTGATTTACCTGAAGGAAATTATTAACTCTTCCTGGCGTTTTAGAATAATAACATGATGATGAGACACCTAAAAAGTGCTCAGAGGAAACATTGGTTGCAAGTACCTGCCCAAATTGTTTAATGTTTGTCAAACTTGAATTGCATTTGAAGGGTGCATCACTAGTAATGGATTTCCAGTTCTATTTCCACATGGGCAAAGCTTTGTAGCCATTACAAGATGTAGTTTATTACCTTGCATTATGTATGAGATGATTTTTGTGAGCAGGTACACAAACACAAAAGGGAAAAATACAAGAAAGCAATTTCTTTTATTGCTCAATATATAGCAGTTAGGAATAATTTGGAAATTTTTCAAATAGCTCATTTTGGGAAATTCTTAGATCTACTCAGGACAGACTGTTTTCTACAGTGTTATTAAATAATTTGAGTGTAGATAAGACTGACATTAATTCCTAAGTGAGTTATCTCTTGTTACATAATAGAGGCAAAATGTCACAAAAGGGATACTAGATTTGGAAATAAAAGAGCTTTGAGCAATGTTTCTAACATGATTAACTGCATGTAACCTTGGTCATATAATTTAATTTCTCTATGCTTCATTTTCCTCTTCTCAAAACCAAAAATAATACAGCCTGCCTCACACAATTATATTGAAGATTACATATGCCTAGCTCAATGATTACTAAAAAGCAAATACTCAAAAGTTTTTGATTAATTCAAATTATTAAACAAGAGCTAATACATGTAAATGGGCTTGTAAATTAAAGAAATCTATACAAATATAACACAAAAACATGACAGAATCATTTTGTTTGTTTTATAAAATTTGTTTTCAGATGTCTTTTAATGTTTTACCTGATGTCTTTTAATGTTTTTTTTTTCTTATTAGTGAAAAGACTGAGTGTCAAAAGTGAAACCATTCTGTCTTTAAACCTTGCTATAGAATCAACCAGTTCATGAAATCTTATTAAATAGTGTCTTGAACTTTTGTTGTAAGAAACAAAGAACTATTATTAGTGATGCTATCGAATGGCTTCAAGATAGTGGTGTGTTTTGACATGAAAAATATTGTAGATAAATTGCAAAACGTGAAGAGAACTTCTTAGGTATAAAATACAGCCACCACAAAGTGAGCAACTAGTCTCTTACACAAAATGCCAGAGACTGTGCATTACTTTTTCGGCACAGCATTGAGTGTAGCCCCATTAGCTGTAATTTATGCACAAACGAGTGTAAGCAGAGGCAATGTGTACGTTCTTTGTGATATTGGCACACGGTTGTCACTTTCAATCCAAAACACTCTCAAATCTGGCCAATTTTTCTCCACATTTTGGAAGAATCATTTTCTTTTGGCCAGAGATTCACTGTAAGAATTTTCAAGCCTAGAGAGAAGGTTTTGTTTACAAATTCGGAAGGGAGAAAAATCAAAATCCAGGCAAGAATAGAGGAGCTCCTGCAACCTTGGTTCCGCATGGAGTCACACTTCAAACTTCAGAATGAGAGCTGGCTGCACTCTGAGAAGGTTAATTTTCTTTCAGATGAGTGAAACAGTTCCCCAGTTGGAGAACACACTTCTAGTACTTATGCATGAGTTCTTTAGCAGTGTTTTGCTCAGAGACTTTAGTATACTCTGTGAGAGTATACATAAAAACACATTAGCTACAAGCAAGGAAAGGCTGAAAACCACGAGCATCCATCCAGTGTACATGAAATGGATGGAGCAAAGCATGTTGCCACATCAAATACCATGTCAGGACTATGTAACATAAAGTGAAACAGCCCAAATCTAGGTATAGATTATGTTTCTTGTCTGCAGATTAAAAATGCCAGTTGCCGGGCCAGGCACAGTGGCTCACGCCTGTAATCCCAGCACTTTGGGAGGCCAAGGCGGGTGGATCATGAGGTCAGGAGATGGAGAACATCCTGGGTAACACAGTGAATCCCCGTCTCTACTAAAAATATAAAAAATTAGCCAGGCGTGGTGGCAGGCGCCTGTAGTCCCAGCTACTCGGGAGGCTGAGGCAAGAGAACGGCGTGAACCCAGAGGCGGAGCTTGCAGTGAGCCAAGATCCTCCACTGCACTCCAGCCTGGGGACAAAGCGAGACTCCGTCGCAAAAAAAAAAAAAAAAAAAAAAAAGGCAGACAGTTTTGAACAGTTATGAGGTCCCAGTAAAATATCATTCTGCTCTAATCTTTTTATCTTCTCAGGGTTTACTATATTCTATTTTCTTCTATTTCTTTTCATACCAGAAGCTTCTTTCATAACAACATTTAGGCTACAAACTGGAAACAGTATGGTGTAGTAAAAAAACACATGGGTTTTAAATTCTATGAAGCTCAAATCCCAGCCATATTTTTGTTCAAAAAAAGATTGTAAGCTTAAATTGCAACAGTGAAGAATTATTGTCTCTGAGCCTCAAATTTCTTTAAATATTTGAAAATTAAATGAAGATATTAATGTCTCAAAGGGTTTTAAAATTGTTTTAAGACTTTAATAGATATATTATGAATTAAATAGATACATTATGTGTATACATATGTATGTGTACTATATATGTATATATGGTATATATGCAATTCTATATAAAATATATGTCTATAGGCCAGGCACAGTGGCTCACGCTTGTAATCCCAGCACCTTGGGAGGCTGAGGCAGGTAGATCACCTGAGGTCAGGAGTTCAAGACCACCCTGGCCAACATGGCAAAACCTTGTCTCTACTAAAAATACAAAATTAGCTGGCCGTGGTGGCATGCATCTGTAATCCCAGCTACTCAGGAGGCTGAGGCAGGGAAATCACTTGAACCCGGGAGGTGGAGATGGCAGAGAGCTGAGATCATATCACTGCACCCCAGCCTGGGCAACAGAGCGAGACTCCATCTAAAAAAAATGTGCATATATATCTTTATATATACAAATGTTTATAAAATGTATGTGTATATATGTACATATATATACATATGCATTTCTTTTTTTTTTTTAGAAAAACCTTTTATTATTGAGACTTTTGACTTATGTTCAGGAAATGACTTTTATGTACAATTTTTTTAAAAATTATTATTATACTTTAAGTTTTAGGGTACATGTGCACAATGTGCAGGTTAGTTACATATGTATACATGTGCCATGCTGGTGTGCTGCACCCATTAACTCGTCATTTAGCATTAGGTATATCTCCTAATGCTATCCCTCCCCCCTCCCCCACCCCACAACAGTCCCCAGAGTGTGATGTTCCCCTTCCAGTGTCCATGTGTTCTCATTGTTCAATTCCCATCTATGAGTGAGAACACGCAGTGTTTGTTTTTTTGTCCTTGCGATACTTTGCTGAGAATGATGGTTTCCAATTTCATCCATGTCCCTACAAAGACATGAACTCATCATTTTTTATGGCTGCATAGTATTCCATGGTGTATATGTGCCACATTTTCTTAATCCAGTCTATCATTGTTGGACATTCGGGTTGGTTCCAAGTCTTTGCTATTGTGAATAGTGCCACAATAAACATATGTGTGCATGTGTCTTTATAGCAGCATGATTTATAGTCCTTTGGGTATATACCCAGTAATGGTACGGCTGGGTCAAATGGTATTTCTAGTTCTAGATCCCTGAGGAATCGCCACACTGACTTCCACAATGGTTGAACTAGTTTACAGTCCCACCAACAGTGTAAAAGTGTTCCTATTTCTCCACATCCTCTCCAGCACCTGTTGTTTCCTGACTTTTTGATGATCACCATTCTAACTGGTGTGAGATGGTATCTCATTGTGGTTTTGATTTGCATTTCTCTGATGGCCAGTGATGATGAGCATTTTTTCCATGGGTCTTTTGGCTGCATAAATGTCTTCTTTTGAGAAGTGTCTGTTCATATCCTTTGCCCACTTTTTGATGGGGTTGTTTGTTTTTTTTCTTGTAAATTTGTTTGAGTTCATTGTAGATTCTGGATATTAGCCCTTTGTCAGATGAGTAGGTTGTGAAAATTTTCTCCCATTTTGTAGGTTACCTGTTCACTCTGATGGTAGTTTCTTTTGCTGTGCAGAAGCTCTTTAGTTTAATTAGATCCCATTTGTCAATTTTGGCTTTTGTTGCCATTGCTTTTGGTGTTTTAGACATGAAGTCCTTGCCCATGCCTATGTCCTGAAAGGTAATGCCTAGGTTTTCTTCTAGGGTTTTTATGGTTTTAGGTCTAACGTTTAAGTCTTTAATCCATCTTGAATTAATTTTTGTATAAGGTGTAGGGAAGGGATCCAGTTTCAGCTTTCTACATATGGCTAGCCAGTTTTCCCAGCACCATTTATTAAATAGGGAATCCTTTCCCCATTGCTTGTTTTTCTCAGGTTTGTCAAAGATCAGATAGTTGTAGATATGTGGCGTCATTTCTGAAGGCTCTGTTCTGTTCCATTGATCTATATCTCTGTTTTGGTACCAGTACCATGCTGTTTTGGTTACTGTAGCCTTGTAGTTGAGTTTGAAGTCAGGTAGCGTGATGCCACCAGCTTTGTTCTTTTGGCTTAGGATTGACTTGGCGCTGCGGACTCTTTTTCGGTTCCATATGAACGTTAAAGTAGTTTTTTCCAATTCTGTGAAGAAAGTCATTGGTAGCTTGATGGGGATGGCATTGAATCTATAAATTACCTTGGGCAGTATGGCCATTTTCATGATATTGATTCTTCCTACCCATGAGCCATGGAATGTTCTTCCATTTGTTTGTATCCTCTTTTATTTCCTTGAGCAGTGGTTTGTAGTTCTCTTTGAAGAGGTCCTTCACATCCCTTGTAAGTTGGATTCCTAAGTATTTTATACTCTTTGAATG